>NC_000012.12:127397382-127699006 GCF_000001405.40 Homo sapiens
GTGATCCTTCCTTGCTTGAGAGATGGAAAACCAATGAGCTGAGATGTGTAGTTGCCCTGGTATCTCCCTTTGAGGGAGTTTCCAGGCTATGGCTTAGGAAAAGGGAACCCAGACTATGCCCAGCAGGCACTGAGTTGACGAGACAGAGATGAAGGTACAGGGAGAACACCGATGAGCTGATCAAAAAACAGAGCACTCAATAAGAGACGACTGCCCTGGGAGAGAATTCTGGAGACCAGCAGTGGGTCCCTCTTGTGAATTCGAGAGTACCAGTGGATATATGAACGAAGAAGCTAGCCTACAACAGAGAAAGAACCACCCGAACGATTAAAGAGAACACACCTCAGACCAGGGGACAGCTAAGACAATTGCTGTAATTATTTTTTTCTTTGCCTGTTTCTTTCTCCCAATATCCCAAGCCCTTCCAGGAAATGATGGCTCCAAAAGCATCTTAAACTATACTCCTAAATGCAACTTTTAGGAATTGTTCCTCTTTTTGTTTCTTCCTAGTATTATCCTTGATAAAATTCAAAATGACTTAATGAATTAATTTCTATTTAAATCTCCATAAAATAGAAAAAATCCATCAGACAGGTAAATCTCATGGCACTAGTTTTCAACTGCTGTGTATCAAGTTACCAGAAACATCGTTTGTTAAAACAAACCACATTTACTATCTCATAGAATTTGTGGATGGGGAACCTTCTGCTCAGGGTCTCCCAAAGCTGAGATCAAAGTACTGGCTGGGCTGTGTTCCATCTCAGAGCTCAAACGAGGAAGGATCTCCTTCCAAGATCTCTCATGGTGTCAGGATTAATTGCCTCGAGGCTGTAGGATGAGTAGCAGCTTGCTTCTTCAAAGGCAGAAACAGAGAGAAAGTAACTGCTGCTATAGAGTCTTCGACCTCAAGACCGTCGCTTAAAGGGTCAGGGCCAAACTGGATAATCTCCCTTTTATTTAATTTAAAGCCAACTGATAAGAGGTTTTAATTACATCTGACAAACCCTTTACCTTTGCTATATAACATAATGTAATTACAAGAGTGACCTGTCATTGCTTTTGCCGTGTTGTATCAGATAGAAGCAAATCACACACATGTTCTGCCCACACTGGAGGAGAGAGGTTTACACAAAGGTATGACTCATTGGGGGCCATCCTAGGGTGTTTATGCCACCGTTTTCTAGAATGTTGAAAAGATTGTGGTCTCAGTAGTGGGGAAAATTGAATCCTTGATTAAACGCAGTACTCGTCCCACTTGAGAAATCCCTAAAGAAATAGTAAAAAAGGATAAATTTTCAAGTAACATAAATGCATCCAAGAACAAATTTCAAGAATATTTATTAGAATACAAAAACATCAGCATTCGATGGAGTAAAATCCACAACACCTGACATCCAACTAAAGATTTCCATGAATTCAAAGAAGAAGAAAAACATGACCCTGAATGAACAGAAAAACTAGTCGATGAAAACAATGAAGTACATATCCGGTATGGATAATTACTAGGAATCGACACTCAAGAGTTACAACTGTATTACCTATGTTCAAAAAGCTAGAGGATCGATTGTAGCCCTCGTTGGTAAGAGTAAATCTCCTTTACTCAATCCATCAATTAAAATGTTAATCTCTTAAGGAAACACTCACTGATATACCCAGAGTAATGTTTTACCAGCTGTCTAGGAATCCCTCATCATAGTCAAGTTGATACATAAAATCCATCATCAGTCTTGGGAAATGGATAAAAAGAATGAAATCAGGAAGGCACATAAGACTTCCAATTTTATCTGTAATATTTTCTTAATGCCAAAGGAAATACATCAAAATATTAAGAGTTGATAAAGCTGGGTGTTGGGTACATAAGGCATTTGTATATTTATTATTTTCTAACTTTTCTACAAACTGGCCTGTTTTCTTCATTGAAACTTTGTACCAAAATCTCTGAGTTGGTCAATTCTGCTGTTGTTATTTCAATTTTAAATACATTTTTGCAGTATAAACACTCTAAGAAATGTCCTATTTGACTCTTTACTCCATTTCTAACAATTCAGCTAACTCATTACCCCACTTCCAAATCACAGGAGATAATCCTACCTTCTCCTCATCCTCCTTTTTCTTCTCATTTTATTATTTTTAAAGTAAAATATACCTTGCAGACTGGTATGAATGGCCTTATTTTGCTTAGCCAACACTTTCCCAGAATTGGAAACGATAAATCTTAATAATGAGCAAATACTTTGGGCACCTCCACTTTCGCAGCTGCCAAATCCACAGCTATTTCTCAAGTTAACAATTCACACTCACTTCCAGCTTAGCTGGTTTTTATCAGCAGCATCCTGACAAGCCTGGGGACAGCTAAGACAATTGGTGTAATTATTTTTTTCTTTGCCTGTTTCTTTCTCCCAATATCTCAAGCCCTTCCAGGAAATGATGGCTCCGGAACATCTTAAACTAACTTCCTAAATGCAACTTTTAGGAATAGTCCGTCTTTTTGTTTCTTCTTAGTATTACCCTTAATAAAATGTAAAATGACTTAATGAATTAATTTCTATTTAAATCTCTCTAAACTAGAAAAAAATCTTGGTTTGGGTGACTTAAAAAATAATGTGGTGTTTGCCAGTGCACAGTGCACAGTAGAAGGGCTATTGGATCTTCTTAACTCTTCGATGGGCCCTGGGTAAAGATTTTGGGAGACAAACATCCATGGGTTTTCATGTTTGCCTGAGTATCCTGCTGGAAAATGTATATTTTGATTTGTATAATACAATGTCAATGTTCTGAATAAATTATCTATTCCAATGATTCAAAATTAAAAATCATAAAGGATAACTGAAAACTTATTCTCCCATTGCTGCCTCTCAGCTCCTCAGCCAAAGTTGCTATCCATTGTCTTGTTAGCCTTCCAGAGTTATTCATTCGATGCTTCTACAAACACCAAGTCTGAGGCTTTGCCTGTCTTTACACAAATGCTTCACGTTATGGACCCAGCTTTGCATCTGGAACATGTGATCTTTGTGGTATGAGAGCTTTGGTTGTTTTCTTGTGTGACAATGGAATGACTGGCCTGGAAGTGAGGTTGTAAGCAGTCCCATGTTTCCATCTGACCCCAGGGCCAGCAAGGATAATTCCCCACATGCCTAGAAGGTAAGTGGTGAACGGCATTCGTGATGAAAGCACAAGGAGGCCCTGGCAGAGGTGGCTCACACCGCTGTGAAGGAGAGCACCAGGATTCACTTTTATCAGATATAGACTTTGCAGATATTTTCTTGTCATCTTTAGCTTGTCATGACTGAAAATAAGTTGATCATATATACATATATATGCATATGCATATATTTCTAGCCTCTTAATTCTGTTTCATTGATCTATTTGTATATCTTTTTTTCTTCTTTCTTTTTTTTTTAGAGAGTCTCACTTAGTTGCACAATCTCGGCTCACTGCAACCTCCGCCTCCCGGGTTCAAGCAATTCTCCTGCCTCAGCCTCCCGAACAGCTGGGATTACAGATGTCTGTGCTGAGAGCGACTGAATGTAACACTTATGCTGTGCAAAGTTGATTATTTTAGTCACATTGAAATTTATTGTTTTTAATCAGCCATATTAGCTAAAGTCTATGTACAATAAAATTCACCCATTTTACCTATACATATCAATGAAAGTTGACAAATATATATACAGTCATGTAACAGCCATCATTATCAAGCTATAGAATTTTCCCATTACCCCAAAACATTCTCCTCTGCTCCATCGTATTCAATATCCTCTGCATCCCTCCCAACCCCAACAATCACTAACATGCTTTCTCTCATAGTTTTGGCATTTCAAGAATTGTTCATAAATGAGATCATAAAGTATGTAGTCATTGGTTTGGCATTTTCAAATAGCATAATTCTTTTTAGATTCAATCACGCACTTTCATCTATTATATATTCCTTTTTAGTGTTGATTGGCATTCCATTGTGGGGATAAATCACAATTTATTTATCCACTTTTCACTTCCTAGACATTTGGGTTTTTTCTAGTTTGGGGCTGTAGTGAATAAGGCTGCAATAACATTTATGTTCAAGTCTTTGTGTGAACATAGTGTTAGCATACAGTTTTAGTTAACAGCTGTGTTAAAAGAAAAACTTCAGCTGAATTAAATTTAAAGGTTTTTAATTGAGCAATGAAAGATTCACGAATCAGACAGCCCCCAAATCATAGCAGATTTGGAGAGATTCCAGGGGTGCCTCGTGGTCAGAACAAAATTCTTGAAAAAAATAAAAAAGTAAAGTGATGTACAGAAATCGGAAGTGAGGTACCAAAACAGCTGGATTGGTTACAGCTCAGCATTTGTCTTATTTGAACACAGTTTGAACACTCAGCAGTGTATGACTGGTTGAAGTATGGCTGCTGGGATTGGCCGAGACTCAACAATTGTACAGGCACATACTGCTAAGTTCGGTTTTCAACCTTGTCTACCTATTAAGTTAGGTTGCAGTTCATCCACAAAGACTCAAATAAAGAAGTACAGAGCCTTTCTTGGGCCATATTTAGTTTGCTTTAACACCTATGAGTAAAAGTGTTGGGTCTTGTTTTAAGGGCACGTTTAACTGTGTAAGAAATTGCACAACTGTTTTCAAAGTGCTTTTCAACAATTTTGCATTCCCATCAGCAATACATAAGCAGTCTCGTTGCTCCCAAATCCTGGATAGCGCTTGGAATTGTCAGTCTTGTTCATCTGAACCACCTAATCGGTGTGAAGCAGTATCTCATTGTGGTTTTAATTCATTTCTCTACTGACCAATTATATCAACCATCTTCTCATGTGCTTATGAATTATGCGTATATCTTCTTTGCTATAGTACTCTTCTAAGATTTTGATCACTTTTAAAATTGGTCGTTTATTTCCTTATCATTGCATTATAAGTACTTCTTATCATTGGACTATATAGTCTGCATATATATCTTTTATCAGATATAGACCTTGCAGATATTTTCTCTTCATCTTTAGCTTGTCATGACTTTGAAAATGAGTTGATCATATATGTATATATGTATGTATATATATATATATATATATATATATATATGCATACATTTCTAGCCTCTTAATTCTGTTCCATTGATCTATTTGTATATCCTTTCTTTTTTTTTTTTTTTTTTTTTGAGACAGAGTCTTGCTTTGTTGCCCAGGCTGGAGTGCAGTGGCACAATCTCAGATCACTGCAATCTCTGCTTCCCGGGTTCAAGCAGTTCTCCTGCCTCAGCCTCCTGAGTAGCTGGGATTATAGGCGCCCACCACAACACCCAACTAATTTTTGCATTTTTAGTAGAAACAAGGTTTCACCATGTTGATCAGGCTGGTCTCAAACCCCTGACCTCAGGTGATCCATCCGCCTCAGCCTCCCAAAGTGTTGGGATTACAGACGTAAGCCACCACGCCCAGCCTTATTTCTATATGCTTATGCCAAAACCACACTATTTTGATTACTGTCAAGTAATCTTTGAAAGTAAGCTTTGAAATCAGTTTGTATGATTCTATAATTTTTATTTTTTCTGAGGTTTTGTGCTGTTTTTTCAAAGTTCTTTGTAATTCCAAATGCTGATTTCAGTCTTTTGTGTACACTCCACTGCCTTCAGTTAGTTGTTGTTTTATATATAGTTTCTAATTGAAAGCATTAATCTGAAAAGATTCACCCAGCCATTAGCAGAAGAAGCCTCACCAGTGTTAAAGTCTTAAAGGCAGCTCCTGTTTCCATGGACTCTGTGATACCTAAGGGGGATTTCAAGAAGATTCAAAATGACTGTGACTATTCGCTTTCTCCAACAAAGGCATCTGCCTTTGAGTCAGTCATCACTAATGATCATGGAACCTCAAAACAAGACACAATACCACATGTGATTATTTTAACAGCACAAAAGCAAATTAAAAAAATAAAAGCAAGATCAGCAGAGATAGAAAGAAAACATTAGCCAAGAAAAAAACCCAAATGATCCATAGGAAAAAAACAGTTCAATCCACTTTCCTTGAACACCTAAAATGTGAAAGTATTCTGAGACATTTTAAGATGAGCCCAAACAGGACCTTCATTCTCATCAATCCTCATTTTTAGTAGAATTGTTAAGAGAAGCCCAAAAGTACATTGATATGTTAAATGACATTTCAGTTAAAAAATCAGACATTTATCTGATAAACATAACATTGACAGTCACGTTATTTTCATACCTGTCTATTTATCTGATGGTTGTTCAATACTTCTCAAGTGGGTAGAAATTCAATGGACAAAAAAAAATTGTATAGGCTCCTGAAATCCAAAAGTGTATAAATCTGCCCAAGTGAGAAGGTCTCCTTCAAGAAACATGCATTTCCCTGAGTCCAATTAATTAAAACTCTATGATTTCATCGCATCCCCTACTTGGCCCATTATATTAATTACAACAGCCTCACAAGCTTTCTTATAGGCCTATTACTCTAAAGTAACTAGATCTTAAGTCAACCACAGTTAAAAGGTTTGAGTACATGTGACTTCTCTAATTTCTTTGTTAATTAGATCTACTCAAGCACTCCTGAAGTTTTCATGGAAATGTGCTCTTATCGATAGTCTGTTGATTATGAATTTATTTTGTCTCACTGAGCAAGTATGAGCCAGATTTGTGTATAAAAAATGGAAAATTATATTTTAAAAAATTATGTTTTGTCTTGCAAAGTGTGCTTAAGTCCAGGGGAAGAATACAAAAATAAGATGGCCCAGGATAGGAAATGAGTATTATGTGCATTACCGGAGTGGCCATTTCTCTGGGTTCCAGGAAAGGGAAGACAGATTCATGTAGAGTTCAGGTGCTGGTACCTGTGAATTTGCCCAAGGCCCGGGTCGTTTCAACTGAACTCAGAAACCTCAGTGTAAGAAATGGAATCGTAAGAGCCTTCGAAATGGAATCGTTAAGAGCCTTCGAAATGGAATCGTAAGAGCCTTCGAAATGGAATCGTAAGAGCCTTCGAAATGGAATCGTAAGAGCCTTCTAAGGAAATGGAAATGAAGTCTGGATAATGATGACATCTGGAAGTGGTAAGCACCAGGTCAGTCCCTTGGAGGATAAAAACGACGAATTGACCTAAAAAGATAGAATGAAAAGTGAAATCTGAACCAGCTTGGTTCTCCTGACCGTGCACTAATGAAGGGCTCTGGGGTGATACGGTGGACATTCTGAGAGACTGATCTTTGACATAACTATCATCCTCCCCCTCAACCCATGGCCACTAAGGAGAGTCAGAACCATGCTGGGAACAAAGCATAGCCTGGTGGTGCTTCCAGTGTCCAAATGAAGGCAGGAGATTGTGTCTTCAGCTCTGAACCTGCAAGATCAGGATCCACAAAGCCAATTCCTTGAAAACACTATTTAGTCCTAAGGTGATAATGTGTTCCTTTTCTTTGATCCAGGTCGACTTACTCATCCTAATTAGAGGTGCTGGGAGTGTGAGGACAGAATTTTCTGAACCTTGATTCAAGACATGTGGTCTGATGAGCGTGAACTCCATAGAGAAACAGAACATTCAAAGTTAGGAATCTCCATAAAATGCAGTTTAGTGCACCAGTGAAGATATAAGGGAAAACTAGAGACACAATAATCTACAGTCTCAAATTCTTCAAAATACTGTGAATGTACACTTCTCATTGGGGTTCCATGTTTTGGATATAACTCATTCATTAAAACATTAAAACATTAATTAAATGTTTTTTTAACATTCATTACAGCATTTGATACATAGTTTCCTTGCAGTTACCGTGTGCCAAGCTCTGTTCTCAGCGCAGAGACAGTGATCAGCAAGTTAGATGGGATTCCTCCTCCCCTGGAGCTTATTTTTTTTCCTTTTTTTTTTTCTTTTTTTATTGAGACGGAGTCTCACACTGTCACCTGTGCTGGAGGGCAATGGCACAATCTCAGCTCACTGCAACCTCTGCCTCCCAGGTTCAACCAATTCTCCTTGCCTCAAGCTCCCAAGTAGCTGGGATTACAGGTGCCCGCCACCATGCCTGGCTAATTTTTTTTTTTTTTTGTATTTTTAGTAGAGATGGGGTTTCACTATGTTGGTCAGGCTGGTCTCAAACTCCTGACCTCATGATCTGCCTGCCTCGGCCTCCCAAAGTGCTGGGATTACAGGGCCCCGGCCCTGGAGCTTATTTTCTAGTGAGATGAGACAGCACACAAAAAAATAAATGAGACAGTTATTAAACAATGGATGTGGTAGCCATTTGTGCTTTCTCCTAAATTTTGGGCCGTCCAACTTCCCAAAGGATAAGATGGAACTCTTGGCCCATGTGTGGTTGGGTGAAGGCAAATGACGAGTTCTGAACAATGCTCTATGAGCCAGAGTTTTGTGTCTCCCTTCCAGGCAAGAGCATTTTATTGCGGGCGCAAAACTTCTCAAATCTCTCTCTGCTTTAGTTCCAGCCCAGCTCATGAAGGGGATGACCCTGCCTCTTCAGCCATCGGAGCTACCACACTGATCAGAGCCTTTCAACTGGCCTCAACAGATCCATAGTAAGAGAAAAATCTCTGTTCTTTAAATCCACTGGGGCATTTGCCATCACAGAGTGAACTAGCCTATACTGACTGCTGCAGAGGTATGCAGAGATGAAGGTAAAACAAGGTAAAGTGATGGTGAGAGTGATAATTTAAGTAGAGTGGTGAAAGAAAATGTCTCTGGGGAAGTAACATTTGAGATCTCATCAAGAGAGGACAAGAATCAATGGTCCAGACTAGGAAGACAGCAAGGGCAAAGGCACTCAGATGGTAATAAGTTTACCAAGTTCAAGTGCCCATGCTCTACAGACATGTTCAGGCACACATACACTCCTGCATGCATGCACTCATGTGCACACACACTGACTGCAGGCATGCACTCGTCTCTATACACATAGACCTACACACACAGGAGCTCATGTGCACATATATGTGCACACTTAAAAATGCACTCTGCATGAGCACGCACTCGTGCACTCACATGTACTCATGTACACACAAACCGAGCACACACATCCACACACTCCCACATGTGTACACACACACTCACATACACACAAATACCTACACAAACTCACAGTGGAGTTAAAAATAGGAGACAGAGGGTGAACGAACCATTTCCCACAGTCCATCTGCAGATAGTTCCATGACCCAGCCGTCAGCCTAAAGAGTCAGGCACCAGTGACACAGGCCTGTTCCATCCAACCTCACAACAACCCAGCAAGGTGAGGGACTTTCCAGATACCAGCTGCAACAGTGAACGTTGCTGGCTGCAGAGCCCTAGCCCGGTCTTTATTAGTTTGCTAGGGCTGCTATAACAAAGTACTGCAGACTGGGTGAGTTAACAGAAATGCATAGTTTCACAGGTCTGGAGGCCAGAAGTGCAAGATCAAGGTGTCGGCAGGGCTGGTTCCTCCTGAGGGACGTGAGGGAACCATCTGTTCCAGGCCTCTCTTCCTGGCTTGGAAACAACCAACACTTCTACCATACAGTATTATCTGGGACTGATCACTAAGTGCTGCCCACCTGCAAGAGAAAGAAAATGAAGCTCTATTTTTTGAATGGAGGATTATCGAAATAATGTTTGTGTCTATTTTACAACTACCACTGGCCTACTGAGCAAACATTAATGATAGCTGAATTAAGACCTTGGAGGCTTGAGAGCCTTGGGTTTGAATTCCTTTTCTGTCACTTAGTGATAGTTTGACCTTGGATTAACCTCTTCATACCTCTGTTTTCATCTCCGTAAATTAGAATAACAATAACTATATCACCTAGGGATTGTGAGGTTTTAATCAGATAATGTAAAGTAGGTAGATAAAATATACGTATTTGTCACAATGAGCTCAACCCATCATTGCTAACATTTTAATTACTATTAATAATAAAGGGGCTGGGTGCCGTGGCTCACACCTGTAATCCCAGCACTTTGGGAAGCCGAGGCGGGTAAATCACTTGAGCTCAGAAGTTTCAGACCAGCCTGGGCAACATGAGGAAGCTCTATCTCTGCAAAAAAAAAAAAAAAAAAAAAAAAAAAAAAAAAAAAATAGAGCTGGGTGCAGTGGCATGTGCCTGTAGTCCTAGCTACTCTGGTGGCTGAGGCAGGAGAATCTCTTGAGCCTGGGAGGCAGAGGTTGCAGTGAGCTGAGATCACGCCATTGCATTCCAGCATGGGTGACAGGAGTGAAGCCCTGACTCAAGGAAAAAAATAAAATAAAATAAAGGGAGGCATTTGTTATTCTTAGCAGAATCAATCTGTGCTGAAAACAACCCCAACATAATATACCACATACTTAACTTTTTGTGGCTAGAATACAAAATCTACTCTCTGATTTTCACGAATACAATACATTGTTATTAACTATAGTTGCCATGTTGTACAATAGATCTCTTGAACATATGACTTCTGTTTAACCAAATTTTTTTACCCGTTGACCAACATCTCCCCAACTCCCCATCCCAGCCCCCAGTAACTACCATGCTACTCTCAACTTCTACGGGTTCAACTTTTTAGATTTCACATATTAGTGAGATTTGGAATCAACCTAAGTGTGCATCAGTGAATGAATGGATAAAGACAGTACAATATATACACAATGAGATACTATTTAGTATTTTTTAAAGGAAATTATAATATTTGTAACAACATTGATGAACCTAGAGGACATTATGCTAAGTGAAATAAGCCAGGCACAGAAAGAAAAATCCCACATGATCTCTCTTTAGCTTCAATGATGTCTTTTTTAAGCACAGAATTTTTAATTTGATGATATGCAGTTTATCTAGTGTTTTGTTTTGTTGATTGTTTGTTGTCATAGCTAAGAAATCATTACCTAATCCAGGTTTATGGAGATTTTCATCTATGTTTTCTTTCTATTTTAAAAAATTAAGGTGGAAAGCACATAACATAATATTAACTTTTTGGTGGCATTTAGCTCATTCTGATTGTTTCACAACCCACCTTTATCTAGTATGAAAACATTGTCATCACCCCCAAAAGAAAACTCTACCCATTCAGCGGTAACTCCCCATTCCTCTCTTCTTGGAGCTGCTAGCAGCCACAAATCAGTTTACTGTCTCTATGGATTTACCTATTCAGAATATTTCATATAAATAAGATCAAAACTATGTGACCTTCTGTGTCTTCTTTTCCATAGCATAGCATTTCCAAGGTTGAACCACATTGTTGCATGTACAGTATTCAGTTCTTTTTGTAGGTAAATAGTATTATGTTGCATGATATACCATATTGTATTTTTCCATTCACTGGTTGATAGACATTTAGGTTGTTTCTACAGTAGCTATTACAAATAGTGCTGCTATGACTATTCATGCATGAGTGTTTGTTTCTGAACTTGTTTTCAGTTATTTTGCATGTATACCTAGAACTGGAGTCGTGGATCACATAACAATTTTATGTTTAAATTTTTAAGAAACTATCAAACTGATTTCCACATTGGCTGCATTTTTTACAGTCCTATTTGCTATATTTAAAGAATATATAACACCTGCTATTTTCCTTATTTTTTGTTATAACCATCATAGTGGGTATAAAATGGTATCTTATTGTGGTTTTGATTTGCATTTTCCTACTGACTAATGATTGTAAATATCTTTTTTTCATATGCTTGTTGGCCACTTGTGTATCTTTGGATGAATGTCAATTCAAGTCCTTTACACAGTTTTAAAAATAGGATTGTTTGCCTTTTGTTGTTGTTGTTGAATTGTTAGAGTCCTTTATATAATATGGATTCTGGACCCTTATGCAACATATGATTTGAAAATATTTTTTTCTATTCTGTAGGTTGTCTTTTCAATGTTTTTATAGTGTACATTGATGTAGAAACGTAAAATCTAACATCTATTTTACTGTTACTGCTTGTGTTTTGGGTGTCATATCCAATAACTAATTTCTAAATCCAAGTCATAAATATTTACTCCTATATTTTCTTCTAAGAGTTGTACAGTTTTAGCTCTTGTATTTGTACTGTTGATGAGTTTTAAGTTAATTATTGTATTAGGTGTGAAGTAGCAGTTCAGTTACATTCTTTTGCATGTGAATAATTGCTTTCTTTAGCACATACTGATTATTTTTTAAATATGATCTTATGTCTTAAACAGAGTCCTACAAATAACAACACAATACACCATCAGTGCTGTTTTTAAGACTTTCTGAGTTGCATATAACATTTAGCATAACTAATTACCAAAAATGCATAGAAATGTATTGGGGGATTCTCCCATAAGAAGGCACCAGAATTGATTTACCTCACACATCAGTGCTCCTCCTTCTAAGAGTATTCTGGCTGGCCCCTCTGCCTTTGAATGGAAACAAGTCATGAAATACTGCACATGGTATGACAGAAGCATTGAACTCAGTTTCTGACCCTGCAGTACAATATTTATAGCAATAACATATACGTTTGCTATTCATTATCTCTGTGATTTTTGCTTAGTCATTTAACCTCTCTTAGCCAGGGTGCCAACTATATGAATTCTCAGGTTCCGTGAAGATTTAACTATCTCACCCTTCCCTGAATTTATCACTTGGTTATCTCAGATTAGGGTAAGAGAAAATCTATTTAGGTGAATGGAAAGAAAATCACAGGGATTGGAGGTACAAATGGTACTGATAGTCACAAATGCATTATATTAGGGGAAAAGGCTGTCAGCACCAACAAGTGACAAACATTTACTGATAAGTATAAATAAAATTCATTTCTTAAGTGTGATTCAGCTGCATTTCTCCAATTCAGCCTGATCTCAATATCAGATTTTTATGGTAGACTAGAATATCATCTGCAAATAATGCCCACTTACTCTTTTTTCTTCGAATCTCTATTAGTTAGGTTTTGTTCTTTATTCAATCATCCAAAAACTTAATAGCTTAAAAGAATAATCAATCAACTGTCAAGCAGCTGTCCAGGCCGTGGCATGAGTGAGTGCCGCTGTGTCCAGCAAAGAGAAAGTCCAACTGAGTCCAGCCAAAATTGCAGACCCACACAATGACATGCTAAATAGATATTTGTTCCTCTAGGCATCTATGTTTGGGGTGGTTTGTTATGGAGCAAAAGCTAAATGATACACAGACCATAAAACTCAAGTCTTTTCCATGTATTATTTCTTTGGCTAGATATTCAGTGAAATGCCAGAATAGTTTTTCTTTTCTTGTTCCTAACTTTGATCTCTTATTAGGTATGGTGATTATGTTTCTAGTAGATATTGCTTCAAATTAATACAGCTTCCTTTTATTCCTACATAATGAGGAGTTTTTTCATAAATTAGAAGCTTAAATAGAGACTGTCCTTAACTCTTTAAGCACTGATCAGCCACTTGTGGACAAATGAAAAACTTCTCAAGCAAACCACTTTGAGATCATGTTGAGGAGCTAACAATGGAAGAAACATAAACAAGTCATAAAAAATGGTTCGAACATAATACAGGAGAACACCTAGATCAAATGATACATATTACAGTTACGAACTCAAGCTCAATAGGTATTCAGAGAAAAACTTGAGTTTGGCTTAAAAAATACATAGGGAGACAGAAAAGAAGCACTTAATGAGAGCGCGGCAAGAACAAAATCAAAGCATGGAGGCAGAAAACGGCCGCACTTGCTGGCAAGCATGTCAAGACAATAATACATCTTCTTCTTCCTAGGCCATAGGAAGACCATTTTCCCCAGAACCCCTTGAAGTTTCACTGGGACCATGACTCTGTATACTGACTAGTTAAATGTGGGTAAAGTTAATATAAGCTACTTCCAGGCCTTCTTTTGAAAGAATTCTGTGAAATTTTCCAGCCTTTTTCTAGCACCTTCAAGATAGCATGCTGGCAAGCACAGATTCTGGATGGCACAGCCCTCAGACAGAAGAGCTCAGTCCCCTGAGTCACACTTTGGAGGAAGCTGCCCCGGGAAATCCATCCATATCTCATTAGACTCTGTAGAACATCTCAGATTTGAGAATTGCAACAATGTCTCTCATTAATGACCTGGACTCATGAGAGTCCAGTAGTTTAAATATCCCTGTGAATTCCTTTCTGATCAGCCATTCTGTGTTACGCCCAGTGGCCTAGAATCCTACTTCCCTCCTCTCTATGATCAAAGGCAGCATTAGTTTTTGAATCTAAGAGAAAAAGAATCATTTTCCCATTTTCTGTGAAGGGTGATGTACCTGTTGTAAGAAATCTACAATCCATCAAGGTTATTGAATAACAGGATCATAACATATCTGATAAAGAGTATTTAAAAGTAAAAGGTGGAGAACATGTTAGCTCTGGGAAACATATCTGAGTCACGCAGCACCAAAGTGTGTTAGCAGCCACAAATCCATGCGGCTCCACAGCAACCTCAATTCTAGCAGAATGAAGAAAGAATTTGCCCGAGGGGCATATGGCAGAGTGAGAGATCGAGGCAAGCTTTAGAGCAGGAGTGAAAGTTTATTAAAAAGCTTTAGAGCAGGGATGAAAAGAAGTACACTTGGAAGAGGGTCAAGTGGGTGACTTGAAGGATCAAGTGCACCGTTTGACCTTTGGCTTGGGGCTTTTTGCCTTGTCATGCTCCTGGGGTCTCCATCTCTTTTCCCCTGATTCTTCCCTTGGGGCTAGAAAGCCTTAGTCTGTTTGTTACACTAGGAAGCTAGTCAGACATGAACAGGGGAAGGGAGGGCGCCATCACCCCAGGAATGTCAGGCGCCCATCAGGTGATGGTCAGGCGGTTGTTACACTGTCTCTCTAAGGACTGTCCGCGTGCACCGAGGCTTGCTAGCACTTGAGAGGGGCCGCCTGCACAGTGTCTTTTCTCAAGTTGTGCGCATGCTCACTGTAGGTGTTTTTCCCTTACTGGTGTCCCTAGAGGAAGGTCATACCGGTTAACTGCCGCCATTTTGCCTCCTAGTGTGCATGCTCAAGCTCACTCTTCCAGCTCCTGAGATCTCACTGGGAAGCTGCTGATCATGTTTCCGGGTTTTCTATCTATTGGGAGACTGCCATTCCCTGGCACCAGCTGTGACCGATTATTATTTTAGAGATACAGGTGTAACAACTGCCTGGCCATCACCTGATGGTCTCCTGACATTCCTAGGGGTGGCGGTTCCCCTCCCTTCCCCTGCTCATGTCTGACAAGTTATCTCCACTAACAAAGAGACTAAGGATTTCTAGTCCCAAGAAGACAAAAATGTAGTTCCCTCAGCATCCTCAGGTGATGGAGTTTAGGCTTCCTGAGGTTTCAACACAAAATACAAATTTAAACTGAATTAAAAACCTATTTACAGCCGCACCAAAGGGAGAGAGAACAATGCTACTCAGGATTGCTTTCATTCTTGAGGGTCTTCAGATCATTTGCTTTCCTCTCAATCTACAGTCCTCATAACTTCAGCTGGGAGAAGGCCATTCAAGAAACAAACAAAAAAACAACAAATAAAAACCTTATAATCAATGAAACTATCAAATCATATGAGACAAAATAATTCCATTCACACCACTGATCTGACACAGAAAAACAGAACAGTTGAAGGGGCTTTTGTAACACTGAAAATTTCACATTTCAATGGCATTATTATTCAAAGGAAAAATAACACTCCTGTGGGATTTCAAGAGTAATTTCCATAGCCATTGATGCCTCTGATGTCAAATTTTCAATGCATTGGAGCTCGATAGCAAGATGCATATAGAGCTTATATTCCTTCAGGCTAGAAATTCTGAACTCAGCAGGAGAGTGACGTAAGACTAATCACCGTGTTCTAATTACCATTGAAAAATACATTTCTTGGTGAAGCTATTTGAACGTACCCAAGATCTCACTGCCAGCAAATGACAGGGCCAAGATTTACTCCCTAATATTCTAACACACAATCCTTACTTATAACCAATGCACAAAACAATAATATACTAACACTCTTAACACATTAATAGAATAAGACAATAATAATATCATACAGTATAATAATACACTACAATAAAGCAGGCATCATACCTTATTTTACACCCATGCTTTCTTTACCTGCTCCTTGTTAAGCAAATATTTTTTTCTAAGCCAAACAGGTCTCATACATTGGAGAAGCCACACCCTTTCCAGAGTCATATTCCAGTTCTCTTTACCTCTTTAACCCTGCAACACTCCCCCCAAAACTCACACCGACTCACACATAACCGCACATACACACTCACACATACTTACTCATTTCTGTTCTCATCAATTTTAATTTTCTTCCCAACACTTAGAGTGAATGGCAAGTGGAGCTTTTACTTGGAAACTAGTAGAAAAAAAAAGCATGAGAGTTAACAGGCCTGTGATAGTATCGTTGTTGGTTATTAGAATTAGTGCTGGAGGAAAGAGAGGCTTAAAGAAGTTCCATTTGCAGTAAGCGGCGTGGCACGAGGAGCCATGGAGTAGCTGTGTGAGGACGCTGGTGCAAGTCAACCTGCTAACGTCACTAGAGTTAGTGCCAAAATTCATCTTCCAAGACTATTCCAGAGAACAGACCCAGGCCATTAACTGACCCAGGCTTATTGTCTGGTTGACAAAACTATATGGTAACTTCACAGGACTCTAAAATGGGGCCTTAGGGTACATTTTCGGTAAATTGAAATAACATCATTTAATTTGACAGATTTATTAATTTATGCCACGTGCCAGTGCTGGGCTTGGTGTGATAGAGATGAAGATCACTTAGACTTGGTTGCAACCCTCAGGAAGCTCATACATAATTGAGGTAACCAATATGTCCCAACTAAATGTGATAGATGCCAATGTTTCCAGTAGATGGAGGAATAACAGAGAGATGTTCTGCTTGGCCAAGACCCGGAAGTGAATGCAGCATAGAGGCCGGAATGATTGAGCCCCTGGGGCACTATGATGTTCTCCATCCTTGCTGCAAGCAGGGGACGTCAACACAGTTGCTGGGGCACAGCCACGTGGGCACTGGCCAGGTCCTGGCTGTCCCAGGTGCGCAAGGAAAGCTGTCAAGGTGCAACCTCCGGCTTAACCAGGGCTGGCCAGGTCGAGGGGAGGCTCCTGTGTAATTTAGGTGCAGCCAGCCAGGGGGGTCTTCCTCCCCTGAGCCTGATCTCTGTGAGGATGAGCGCTTGTGGAAGTGCAGGGGAGACAGGATTACTGAAGCAGGGAACAGTGACTCCCAGAGAAGAATGTACACTTCAGAAGTGTCAAGGGAGCCAAACCATGTGCTTATTCTAACCCATGAACACATCAGTGAGCCCACGAGTGAGGCACTGACCCTTGGTGTCTGGGTTTGCATCCAGCCTCATTTTCAAAATGACACTAACTTGGGACTTTTCTTTACAACTTTCTTTTCTATTTCTTTTTGTCCTATCTTGAATACTGGCTAGAGATGCCACTGAGATACGGCTCATAGTGAAACTGGGTTTAGTGCCTCTAGTGTGGAAAGCCTGAGTGACACAAAGACTGGACTTTGGACCATGCATTATGTAGATGCTCTGTGAGGCAGACAAGGGGCAGATGCACCTGGCTGTGAGCCGCACCTGTGTCCCAGGGAGGGAGAAAGGCTGGAAGCAGAGAGAAGCCTGGAGGATGATCTTTGGCCAGAGTGATTCCTATGAACCAGCAGGGAGTCAGCATTGGCAGTCAAGGTTAGCAGTAGTCAAGGTTAGCAGTAGTCAAGGTTAGCAGTAGTCAAGGTTAGCAGTAGAGTGAATGGGATGGGGGAGGGTGAGAATGAAAAGGAGGGAAAGTGGGAGTCAAGATTCTAAATATTCAGAGACTTACGTACATTAAAAAAGTAATCAAATCAGACACTTCTGAAACAAAAAAGGTAATTCTGAATTTTAATTACTTTGAAGGATAAGGCTCTTTTAACTTATTTATTCCATAATACTGGAGGGAAAAAAAAGGAGAAAAAATGTTAATAGTCTTCTAACTATATTTTTCCTGGCAACAACTCTGGTTTATATGCATTGGTCTGCTGTTAGTTGTCTAATGCTCTTAATTTCCATAACAGAAACAGATAAGTGTAAGTGTATGAGACCGGATTCTCTTCATTTGCCACCTAGAAACGTACTCCTTCTTTTAAGTCAAAGTAATTAAATTCATCTATTACTATGGAAGTTTTAATGAGCCTGCTTTTCAGAAATTTGACTTTATTAAGCTTAAGCAGACAGTACATTTCATGAAACAAATTAAATAAGATTGTTCTATGCACATCTCACCTCCCCACACTAGACATTGCTCCATCACTAAAGAATGAAGTGGGAAAAAAATTAGGAAAATAAAATGTGAGGTGACAGACTGTTTCATCCCTCACCCTGGTGGCTGATTCCACTGACCTCTGCTTCCCTGAGAACCTTCAGAAAGGAGGTTCCCACAGGAGATGTTCTCTGGGATTCTCAGCTGGGAACTCCCTCTCATCCTCCCTCTAAACCTCATTTTACCCATGAGCTCAGCTTGCAAACAGGACACACAGCCAGGAACAGGGAAGACCCAGGCTCTGGGGGTTAAAGCACTTCCCCAGTTGGTAAGAGCTCTTTTAAAAAGCAAAACAATGCAAAAATGCTAACACACCCATAGGCCCAAAACTGTTATTTACAATTGAAAAAGAAGTCACAACAGTTTACAAGTTTTAGAAAACTAACAGTGCAGTATTTTCAGTGAACTTTCAGACGCGTTCGAACCAGGGCAACTCTATCTTGAGTGAGGGCTGGAAAATGAGGCTGGGGCTTGCTGAGCTGGATTTGCAGGAAGTGAGGTGTTCCCAGCCTCTAGATGTTTACGGTTAAGGAAACAGATTGATAAAGTTATTAAACAGACCCAGACTTAGGAGTGTCCTGATATCCCAATATCTTGAGAACAGATGCATTCCTAATTTTTCTTTAAAGATAATAATATTGATTCTTGCAAAATATAGTAATTAAGAAGATCAATCCTTTACCACAAATCCTTGTAGCAGAGCACTCTCCCCACAATCTTTTTTATCCTATGTAAATGGGTATTGTACCCAGGGTGAATGCATTCCTCCCCTTACTTTCAGGAATGCCCCACTCTGGCTACGGAGCAGCTGTTCTTTCACCACTATACTTTCTTAATGAATGTGCTTTCACCTTACTCTCTGGATTCATCCTGAATTCTTTCTTGCGTGAGATCCAAGAACCTTCTCTTGGGGTCTGGATCGAGATCCCTTTCCCGTAACAGAACTACCTGATGCGCGTTTATAATACTGTTCTTTCATTGTTTTGCTGCAATCTATTATCATATTTTCACATGACAACTTTTAAAAATATATATTTTCTACAAATAACAGAAAGACAATTCACTTTTGCCTCCACTATCGCTGATGGAAATTTGTTTTCTTTCACCTTGGAAACTCATCCTTGGTAATATTTTGCAAATGTCTTGTCCTTTTTGGAAAAACTTTATTACATTTACTTTATACATGAGATGCAAGGTTTGAAAGAATTTTCCATGGAATAGCTGAGGTTCTGCACACTTCATATCTCACTCTTACCCCAAAATGCATTCATGATCGCAGGTGCACACATGCACACACACATAATCCTATACTTTCTTCCTATGATAGGCACCACAGGGTGTACTCGTGTGAGTATACACCAGCCCTGCAGCTACACAGCCCATCACCACATGAGTCAGCATGGTGACTCAGAATAACCTGGACGCCTCCCTACATCAGAGCAGCTCACAATAACCTAACTACACACTAACTACATGCCACCTTATATAGCTGATATAGATTCATGTATATAGGTATGGATATGGATATATCCTATCATATCTCTAACCCAATTTTCCCTTATCCAGATACCAAAAATTATGCCCAGCCATTCCCATGCTGCTCACCATGAGACAAAGCACAACGGTAGGGTGGAGAGAGACTGGAGTGGAAAAAACAATGATCATGATCAATTGCAGTTATAGGACCATGTGTGCTCATCATTATAGGGCCTTGAGTCCTTGGAGGAAACCTGGATAAATGGAGGCAGGAGAGGTGGCTGAAGCTGAAGCCTTATCTTCAGAGTTTCTTACCTCTGACTTCCAAGGGTCTGGAGTCCAGCCTCACCTCCCACAAAAGGCTGCGAGAGCAATGGAAGTGGAGGCTCTCAGTTCATAAAATATTCTAACTGCCATCATTACACTTGATTTTATATTTTTACCCTTTGCTCATATTCTACCTTTAATTTACCCATATGTCCTCTTGGACACACCTCCAAACTTGAGTTGAAATCTTCTTCCCCTAGACCCACCCTGGCCTAAGCTCCTCTCATCTCTACAGGGATGACAACAGAACCTTCCTGACTTTCCTTCTGCTTCTGTCCCCACACCCCCACTATTCACTCTCCTAACAACGTTTAACTCTCCGGTTTAAAATGGCACCCCAAAATCCCATTGCATTTTAGAATAAACACCTGTATGCCCTGCAAGGTATTCTCCAAGAATGCACACAATCTGGCCTCTTCCTGCCTATTTGATGTTGTAACTATTGACAGCAACAGGAGGCAGAGAAACTCTAGGCAGCCAGGGATTGGTCCCCAGTGAAAACCCCAACTTCAGACTAAAAGTTGCCTGAAACCTGTGGCTTAAAGTGAGAACTCCTATTCCTGTTTGCCCACTCTTTCCTGATTAGTTCTTTCTGAATAATGTCTTTTTACCAATGGAATGTTGCCTTTTCCAAAACTACCCATGGCCCACCCCACCCCTAATCCTGTGCCTATAAAGACCCAAGACTCAGTCAGTAGAGAGGGAGGTGACTTGACTTCAGAGAGAGGTAACTTGATTTCAGAGGGATGGCTGGACTTTGGAGGAGAGACAGCTTGATGACTTGACTTCTGAGAAGAACCAGCCAGAGATGGCCAGGCTTTGGGGGAAGATTACATGCCCATCCCAACCCCTTTCCAGCTCTCCTCTCCACTGAGAGTCACTTGTATCACTCAAGAAAATTCTCCATATTCACCATCTTTCGATTCATCTGCATGACCTCATTCTTCTTGGGCACTGGACAAGTATTTGGGTCCCCAAAAAGGGCTGTCACACTGGTTGTTTGTCCTTGCTGATGGAGGGCAGCTGCCCCACGTGATGAGGCAAAGGGCCCACAGAGATTATAACACATTGCTGCCTATGGACAGTGGAGCTCAGAGAACATTGTAACACACCCTCTGGGGCTTCAGGGATCACAGGCATGCCCACCTGGGTGCTGCCCCAGGGCCTGCATGGAGTTTACACCTGCTGGTGTTTAAAGCTGCCAGCCAGCCAGCTGGATCCCACACTCGCTCACTCACATGCTCCCTCCCTCAAGGGGCTGAGCACAATTGGCTGAGTAAATGGGGCACCCCTGTCGCAAGTCTGATTAAGGGGTCAAGATAAATATCCTGCATCACTATTACCCTCCTAGCCACATTGACCTTCCTGTTCTGAGAACACACGAGCTGACCTGTCTTGGAGCTCCTGCTCTACCTGTCATCTCTGGCTTCTCCCTGTCCAGCTCCTCCTTATCCTTGCCCCCAGTGCAGAAGAGGCCTCCTGTCACTACTGCATCTGTAGCAGCCCCGGGCCTGTAACCCTGCTTACTTCTGATTGCATTATTTGTTGTATTCCTAGGAAGCATCACTATTTGAGATCATCTTATTTAGGTTTTTATTTTCTTTCTTGCCCCCATCTTCAGAAGGTGAGCTCCTGGTGAACAGAGACCCTTCCTTCCTGATCACTGCTGTACCACAGACATAGGTGGGTGGGTGCTATCCCGTGAGGGACTGGAGTGTTGCTCAGCCAATACTTACCACCCTTCCCCTTGGAGCAGAATTAATCTCTTCCCATTTTGAGCATGTGTGTGTGTTTTTAGCCAATGTTATATTAGCAAATGTCAACACAAAAACTGTTCTCAAGTTATACCAACAGAGATGACTTTATTCGTAGAGGGAAGAGGTCCAAACTCAGTCTGAATTCCACTATCCTGCAACAGAGAACGGGAGAGTAGTTTAAAAGCTGTGGTCTTTGCATTCTAGGCCATCTGTGTTTGCTAATTGGCTTTACCCAAAAGGCAAAGTAGAATTTCCCAGGATCTGCAGGCAGGAGGTTGGTAGTTTTATAACTTGAAGCTAGGGGCCTGGGGCACCTGGGCTTCTACCATCATGCAAGGCAGGGAGCTGGGGGCATGATTTTCCTTGATCTTTACATTTCCAAAGGGATGGCTATCAGGTCCTCAATAAAGACATCCAAGGTTTGTAAACCTGGCAACAGGCTGTTGAAAAAATGTACATCTGAAAGGGGCAAAGAAGCAATTTTCAGTGACAAGTTTTCTAAAGTAAATGCTCCAAGAAAAGGGAGGCCAGGGTTCTGGAGGCAAGAAGAAGTTTTCTAAAAGTTTGGTCAATCCACGAGATACGTGAGTATGATGAGAACCAGGTGTGGACTAGTCTTACATAGCTGGGCTTGGCCTCTTATGCTTCTGCCATTTCCATGTGGAGAACACAGCATAGCCAGCCTGACTGTCCAAGGAGGATGGAGAGATTAAGAACAGACTTAAACCACACCCATACAAGCCAGAAGCCAAGCTGGCCAGTGCGCAGCCCCAAGTGGAGACACACAGCCTAGATCAACCAAGCCCACTCTACTGCACACCTGAGAGCTTGAGAATACACATTTGCTATTCTCATCCACTGAGGTCTGGAATGGAGGGCATCTTCTTTGTAGTAACACATGCCTGAAACAGTGCTCAACGAGTATTTGTAGACTATCAAATGAAAATGTAGTTGCTTCTCTTACAAGTCTTCCTTGATCCGGTAGAAAAAGTAGGCCAAGGCCAGGTGTAGTGGCTCACACCTGTAATCCTAGCACTTTGGGAGACTGAGGCAGGTGGATCATGAGTTCAGGAGTTTGAAACCAGCCTGGCCAACATAGTGAAACCCCGTCTCTACTAAAAATACAAAAAATTAGCCAGGCATGGTGGCAGGCACCTGTAATCCCAGCTACTTGGGAGGCTGAGGCAGGAGAATCGCTTGAACCTGGGGTGTGGAGGTTGCAGTGAGTGGAGGTTGCACCATTACACTCCAGCCCAGGTGACAGTGTGAGACTGTTTAAAAAAAACAAAAGAAAAGAAAAAGCAGGATAGGTATGCCTTTATTTTAGCCCACCATGCTATCTTTGTTTTAGCATTTATATTTCATTTATTTGTTTACATGTGTGTCCAACACCACAGGGACAGTTTTAGACATGTTGTCAGGGAAGGTCTCTCTTTGAAGGTGACCTTGATCATGTGCTCAAGGGCTAAAAGGTGGTAAGCTAGGGTGGGAGGGGGTAGCTTTGAATCAAGTCTAGCCACAGGTTTTTATAGCTGGTCTCTGAGCTACTCTGTAAAATCAGGTAAGCACTGGCCTGGATGACCTGGTAACTTCACATTCACTCCCGTCCCACCAGGACCAGGAATGATGGGGACCAGACTGTGACACTCTTCTTCATTCATTCCTCAGCAATGGTTAAGTTGGGTAGGAAATTAGCACTGAGTAGTTTATTTCTAGATATCAGGAAGACACATAAAGGCGTAATATATTCCATAAGAGAGTTAGTGCCTTGCGTTTACCAGGCATAGATTATGTAATAGCTGCTTTTTCTCCTAATCATCGTTATCCATTTCAATTACAACTACACTGTTAGAAATGCCAAAACATTTTATCATCAGACCTCACAGAAAATAATAGGTGAATTACAACCTTAACTTGCATATATTTCTCAGGCAGTTTCTGACCATTAGGAGGGGAGTAAGAAATGGAAATCTACTAGATGATAGTACAGGGATTTTCCTGTTTCTCAGCTACATGGATTTTTACATCACTTTTAAAAAATTTACTGACTTTTTTTGTTATAGAGACAGGGTCTCGCTTTCTTGGCCAGGCTGGTCTCAAACTCCTGTCTTCAAGTGATCCTCCTACCTTGGTCTCCCAAAGCACTAGGATTACAGGTGTGAGCCACCGTGCCTACCCCTACTGCCTGTGTCTTAACTGGTCAAGAACAGCAGGTAACTGCAGGGGCTGGACAGGGCCACCCCAGGTTGAAATTTACTTGGTGGAAACACAATGCCTGAAGCAAAGAGGGGTTGAGGGGTGATATTTAATCAATAGTAAGGCACTTGGGATAGAAACTAAACCTCTGGAAGGACACCAGAATCAGACCCAGGACAACTGAAGATCTGAGATGACATCCACCACGCAGAACAACCACAGAATATGGTTTGTAATGCCTGGTACGCAAATCTCTGATTTTAGAACATTCAGGGACCTCCGAGCTCCTGCCTCTATAGCCGTGTATCTGCTCTTCCTGCTGCCTGCCAAGCACTCCACCAAAGCTTGTAGATCTTGCTCTTTCTCTTCATTTAGTTTCCACCCAAATGCACCGTCCTCAGAGAGACATTCCCTGATGCCTCTCCCTCAGGCAGAGGCACCATGCACACACCACACCAGCTGTCTCAATTGCATTCTTATTTGCATCCTAACAGTTCACTCAATTACATTCTCTTATTTCATTCACGTATGTGCCTACTGTCTGCCTTCTCCACTAGAATAGGAACTCCTGTTGATTAGGAATCGTGTCCAATTCTATTTCTTACTGTATTCCTATTACCTTCAACAGTCCCTAGCAAACAGGAGGCACTCAAGTAATATTTGAATAAAAAAAGGAACCCACTTCTTTTACAGATTATTACAACGAGGTCTGGAAATGTTAAATAATTTGCCCAAGGCCACTTGGCTACCTAGAGTCAGAGCTGGGACTCAAGCATTGACGGTGGGTTTAGCCTCTGAGCTAAACTCTGAGTTTAGTCTCTCCCGTGGGAGAGACTCCTGACACTGGGGGTTCTTGATGCTGGGTTTAACCCAACTGTGGATGATTTGGAGAAACACAAGTTTGTCAAAGATAATATGTTTCTTACAGCCAAGTTTTGAAACCCATTCACATTTTGGCATATGTACGTATGTGTGTGTGTGTATATATATACGTATATATAGCACAAATGTGTGATGTCCAGAAGAGTGTTTGTTTGAAAATGTTCTTTTTTCCAGCCTGGGCAACATGGTGAAACTTCATCTCTACAAAAAATACAAAAATTAGCCAGTCATGATGGTGTGTGCCTGTGATCCAGCTACTTGGGAGGCTGAGGTGGGAGGATTCCCTGAGCCCGGGAGGTTGAGGCTGCAGTAAGCCATAATGGCATCACTGCACTCTAGCTGGACGACAGCGTAAAACCCTATCTAAAAAAAGAAAAAAGGAAGAATTGTTTTGTTTTGTTTTGTTTTTTGTTTTTTTTTTTGCCAATGATGTTAGTAAATTAGAAAATAATTTCACACCAAAGGGCACTACCTAGGCCTGTCAGTAAACATTATCAAATTTCCATAAATGAGGTGCTGTGATACAGAAATATCACCACTCTTTTCCATAACAAAATCACTATAATTAAGCTAGAGCTTCTCTGTGCTATTTAGCAAAATAAACAATTACCCCATACCCTTAAGGCTGATTATTAATTTGGGTATTGGGTTAATATTCTTACAGTCTGGTCTGGAAATCAATTCCAAATCTCATGCTCAGGGCAACTGAGTAACTGAAAGCAATTCCAGTGCAACGCCTGTACAAAGTGCAAACCTGCAAAGCTGCTGGGTACACCCCAGGCCACACAAGTGATGCCTATGCATGCTGAAGTTGGATGGAATCATGAAGACTAGAAAGTCACCACTTCAACAGTAGCACTGAGCACCTGCTTAGGGCCAGGCCCTGCGGTAGATGCGGTGTATACCAGGGCGACGCCGCCCTGACCCTGAGAAGCCGACAAGCCCATGGAAGGACCTTTGCTAAAAAGCACAGACTTCCCTTGAGGCAGTGACAAGCCACAGTCTGTATTGGAGAGGACTTAAAGCAGTTTCAACTCATGCAACATTTAAACCACTTATGGACACACCCAGAGAAAGCCATGGCTACTTCCTGCCCATCTCCCAAGCCAAAAGCTAAAGAGGGAGGTGGCCTGTCCCAAGCAGACATTTGACATTCTAGACTGAGTCAGAGAAAAGCCCACAGAGTCCGGTCATCTCGTCTCACAGCTGCTGAAGGCTCACTGATGTCCTGCTCCTAGCAGATGTGACCCCTGGCTGAGAAGGATTTTAGTTGCTCTCAGGTTAATATTATTTACCATCAGCTTTGGGGCAACCTTTTAAATGGATGGATATTAACAGAGCCCTTCCTAGAACAAGGATAAAAAGAATAAACTGCCTTTCACTCACCATCTGTGTAATTCTATTTCTTCCAGCAATGAGAAACTTGACGTAGGTCATGACTCCAGAGCTTCCTGTCAAACCAGGGATTGCTGAGATCCCAAGGACTCTGTGACAAGTGGCTGCATATTCCTTCTGTTAATCTCTCTCCAAATGTGCAGTCATGGGTTCCCAAAGACAGTCAGTCCAGGCAATCACAATTCTAAACAGAAAAAGTACAACAGAAAATTGATTTCATGAATGAAAAATGTAAAAAGTTATCAGCACAAAGAGGGGGAAATCTATAAATAACTAATGGCGTGCTTAGGGGGAAGAAAAGCACATCACACTGTGAGCACACCCTTATTGCCATCCATTTCGATTGTGGCAATAAAAGGATGTAGCAATTCAGACCACGATGTGAATTCCTACCCAGTCTCGAGGGATGGTCGGCTAATGGAGGACTACAAATATGGCACTTTTAAAATATCCTGCCACTAATGAAAACCCATTTGCTTCACAAGTAGGATTTCAGTAAAGTAGTCGGGGTCAGGAGAGGATTAGAAGTATCAAGTAGAAGCTTCATTTAGCTAAGAAGTAGTTCAATTGCTTTTAGTGTACTTAATATTTGGAAGATAAATTCTTACCCTGCAACCTTTAAGGCAGTTGGAAGCTTCAATGAGCCTGGGGACCAGCGAGCTTTCTAGGTTTTTGGGTCTCAACCTCCATCTCTAAGCTTAGCTCTTCAAGTCATTAGCATGGACCCTTAGGTCTTTGGCATGAGGTTTTGTGTATGGCTTAACTGGGGAAAAAAAAAACCTACATGCTTGTATAGCACTGCTATGAACTGTATATTTCTGTCCCCCCTCCCTCAACTTATACGTTGAAGCCCTCAACCCCAATGTGACTGTATTTGGAGATAGGGCCTGTGAGGAGGTTATAAAGATGAAATGAGCTGATAAGGTTGGGGCCCTAATCCAAAGAGACTGATGCTCTTTTAAGAAGAGAAAGAGACATCAGAGTCCTCTCTCTCTGAACCTGTGTCAAGGAAAGGCCGAGTGAGGACACAGCAAGATGGCGGCCACCTAAAAGCCAAGAGAAGAGGCTTTAGGGTAAAACCATCTTGACAGCATCTTGATCTTGGACTTACCAGTCTCTAGAGCTGTGAAAAAGAAATTTCTGTTACTTAGGCCACCCAGTCTGTGGTATTTTGTTATGACAATCTGACCACACTAATGTAAGTAAATACACAGAATTGTATGAGCAGTGGATCAATCAAGTTTTCTTCCAAGGAAAAGACACCAAATTGCATTGGTGGTTACCATCCTTAGGCATTTCTATGGAAACGTGTTGATAAGTCTCTGTCACACTGGTAGACATGCCAACATCCACTCAGAGTTTAGCAGTCACATGTAGAGAATGTTCAGCTACCCACCTCACCCTTTCTTCTCAGGTGATGGCTACTTGTTATTCAGATATCCTCAGATAACCTCTTCAAAAAAAAAGTCATTTTTAGCCTCTTATTCACCATCCTATCTCCCTGTTTAGTGCTCTTAAAATTTCCTGTATTTTCCTTCAAAATACCTCTGAAAGGCTAATTAATTATTTGGGCAATCCTTTCTCTATAGTTCCATCACCAAATGTGTCCATGAGGATGAGAATTGCACCTGTCTTTTTCAGCACACTGCCTCACAGTCCAGCACAGGGCCTTGTAAACAATAGCTACTTAAGAAAATGTAGATATACACACAGAACACATACATGTAGATATACACACAAACACACACACAAACACAAATAATAGTCTAAATGAAACCTAAGAGATTAGAAAAATCTAAAGGGTGGAATTTTTAAATTTAGGTTAATTTTAGCCAATTTGGCATCATTTTTTCCTTTCTTCTTATAGCAGCATGGCAGTTTTTGCATTGGGAATTTATTCATTCCACACTTTGGTCCATGTGTTCAGATGGAGCCGACACCATCTGCAATTACAGGGACTGTCATGTGAGCCAGCCAGGCCAATCAACATATTCCATTCTGTTGGTCCCAGTGATTGGTTCAGGGATGGGCACATGACTGAGCCTGGGCCAATGAGATTTAAGCTGAGGTCTTCCTGAAATCATTGGGAAAGAGAAGTTTTCCTTTCTCCAAAGATTGCAGAACCGATAGCACAAAAGCCTACAGGCGCTGACAGTCATCTCGCTACTCCCATGGAAACTAATGAAGCCAACACAAAACTGAAAGAGAAGCAGATTCCTGATGAGATTATTGTAGCACCTAGATCCAGCTATGCCCAAGGTTAGATGTACCCTTGAATTTTTTTTGTGAGTTAATTTGTTTCCTTTATGGATTAAGCCATTTGAGTTGGGTTTCTGTTTCTTAAAGAGAGTACGCAGTAAAACACCAGTGAAGGGAACTTGAGACCAGTGTATTTTCAATCAAGCCACACTGCGTACATAATAAGGACAAAATGAATTTAGAATTCAATGGAAGAGGACTTTTCAGAAGAGGCTGGAATTGGGCTGGGGTTGAAGGGTGGGTGGGATTTGTGCCAGCAGACAGAAGAGGAGGACATATGGGGGATAAGAGGAACAGCACAGTGAGGCCTAGGACCAACGCGGGTGGACGAGGCAGGGAGCAGCTTTCCTGACTCAAAGTGAGGAGAGCAGCGGGATGCAGAGGAAGAAGGCGAGGTGGGCTTGGCAGCGCCGGGAAGAAACACCCTGGACGTAAGGACTGGGATGAGACTTGAGGTTCATGAGAGAAGAAAACAACAGAGTCCAAAGTACTTTTGGCAGATAATGAGAGAGGGCCGCTTATAACCAGTTCTCGGATGAAGTTTGCAAACTGGAATGAAGATGTGTTTTCTGTTGCCCTGCATGGTGTTTCTAAAGAGTCAACATTTAAAAATTGAGAGATTCTACCTCAAATCCAGATGTCTGACTTCTCTTGAAACAAGCAACAGAAGTTGGTGTGGTCCTGGCCCCACATCCCTCTGTGGCAACCATCAGCTGAAGCTGAGGGCATCTCTCCGTTAGAGGGGCAGGGGCACCCGGGCCAGCACCAGCCCTCCAGTCTCATTACCTGTGATTAGCCTGGCCACAGCGAGCATGTGTGGGTCTGACCCTGATTGAGAGGAACTCCTCCTCCCAGGCCAACACCAGCCCTCCAGTCTCAGTACCTGTGATCTCCCTGGCCACAGTGAGCATGTGTGGGTCTGACCCTGACTAAGATAATCTCCTCCTCCCATCAGACTCACAGGCTCCAAATGCATCTCCCTGAATTCAGGGAGGACTCACAGCCCCGCCTAAAGAAGGTCCATAAGCCTTCCAGCTCTGGCTCTCCTGGGTACTGCCAGTGCCTCCCCTGCTGAGTATTCCAATCTAACTTTGATATTATTTCTCACTGAGATCACCTTCCTGAACATCTTTATTATTCAAATGCATTAGGAAGTTCTTTGCGTAAACTGTCTTATAATGCAGGTTATTCCGCAGGGGCAATGACCCACATGCCTTTTCTTTTTTTTATTAATGAAAATTATAGGATGTGTGAAAAAATTCATTTTATGAAGACAGAATTAACTTAAAGAAGCAGAATTTCTAAAAGTCTTAAAAAACTTTCAGGAAAAGAAAAACCCTTTATGTTGAAGGATCTTTAAAAAAGAAAGAATTAAAAGATACAGAAAATGGCTAAGATTAGATTTTATGAGAGTAAATTTACAGCTCCTTCCTGGCCAGTGCTTTGAGAGTGACCAGCTGTAGCTGGTCCTCAAAAGAAGTGGTTTCCCTTCAACCCAGTGATACACACTGATGATGCTGGCCCCAGTGGTCTGGAATTGGCTCAGTTTTATTTCCTCCTTTGACTCTGTGCTATGGGCTAAGAACAGGAAGCCCACAGATACTCAAATGGCTGAACAGTATTGTTCAAGAGTGAAATGCGTTGAACTGCAGGAGAGATGATGTATTTGGCTTAATAAAAAAAATAAGGCCAGGCGCGGTGGCTCACGCCTATAATCCCAGCACTTTGGGAGGCTGAGGCGGGGAGATCATGAGATCAGGAGATTGAGACCATTCTGGCCAACATGGTGAAACCCTGTCTCTACTAAAATACAAAAAATTAGCCCAGCGTGGTGGTGCTTGCCTGTAGTCCCAGCAACTCAGGAGGTTGAGGCAGGGGAATCGCTTGAACCAGAGAGGCGGAGGTTGGAGTGAACCAAGACCACACCACTGTACTCCGGCCTGGTGACAGAGCGAGACTCTATCTCAAAAAAAAAAAAAAAAAAAATTTGCTTTCAGTAGCTTTAGAAAATGTGACCTGGTCAGCAAGGCCTTAGACAAGCAGACAGGATAACAGTGAGAGGCTGCAGTTCACACTTTCAGGTCCTCCAGAGAGACTTGCGCCAATGACACGCCAATGGTTCCCCATATGAAGCAGAGGGTTCCTCTATTTGAAGGTGAGGTGGCCTTCCCAGCTGCTCCCGTTTCAGCCCCTCTTCGTGTTGAGACCACATAGACATGGCCACGTGGAAAGCAGCGATTAGCACAGAGTCTGAGGAGGGCTCTCTGGATCCAGCCAGGCACGGGAGGGACTTGTTCTGGAAGGAGGTGGGCATTTGCCCATCCATGAAGCCCCTCATCTGTGCTCATAGGTGTGATCACAGCACGAAAAGAAGACAAAGAACAAAGACCACCAGATCTAGGGATGATGAGGTTCAGTATGCCATTGTGGTGGCTTTTGTAAACTGTCTTAGTTGCACAAGTGAGTTTTTTCATTTTCCTCAGGCCCTACTTCCGGAAGAAGAGGAGGAAATGAAATCCACAGAAATCAATCTGAAAACATGGGCTGTTCTCCTAGCAATCCTCATATACCTCTGGGGCAGAAAGGAAGCATAAAAGGCTCACCTCCTTACACCAGGGAACTAACCGTCCAGCTGAGTGAGCATGGTGCCTGCATGGGCAATGAATGCTGCTTCAAGACAGCACAAAAGTGGAGGCCACGGTACCTAGCCAGCATTAGGGCTGAAGGATTTCAGCGAAGTGAGAGGTTTCTGTGGGCTGAGCAGAGCTTCAAGAGAGGAAGCAGGTTTAGAACTCATGCAAACATACACACGCACACACACACGGGAGCACTCAACCAATATTTGTGCCACCACCTTGTCCTGCATCCTGCCACAGCTCTGTTTAACCCCCACCCCACGCCATGCACAGAGTAGGCTTTGCTTTCCATTAGGAAGACACTCGAGTCACCTGATTCCCACCTGTCTGTCAAGCGCAGTTCCTGCTGCTCCCATCACACTCACCTAGACATGCACACCTGTGGGCCTTTGCATCCTGCTCACCTGGACATGTACACCTGTGGGCCTTTACATCAAGCTTATCTGAATGTGCACACCTGTGGGGCATTTACATCATGCTCACCTGGATGTGCGCACCTGTGGGCCTTTGTATTATGCATGCTTGGATGCACAGAGAGGAAAACACAAGTTCACGGTGAGGCACAGCAGCATCATCGCGACAACAGAAGTATTCAGAGCATTTCTGCCTGGGTTCATATCTGCGTCTACCTCCTGCTACCTGCGTGACCTTAGCAACCCAGGGTTCCTCAGCTACTAAGGAGATAACATCAGTCCAGGCACTTGGCAAGGCTCAGTAATATAATTTGATCATTCATTCATTCAACACATATTGATTGAGTGCCCACTGAGCACCAAGCACTGTCTGAGGTACTGAGGATGCAGCAGTGGAATTAAGCAATGTTTCTTGCTCCTGTGAAGCTTGCATTCTAGGGGGCAAAACTCGACATTCACCGTGGTAAGTAACTGAAATCATTAGATTAGCTGGTAGTGACTCATGAGCAGGTAGTGAAATAATTAGATTAGCAGATACCATCAGAGAAAAAAAAAATAAAGTGAGAAAGGGATAGGGAGGGCCAGAGTTCCTGGAGGGGGCTTCTGGCTCCGTAAGGGAGGCAGCCATGATAAATAATGAAGTGCTGGCACAGGCTACAATGTAGAGGAAGGTGGCAAATATCCCGCTGAGTTAGAGAAGTCAATAGGAAGGATCCTATGTCCCATGACTCTATTTATAGGAAATGTGCAGAATAGGCACATCCATCCAGAAGGAATGCAGTTGGTGGATGCTGGGGTAGGGGGAGGATGGAGTGACCACATAATAGCTGTGAGCCGTGGATTTACTTATGAGTGATGGAATGTTTTGGAACTAGATAGGTGTGATGGTTGCACAACATTGTAAATGTGCCTAATGCCACCAAAGTGCTCAGTGTAAAATGGTTTAAAGATGAGAAGGAGACGAGGAGGGAATTATGAGGATATCTGTGTTTTCCAGGCACTGGGAGTAGCAGGCACGAGGGCCCCAGGCAGTAAGGAGCATGCCATGGTGTGTTTGGGGGACAGCGAGGAGGGGCTGGTGTGCCGAGGTGTGTGAGCAGGAAACAGAAGCAGGCGTGAGATTGGGGCATCAGGGGCCTTAGGCCACTATTATCATAATTCTGATTACCACAGACAGACAGGAGGAAGCCTATGAACACAGTCATACACATGTTACACTAAAGAACGACCTCACTAAGATGGGAAGTTCTCTATGCTTATAAGAAGGAAAAGAACTTGCACTATAAAAGGAAGGAAAAAAAAGTAAAGTCTGCCTTACCCTTTCAAAGAAACCTGTTTTCCCGGAAAGAACTTGGCACTGGACACCCAGGAGGTATAGGACACCCAACCCCCTCTGCACTCATGAGAAGGAAAAGAGCTTGCACTGTAAAAGGAAGAAAAAAAAAGTAAAGTCTGCTTTTCCCCTTCAAAGAAAACCTGTTTCCTTGGAAAGAACTTGGCATTGGACAACCAGGAGGACCCAACCTCCTCTGCACTCATTTGTGCTCCAGTGATGAGTGTCCACGTGGGTGACCCGGACTACGCTGGCCAGTGTGACAGCAGTGCAGGCGGGCCATCTCCATTGGCTTCCCAGTCCGGGCTGTCCTTGGACACAGATGCGAGGGACACTGCTCCATAGATGTGGGTCTCATTTCCGGGGATCCTGAGCTGGCTACATGTGTGATCTGATCTCCACCCGCCCACTCGAATGTGACCATCCCCCAGCCCTGAGGGAGGTGTGAGAATTGTGCAGCTCTCAGCTCCCCAGGACCTGCAAGGCCCCACTCAAACCAAATGACCCCTGCTGGCTGCCTGGGGTCCCAGCCTGGTTTGTTTCCTTCTCTCTGGAATCACAGACCTGTGCTGCCTGCTTAGTGCCTGAAAACTGCTGTTTCCTGGCTTCTGTTTGGGCTCCTAGTTGTTTATGGCAGGGGTGGAGGCCAGGCTGGCCACTGACTCCATCCTGGACACAAGCCGCTGAACCACACTTTATAATAAACACAGGTGATTAGGACTTGTGTCCCAGGCTCCATCCCAAGGCTCCCATTTTTTTGCCTCAGGGACGCCACTGCCTTGTACTTGGCTCCATCTCCTACACAGACTCTGTTCCTGAGTCCTGCTGGTTCTAGCCAGACCTGTCTCTGGAATCCACCTTCTCCTCCCCATCGTCACACCTTACTCACCCTGCCTCATGACAGGCCTCTGCCTCCCATTCTTCACACCCACCAGGGATCACCCTAACCTGTGTTCTGCCATAGCTCTGTTTAACCCCCACCCCACACCATGCGCAGAGTGGGCTTTGTTTTCCGTTAGGAGGACACTTGGGTCACCTCATCCCCATCTGCCCATCCAGGCCTGGCTCCTGATGCTCCCATCACACCCACCTGGATGTGTACACCTGCGGGTCTGTGCATCAAGCACACCTGAATGTGCATACCTGCAGACCTTTGCATCATGCGTACCTGGACGTGCACACCTGTGGGTCTTTGCATCAAGATGACCTGAATGTGCACACCTGTGGGCCTTTGCATCACATTCACAGGGACGTGCACACCTGTGGGCCTTTGCATTATGCTTGCCTGGCCCTTGCTTGTCCGTGGGCCTTTGCTCCGCCCTTTCTTCTGCCTGAGGATGGTCTTCGAAATTTCAGTCCTGTCCCTGGAGAGGCCTGGTAGCTTCTGTATCACTGTACAATCATCTCCCCAGTCAGGTTGGTGGTTCCTTCTTCTCTCTAAGCCTCTCCTTGCATATTGGTCTCTCGGGAGATAAAGAATTGCATTTTACTCTTTCTCTTTCCCCAGGCCCCTGCAAGAGTCCCACCCAAACTAAATGCAAACATTCTGGATGACGTTAATTGTGCCCAGATGAGCTGTAAGGGCTGGCTGTGCTTAATAAAGAGATCAAGGGATGCCAGAATGCAGATCCCAATTCCAACTCTGAGCACAGGAGACCGATTCACCCTCCACCCCAATTAGGAGCTAAAATGGTGGAATTAAATTGGCAGACATGAGTTCGAAAGAAAATCCTCAAACTAAGCAAAATCAGGAGAAAAAAAGACAGTCTTAGGGGAGAAACTAGGAATCCCTGAGAAGGACGTGGAGAGAAGGAAAGAGCTGAGACACGTTTCCTGGGTCACTCCCCGTCCATCAGCTTCTTGTCACTTGCTTTACATGCAGCTTTATCATGAGAGCGAGTGAATAAACAGCCCCCCTGAGCCACAGAATGAGCCTGAGCTTTCGAAGGGCAGGTGGGCAGGTTGCAGGCAGCAGAGTCCAGCAAGGACCCTCTCTAGCCAGACCTACCTGCAGCGGGGAGGGGAGGGTGTGTGTCTCCAGGGTTGGGAAGGAGAAAATCACAAAGGAGACAGGACAGGAGAGCTCCAGAGAGGGACTCCCAGCCAAAAGAGAAATGAGATTTTTTAATAAAAATTAGCAAACATACATTTTGCTTGCCATGGAATACAAATAAAATTCACAAAGTTCAGATGTAAGGTATAGGATCCACAGGTCTTTCTGAAGCCCCTGCCATATGCCAGCCTCTGAGGACACAGAGATGCACAAGACACGGTCTTTGCCTCCAGGGAGCACAGAGAGACTGCAGGGAGGAGGCCTGGGAATAAGCAGAACCTGATGCAGCCTGGTGGGTGGCCAGGTAGGAGCAGCCCAGGACTCAGAAGAAACCTGTAAGAGAGTAATGAGGCAGATTTAAAACGACTAAAACCCTGCACCTCCCTCTTCCCTTTAGGGCTGAAGGCTCCTCGGCAGGCAGAGCCCCACAGAGGGCAGAGGCAGGATGACCCTCCTAGACTCCGGCTCCCAGAGACAGGGCCCCGACAGTGAGTGTCCCGGCAGCTTCTTGAATCCTTCATGCAGGCAGGCATTTTTAGACCATTCCCTGGGAACTGTTTTGGAAGCTTTGTGAAAATGCACAGTTATGAGCATACAGGTGGTGATCAATAAATGCAGGTTTAACTGTAATGGTCTGGGGATTCATCCTGGCCATCTTCCCAGGAAAGCTGCTTCCTTTATAAAACCAGAAGCACATTTGGTTTCTTTTCACCTGTTGTCAGTGAAATGGGCTCAGGGGTGCCACAGCAGCAAACACGGTATTCAGGTGGCTTTGGGACAAGGGTTTGTTTCTCACTGTGTGCTGTGTACCCAGTGTGGGGGAACTGGGTGCTCTGTTCCTCTCTTCTCTGTTCCTAGAATGATCACTATTGGGGAGAGTTCTGCAAAGCTCTGCACTGTTAAGCAAAAGCTCATCCATGAGAGGGACTCGTCACCTTTCTGCTGAGAGCCCTGCCAACCACAAGGAGGCTGGAAGTATTCACACCAACTAATGAATTGGGAACCCACTCCTCAAGGGGTCTTCCATCGCCTCAGATATCTGGTGTTTTAAAGAATTTAGCATATTGTAAAAAAAAAAAAAAAGTCTATCCTGGGAGAACCATATACAAAAGTAGTCTGTGAACCTTTTAGAAAACTCAGAGAAGAGCAAAGATGAAATTAGGATCCCTCCACCCCCAAACACACACACACTTCCTTTCTTTGGTAAGAATTTTGATCCTCCAGGCAGAAACCTAGTGTTGCCAATTTCTCTTACCCCCTTTAGGAAGGACTGCCGTGTCTTCTCCATCTGGGCAGAAAGTCGAATGATTTATTGTAGCCACTGAGTGCAAGCTTGTATGCCCACAAATGTTACACTAAGTGGCAGGCTTGATTTTCATCAGCATTTTGTTCTTGACTTCAATTTACTTCCTTCAGCTGTCAACATTGTGTATGCCACTTTTATTTTGTGATTCTCAACATTCTACGTTCTTCTTCTTCTCTCCCCTTAGCCCTGCCTTTCTCATCTTTCCACTTACCCCATTTATCTCCGCCCTATTGTTCCCACTCCTAAAATGTGCAAAACTTTCTCCAAGTTCCCTTCCAACGTCCCCACCCCCAGTGAGAAGTCTCTCTAGAATTCCCTTGAATCATCGATTTATTTTCTGGTGTGTTCTATTAAACCCAAGCGGTTCATTTCTTCTTTTTATACACAGGGCATCTTTCACTTTATTCCATATGTTTAACTCTTGGAAAGATAAAGTATATTTTAAGTTTCAATGAATGCAGTTCAGTGTAGACTTTTAAAAGTAAAACTTCCAGGTCCTTTATTAGCTTCCCAGACGGATAAAGAATCATTGCATAGTCTTTAACATTTCATTTGTTATCCTAGAGATATTCTGCAATTTCTTTCATGACTGATATAAGCGTTAACTAAGATATCACATCCTCTGGTACAAGAGAAATACAGGAAAAGAAATAGAACATCCTCAAATACAGGCAAGTAAACTGGAAGTTCAGTAAGATCACCCCGAATGGGCTGCTTTCTGTCTCCCAGCAACGCCCTACCAGCATGTTTTCTTAAGCGAGAGACACACTTCTGCTTGGGAGGAATGCGTTGTCCCCTGAGCTTTTTCAGTTGCCTTTGTCTTTCCTGTTGCCTACATGGGAAGGTTTAAACAGCTGAGGCACTGAGATGACTGAACTGTTCACTTCTTTGGAGTTTTTTTTCTGATTTCCCTCAAGATGTAATTGAGGGTACGCGCTGCTGGCTCGAATACTCTATAGGCCGTGCTGGGTCCTTCAGGTAGGATACTCATCTGGACCTAAGGGAAGCTGTTAATTTTGATAACCTGGTCAAGGAGGGTGTTCTTCAATTTCTCTTCTTATTACCACTATTCTGCTACCAATTAATAAGAAATGTGTGAGGAGACACCTTATGACCAGGCAAATATCATACCCTTTATTAAAATTCTCCCTGGATTTCACATACATTGATCATTGTTGCCTGATATGATGCTACTCTGATGGTTGCAAAATGCTTATTTATCTAACTTGAGCACTTTCTGCACTTTTATCATACGGCCTTTGGCATTCTGCTGGAAGAAAGCGCCCCCTTCTTTATCTATCTGATCTGTCTATCTGTCTATCTATCTATCTATCTATCTATCTATCTATCTATCTATCTATCATCTATTATCTATCTTATCTTTCAAATCTATCTTCTGTCTCTGTTATCTATCAATCTGATAATCTATCTTATGTACCCATCCATTCATCCATCTATTCTTTTTTTTTAATTTATATTTTATTTTATTTTACTTTAAGTTCTGGGGCACATGTGCAGAATGTGCAGGTGTGTTACACAGGTATACATGTGCCATGGTGGTGTGTGGCATGCATCAACCCGTCATCTAGGTTTTAAGCCCCGCATGCATTAGGTATTTGTCCTAATGCTTTCCCTCCCATAGCCCCCAGCTCCTGACAGGCCCCAGTGTGTGATGTTCCCCTCCCTGTGTCCATGTGTTCTCATTGTTCAACTCCCACTTATGAGTGAGAACATGTGGTGTTTGTTTTTCTGTTCCTGTGTCAGTTTGCTGAGAATGGTGGCTTCCGGCTTTATTCTATTCTATTCTATTCTATTCTATTCTATTCTATTCTATTCTATTCTATTCTATTCTATGGTCTAATCTAGTCTATCTATATCATTCTATCGTCATCTATCTTATCTGTCTTCTATCTATTTTATCTATCAATCTAATCATCTATCGTATCTATCTATTCATCCATTCATCATTCCGTTCTATTCTATTCTCTATCTTCCATCTAATCTATCTATCATCATCTATCTTATCTATCTTCTGTCAATCTTATATATCAGTCTAATCATCTGTCTTATCTATTATCTATCTATCAGCTACCTATCTATCTTTATCTTATTTATCTATCCTATCTAGACTGATTAAGTTATTTGTCCTATATTTGGCCAGTAAGAGTCCCTTCAAGCTTGTTCCTGTTTTCTTGAGACATGTATCTACCACTTTTTCCAGCATTTTCTTTTTTTTTTAATTATACTTTAAGTTCTAGGGTACATGTGCACAATGTGCAGGTTTGTTACATATGTATACGTGTGCCGTGTTGGTGTGCTGCACCCATTAACTCATCATTTACACTCATCTGACAAAGGGCTAATATCCAGAATCTACAAAGAACACTTTCTTATGTTCAGGTACATCGTGTTATTCTGAGCTTATCTTATACCTATCCTGGCCTAGCCCTGTAATAAGCAACTTCTCTGAGGAAGTGTAGTTCTTCTCAGAGGAGAATTATATTTGAGACCAAATGCAGAGTGTAAAGTGTGAGTATCGATACTGACATAGCTTTGCTTTTTAGCCCTTTTTGTGAACAGAGTGAGGAAATATATGTATCAATATACCTATTTACATCTATAGAGACATACATGCAAATACACATTCACACATATTTTACATACATACTTACACATGTACTTACATACTTGCAGATACATGTATATTTGGAAATTATGAGTTTATAGCAATATCCAAATTATAGTGCATTACCACAGGGTTCTTTCCCATGTCCATATCAGTGTGTTCTTCCTTCCATAGTGAAAACCCGACTCCCAATGATAACAACAACGTTCACTCCTCTGTTCAATTCTGTAATACTCCAAAATGTTCTCAGAAGATTAGAACAAAAACAGCAACATGAAACAAACCTATTAACCCTATTAAAGATTGTGAGTGGATAGTGAAACACTGTGTTCGTAAGTTATACTGATTAGTTTTGTTTAGGTTGATTCCCTTCAGTGTTGTTATAGCATTCATATAAAATACATAGTCTGCTAATTTTATATTCAGTTTTATAATGTTTTTATCCCCCTCCCATCTTTATTAATTTTTTGTGCTTCCAAAAGTCAAAATTTATTCAAGAAAGTATAAAACTGTCTCACTCTCTCTCATATTCCACCTGCCCACTCCAGCCTCACCTTTTCCAAGTAACCAATTTCATTTTGGTTGACTTATTTTCCTGTGCATATTTTTTTTCTAGTAAAGATAAGCAGACACATGTATTGGTTTTTATTTTCTATTCCTTCTTTACACAAAAGGTAGATGTTTTTACTTAACAGTATTTTCTGAAAATCATTGTTTATAAAATCCTCCTTCTTGTTTACACTGGCAGAGAGTCCTATTGTGTGGCATGGAGAGGTTACACATCCACTTTCATATGCTTGACTTCATGGGCACCAGCCTCCAAGATGGCCCCCCATGCTCACAGCCTCTTGGGTAGTCCTTTCCTGCCTTGTGCCAGAGGTGGTCTGTGTGACCAATAGTAAAAGGCAGAAGTGATGATAGGGTGTCACTTCCAAAACGAGGTTGTATGAACCACATCTTCCATCTTAGGCTCACTCTTTCTTGGCCACGCTCTGTCTTAGATCACTCACTCTGGAGATAGCCGACTTTCGTGTTCAAGAACATACTGAGAACAGCACAACATGAGAAACACATTCAGGTAGTTTGGGACATGGGTTACTCATTACTTTTTTGGTTTTTTATGGCACGAAATCCTGCAATCATTTTATAATGGAGAGAGGCTGTCAATTTCAATGAGGACTATGAGGAATGAACCACATGAAGGGTGCACCCATGAGGAAGTTTGGCCTTCAAGTAACATAATACAAAATTTTAAACACATTCTATACAACAAAATAAGTTATTATTTTTCATAACAAGAAGTCTGGAGATAACATTCCTGAGACACAAGTATGATATATATTAATGGAATAAAGATACTGAATGGGGTTAGAATAAAACATCGACATTAATTCTCTATACTTTGTGCCTCCCAATTTTGTAGCTATATATATTTTTTTTGGGGGGGGATAATTATAGACTCATATAATGTTGTAAGAAATAAAGTTGAGAGACCCCATGTACCATTAACGAAATTTAATGCAATGATATGATCTTGCATAATTATAGTAAGATACCACCACCATGAAGTGAAAATCGATACAATTAATTGACATTATTCAAATTTTGCCAGTTTTACATACACTCATTTGTGTGTCTTTGTGTATTTAGTTCTATGAGATTTTTTTAGGTGTACATTTGTGTATTCACCACCATAGTTAAGCAAAATCTCATCACCACAGTCAAGCAAAATTTAATTGCCACAAAAGGATGCCACCCTTTTGCAGCCATGCTCACCTTGTCCAACATGGTCACAATTAACCCCTGACAACCACTTCAAAAATGTCATATAAAAAGCATAATACAGTATGGAAGCTTTTGGATTGGTTTTTTTACACGCAACATAATTACCTGGAGATTTATCTCATTTTTGGTGTACATCAATAATTATTTCCCTTTTATTATTGAATAGTATTCCATAATATAGAAGATATTTGGGTTGCTGTCAGTTTTTGAATCTTATGAATAAAGCTGCTATTGATTTTCATAGATAGGTTTCTGTGTGTATGTAGGCATTTACTTCCCTGGAATAAATGACCAAAAATGCAATTGCTGGGTCATATGGTACCTTGTGTTAGTTTTAAAATTGCACAGGTAAAGTAATTTTTTTAAAAAGATTTCAAATGCACAGAATGTATTAAAATGAGATACTACTTCAATCATGGGAATGATTACATTCGATTACAGGTCCCAAGACTTACAGATGCAAATGAAAATAACTACTTCGCCACTTATTTAAGGAAGAAAGAAGAAAGGAATCATAGCACAGAGAATATATTATTTCTCCAAGCCAGCCAACACCACAAATAGAGGAAACTTTTCCAGCTGATGGAATGACAACTTCAGTCAATTCTCCCATGGGGAAAAATGCTTTTTATGAACACTGTTCCTTCCAATTCAGCTCCATTTCACAGTGCATGATTATCTTCCATTTTATTGTCACCAAGGCACCAGAGAAAACAAATAGAATAAAGACAACCATTATTAACAGGTAATAGATGTTTTTCTTGCAGTTTTAGTGGTAAATTAAACTTTAATGGCATCTGTTCACAATGAAAAATGTAACCACCTTAGTGATAAATATGCTTTAATTTCAAATGTCAAATTATAACTTGTTTTCATTTAAATGTAAAATAAATTCACTTTCCATCATAAGAAAGAATTATTACCCACAGTGGAAAAAATACCCAGAGAGGTAGTCATTACCCAGCTCCCTAAAGCCCCCTGTAATAGAGAATTATGTCAGCTCTTCCCAGGAAAAATCCCAGAACTGCCACTTAAGAGTCTTTCAGGGATTGATGTTTAATCACAGAAGAGACCAAATCAACACGCCATCCCATATTCCCCATCCTCATGAAGTTCTCTGGCTTCACTGGAGTTCACAGAGAAAGAGGCCATCCTACAATCCCTCCCTGCGCCAAACAAAATTAACACCAAAGAAAGCCTCATAACTGTTTTAATTATAGACCTGAAAATTACAACCAGCCCTCTTCTCCCCACAACAGTTGACAATGGTGATCTTCTCTTGAGCCATAAGAAACAGTCCTCCACTGCACACCTGGGTCTCCTGCTATGTGTAAGTAAAAGAGTAGCCAACAGAAGGCCACTTTCAACCTTCGAGAAGAAAAATAATAGCAGCACCCCCAGCTGCCTCACCCAAGGCAGACACAGCTCCCCAAAATGCTGCTCAGAGACTCCATGTTCTCAGTGTGACTCTCTCAGCAAGGGAGGCCCTTCAAGATCTGAGGTGCTGATCAGCAGGTAAGATAATCACTAACTCACAATTATACTTGGAAATCTGGATGTAGCCTACACTAAGAAGAAACCAGACAGCCACATCTACCACTTGGCCTATGCGCAGAGTTTAGCAAATGGCAAAGTTTTGAGCCAGAAATCAAGTTTAAGGGGCATCACAGTCCCACCTAGGATCATCCTATCTTCTGACACCAACTGTAAGTTTGGGGAGTTTTCAAAACCATCCCCAGATTCAATAACTGGCTTGAAGGATTAAAAGCTCACTGAAGCTCTTCGACTCACAGTTACCATTTATTAAAGGGAAAGAACACAGATCAGAACCAGGTAAAGAAGAAGTGTGTAGAATGAAGTCTGGAAGGGTTCCCAGGAAGCTTTCACTGTGCTTTCCTGTGCAGTCAGGACATGTTACCCTCCTGCCATCAAGTGTGACAATATTCACAAGTATGGCCAACTAGGTAAGGGCACCTGAGCCTCAGTATTCAGGGTTTTTATTGGGGCTTCATCATGATTGATTGAACTCAATCTCCATGTTGCCCAACAGCTTATGACCCAAAGCACCACCCTAAATCACATGGCTAATCTTTCTGTCTTACTCAGCCCCGACCCCAGGACTTTCAGGTGTGGCAACTCCACCCTAAGCAGTATGTCTAGTTGCTACCCTAAATGAAGACACTCCTATCAGGCATGACATAAATCACCTTCCTGAAGCTGAGGACCAAGGTCAGACCTCTTTCTGAGGAGATTAAATGGTTAAATTCCTTACCACACCACCTACTCTTAGGAATCATCCAGTATTTAAGAATTGCCAAATGGAGACCAGGGGCCAACGCAGACCCCCTTCATCTCCTTTGTTACGTCCATACAGCATCTGCCAAAACTTAAATTATAGTCACACAAAGATATGCATTTGTATTGGTTGGAACTCCGCTTCCTTTACAAGACAGACTTTGATTTTATGCATGATTATGAAAAAGGTACCATGGAAAAACACCCCCCCTCTGGTTCACCTCAGACGGGGAAAAGTCCCTCGTCAGACTCTTGGTCCTTACTCCTAAACAGAACTCCTGGTTTATCTTTTTGAGAAGATTGTTTACTGAAGGCTTACTCTGTTGTGGTCTGAGCCTTTGTCAAAGCGACTGCTTAATTTATTGTCGCCTTTGATGCAGGTAAAATTAGAACCCAAAGAGATTTCTGAGGGGAAAAAAAACAAAATATGGCATGCGATTCTCTTTGAAGATCTATATTCATTTACCTAATTGGGTGTTTTCAGTTTTAAAACATCAGTTTTGCCTTCATAAATGAGGAAGAAATTAAAACCAAAAGCAACATTCTGCATTTGGATTCAAGTATCTTCCAAGTCTTTAGGGTCGATTTCTGCTGAGGGAAGAAACCATTAAGAAGAACAACGCTTATTTTAGATTTCACAGATAAATGAGAACCCGCGGTATTTGTTTGCCTGTCCCTGGTTTATTTCACTTAGTATAATGTCCTCCAGGTTCACCCATGTCACAAATGACAGAATTGCCCTCTTTTGAAAGGCTGAATAGTATTACATCGTGCATACATACCACTGTTTCTTAAACATTCATCTGCTGATGGACATATAAGTTGATTCTATAATTTGGCTACAGCTGAACTCCTAGAAGGAAAATGGAATGTAGCCAAAAGGCTGGCAGGGAGTGGGGGACAGACTAGGGAGAGAGTCAAAGGGCATAAAGTTTCAGTTAGACAGAATCTTCAGAATTAAAGATAAGTATTTGAGCTGATGAATATGTTAATTAGCTCCATTCCATCATTCCATATTATATACATATATTACAACATCCGGCCAGGTGCGGTGGCTCACGCCTGTAATCCCAGCACTTTGGGAGGCCAAGGCAGGTGGATCCCTTGAGGTCAGGAGTTCAAGATCCCTTGAGGTCAGGAGTTCGAGTTTAGTAGAGATGGTGAAACCCCATCTCTACTAAAAAATACAAAATTTAGCCAGGCATCGTGGTGCTTACCTGTAATCCCAGCTACTGAGGAGGCTGAGGCAAGAGCTCAGCCTTGAACCTGGGAGACAGAGGTCACAGTGAGCCGAGATCATGACACTGCATTCCAGGCTGGGTGACAGAGCGAGACTCCACCTCAAATAATTAAATAATAACATCGCTTTGTGTCCCATAAATACATACAATAATGATTTGTCAATATGCAGTAATTTTTTTAAAAAAAGAACAAAGTTTACAGAGGCTGGGTTGCTTTTTATTTTTTATTTCATTTAATCTTGTTGAACCTGCAACAAAATCTCTATTTTTTGAATCTCTTCCACAGAGGAGATATCAGTCTTTTATCTGAGTAAATTCATACAACTGATGCGAGATGGAAGAGCCACCACCGACTCCAGCTTTCTGCCTTCCAATCCCTGGCTACATCTCCCTCTGAAACAGCCCTTTTTCCCTGGATCTGAGTCAGTTCTTCTCAGATCACATTGGGCTGCTTCTGACACTGCCCAGTGGCAGGTGGGGGTTGCAAGCGACTCAGACACCTCAAAGGACCAGCAGATACCCTCACAGAGAGAGACAGATTCACAGTGCAACACACAAGTCCATTTCCACAGAAGAAAGACTCAGCCTATTTGCAGTTAGAGAGAAACTCTGTTAAAATCTAAGTGCTTTTATCTGTTGATTACATTTTTCAGCACATATTTTTTCTGTGTGTCACGGTGGTACTAAGGTTCATTTCTTTTTTCTTGTTTCTTTTGGAGATGGAGTCTTGCTCTGTCACCCAGGCTAGAGTGCAGTGGTATTAGCTCGGCTCATTCCAACCTCTGCTTCCCGGGTTTAAGTGATTCTCATGCCTCAGCCTCCTGAGTAGCTGCGATTACAGGCATGCACCACCACACCCAGCTAATTTTTGTATTTTTAGTAGAGATGAGGTTTTGCCACTTTGGCCAGGCTGGTCTTGAACTCCTGACCTCAGGTGATTTGCCCACCTAGGCCTCCCACTGTGCTGAGATTACAGGCATGAGCCACTGCACCCAGCCCTAAGTTTCATTTCCAAAAAGTGTTTTAAATTGTTTCTTTCAACATGAAAACTTTTGTTTGCATATTAATCTTATAAAAGTATTATCCTGTGTTACAGAAAAATGTGCTTTCTCGTTTACCTTAAAACAATATCACTCTGTCTATTTTCTCTCCACTTTTGGGACAGATGTGCATGATAACAATATATATTCAGTCAATACTTATGAGCCACACTGTGTCAGACACTGTTGTGTGCACTGTACATATATGAAATAGTATAATAGTGTAATCTTGTGTGCATATGTGAAATAGTGTAATCTACCCAACCCTACCAGGTAATGCAATAGGCTGATAATGGCTTTAAAGGAGCCATCTGCATATCCTAATCCCAGGACCCTGTGCATGTGCCCTTCTTTGGAAATTGGGTCTTTGCAGATGTAATTAAGTGAAGGATCTCGAGATGCGCTGATCTGGGGATTACTTAGGTGGATGCTAAATTCAGTAAGTGTCCTTATCATAAGAGGAGAAGGCCCTGAGAAGGTGGAGACAGAGATTGGAGAGGTGCAGCCGCAAAGAATTTTGACAGAAACCAGAAAAGGCAAGGAAGGACACTTCCCTAGAGCCTCCGGCAGAAACGTGGCCCTGTGGACATTTTGAGTTTGGACTTCTGAGCTCTAGACTTCTGAAAATAGATTTAGTTTGTCTTAAGCACCAAGTATGTGGTAATTTGTACGGCAGCCTCAGGAAACTAACACAGGCCCTAGGAGACATCACGTGCCTGCTTACAAGAAAGGGACAGAGGGAGATTGATGTGTAGAAGAGGGGGAGGCCATGCAGCCTCTGAGGCAGATTGGAGTGATGTGGCCACAAGCCAAGGAATGCCCACACCCTGGCAGAGGGAGGAAGGAAGAACAAATTCTCCCCTAGAGCCTTCGGAGGGAGCATGGTCCTGGCTACACCCTGATTTTGGTGCAGTGAAGCTGAGGTTGAACTTCTGGACTCCAGAACTGTGAGAGAAAGGATTACTGTCAGGTTTGTGTGTGTGTGTGTGTGTGTGTGTGTGTGTGTGTGTGTGTGTGTCTGTTTTTAAAACTTTATGTTAAGTTCAGGGACTCATGGGCAGGTTCGTTATATAGGTATAGGTAAACTAGTGTCACAAGGCTTTGTTATACAGACTATTTCATCTTCCAGGTATTAAGCCTAGTATCCATTAGCTATTTTTCCTGATCCCCTCTCCCCTCCCACCCTCCACCTTTCAATAGGCCCCAATGTGTGTTGTTCCCCTCTACGTGGGTCCATGTGTTCTCATCATTTAGCTCCCACTTATATGTGAAAACATGCAGTATTTGGTTTTCTGTTCCTGTGTTAGTTTGCTAAGTATAATGGCCTTCAGCTCCACCCATATCCCTGCAAAAGACATGATCTCATTCTTTTTATGGCTGCATAGTAGTCCACGGGGAACTACTCTTGTTTTAAGCCACCAAGTTTGGGGCAGGTTGTTTTGGCAGCCACAAAAGAATGGTACACATTTGTACAATATTTTTCCTGTTTCAAAGATGAAAAACTTTGAGGCCAAGGAGTTTAAGTAATTCATTTAAGGACACATAGCTAATAATTGGTGAGATAAAAAACACACCTATCCTGTAAATTTAAAAAGCCAGCTGGGCGCGGTGGCTCAAGCCTGTAATCCCAGCATTTTGGGAGGCCGAGGCAGGTGGATCATGAGGTCAGGAGATTGAGACTACCCTGGCCAACACGGTGAAACAACGCCTCTACTAAAAAAACTACAAAAATTAGCTGGGCGTGCTGGCGCATGACTGTAATCTCAGCTATTCGGGAGGCTGAGGCAGGAGAATGGCTTGAACCAGGGAGTCGGAGGTTGCAGTGAGCCGAGACCTTGCCACTGCACTCCAGCCTGGTAACAAAGCGAGACTCCATCTAAAAATAATAATAATAATAATAATAATAAATAAAAAATAAAGCCACTGCATACTCAGTGATACATGCCAACTAACACCCAACTCCGTTGTCAGGGAGACAGTGGTACATGTCAACTTCAGGAGTTGTGGCCATTCACAAAGCCTTGCCCCATATGACAGATCTTCTCATTTTTCAAGTGTAGCCTGAAATCTGTACTTTTATCTTTTATTTCAAATCTCCTGATTTTTTTTTTTTTTTGAGACAGGGTCTCTCCGTCTCTCTCTGTGACTCAAGCTAGAGTGCAGTGGTGCAATCATAGCTCACTGCAGCCTCAACCTCCTTAGCTCAAGTGATCTTCCCATCTCAGCCTCCCCAGGACTACAGGTGCACACCTGCAGCTAGGACTACAGGTGCACACCACCACAAACCTGGCTATTTTTTTTTTTTTTTGTAGAGACAGGGTCTTGCTGTGTTGTCCAGGCTGGTCTTGAATTCCTAACCACAAGTGATCCTCCTATCCCAGCCTCCCAAAGCACTGGGATTACAGGCATGAACCACCACACCCACCTCTGATTTTGTAATGTTAGTCCAAATTTAAAACAAAACAAAACAACAGCAATAACAACACTGGGCAGGTCTATCAAAATAGGTTCATGAGTTACCAATTTGCAACCCGGATAAAAGAGGCTCCAGTCTGACTAATGCTAATGTATTGTCCTGCTCCAGCTGCGGTAACAAAGTTCCACAGACCAACTGGCTGATACAACGGAAAGTTGTTTTTTCCAGTTTTTGAGGCTACAGTTCCAAAATTGAGGTGTCAGCGGGATTGATTGTTCTGCAGCTTGCAGATGCTGTCTTCTCCCTATGTCATTGCCTGACTGTCCCTCTGTCTGTGTGAGTCTGCACCCTACTCTCCTCTTCTTATAAGTAGACTAATCCTATACTAGTTTTACCTCAATTACCTGATTATAGGCCCTGTTTGCAAATATAGTCCCATGCCGAGGTACTTGGTGTTAGGACTTCAGCTTAGGAATTTTAGGAAGACACAATTTGGCCCATAACAGTGAATCAGCAACTATTTATGTGTTTAAACAGCACAGGAGACCTGGCCTGCTCTGGAAAGCAAAGACTTTCTCTGCTTTGCCCTTTTTATTTTCTTTATTAACTGGAACATAACAATTTGCCGTAGTGAGTCACTCAAAGTACACCAAATCCATCATCACTGTTTTTATTTTTTGCAAATGATTAAATATCACTTTCTTTCCATTTATAGCATCATCTAAGTGACAGCCTATCCATCAGCCTATCTGCTGATGTTTAACTACAGCATTTTGCATTCATTATTCCCTACTTATATCATTCTTTTAAAAAGAGGAATAACTTAATTCTGCCTCTTGACAGCAGGGAAATTAAATGGTGAGCCATAAAGATGAGTGTTTCTCTGAAAAACAAAACATGAACTGCAGATCTACAAAACCAAGCCAGCAGTATGTCACCCTACACTAAGATATACAAGGACAAGCTGCTGGAAAATCCTCCCATTTCAGAACGTTGAAAAACCTTCTAACCTTGAGTGCAATTTGCCAAATGGTACAAGCACTTCGGGGAGCAATTTGACAACACAGGAAGTTGAAGATACAAATGCCCACAGATGCGGGGAGTCCACTGCCAGGGACACGCTCTGAAGCTTTGGCTTCCCATTTCAACTTCAACTTACACGATTCAGTAGATTTGGCATGGCTCTCAGAACACACACACACACAATCTTTGCATCTATGTGGGATGGACAACAATGCCCACTTACATTCTTGTCTTGGGGCTAGGCTCACACTCCCCAGAGTCCACAGACCTCTTGCCTTCCTGTGCCTCCCATTGAATATCACATGAATTCCTTGCACTGATGACATCGTTCTGGTTGAACAAATTGAGTAACACAGGATGAGTGTACTGAAGACCTTAGGGAAGGCCCCTGTGCACCAGAGAGTGCAAGGACTCAGGGCCTAGTGGTCACAGGCCTGCAGGACGTCCTCTCTGACTTGAACAACAACTTGCTGCATCCAATACCACAAGGAAGGAAGCGAAGTGTCTGGTGGGCTTCTTCAGGTTTTACATCCAATACTGCAGCAGCCCACATACCATGTGATGTGCACAGCTGCCAGCTTTGACGGGTGCAGACAACAGGAAAGAACACCGCAGTTAGCACAGGGGTTGGTGCCATCAGCCCTAATGCTTGAGCCAAACCACCAGGAGGACTCTGTAGTGTTGGAGGTGCTCGTGGGGGAAGTTCCCACAGGAGAGTCACAACACAGGCCCCTGGGGTTCTGGAGCAAGTCCCCACCACCCAAGCAGCATCCTGTCCATTTTTAAAGAAGCAGCTTGTGTGGGGCCCCAGTAGACAGAACCCCTGACCACCAGAAACAAGTGGCCATGTGTCCGGAAATGTTCATGGTGGTTGGTTGGGTTCTGTCAGAACTAGTGTTCAGCTCTGAAGGGCCCAGCCTCTGTCCTTCGTAAGGAGTAAAAGGTACATCTGGGTCTCAGCTTGAGCAGATCTGAGGGCACTGATGGGTGATCGCGGCATGTGTACTCAGCCCTTGTGGAGCCAGCATGTTTGTGTCAGTGCCTCACCTGCAGCTTGTTCCTATGCATTGTTCCCCCAGGAAACACAGGGAGAGTGTCAGGGACTACAAGGGAAGATGCCATCAGAGCACGTTGGGTCCTTTGTGTCCAGGGACCTGGAGTTAAGAACGTTTGCCATCCCAGTAGCATCATTGACCCTGATTGGCAGAAAGAGGTGAGGCTGCTTTTCCAGACAAGCATAGGGAGAAGTCTGTGTGGGACCCAGTGGTGCATCTGAGTTGCCTCTTACTTCTCCTTCATCCCACTTTAACTGGGAATGAAAATGTGCAGTAACTCTGACGCTTCCGGAAGGAAAGTTCAAGTCCTGCCACCAGGTGGGCTGCTGAGACCTGGGAAGAGCACTAAGGGTGAGGGGCAGTTAGCATACCTGGTGGGGGGTGAGAGGATGAGAACTGATCTGATCCTGAGGCCAACTGCAGGAACGCGGGATGTGGTTGTCCCACTCCCCTCTGTAGGAGAGTCCTATGAATCCATGGCGGAGCTGCTTCCTGGGCGTGCATGGAGAGGTGGACCCATGTGGCACAGGCGGTGAGCCATGAAGGCCTGAAAATGCTCTGCTCAGCTCTGTGGCCGTGAGCACCTCCTTGATTGAAGGCCACCCCCTCATAGCTGCAGAGACCATGCTTCCTGGACCTGCTCCTAGATCATGACTGACAATGGCCCCGGTGCTGAGGCAGGCCCCTTTCTGCAAGCTACAGACTCCTTTTGCAGGGACTTTGGCTTGAGGATTCCCTGTCCTTTTTGCTGAGTTACTTTCTGTCCAGTCCCCTGTCCTGCCTCCCCACCTTTCATAGGAGTCAGCCCTGCATCACATTCTGAAGAGTCTCTCCACTTTCTCGGGTCCCTTCCATTATCCTTCATAGGTGTTTCTCCCAGTAGATCTCTAGTGGTTCATATCCCTTCCTGGCTGCCACTTCTAGGGAGAAGTTAAATTAATACACCTTGTATAAAACATGAAAGACTCACTCTGACATCTAAGTAAAATGATAATGTTGCTATGGAGTTTATACTCAAATCATCATGAATTTGTCTGAACAATGCTCAAATAATAATAGTATTTTCCAAGATTTAATAAGCATTTACTCTGTGCCACATACTCTTTTAGGCACTTTGCATCATCATTTCCTTTCATGCTCACGTCTACCTTATGAAATAGTAATAGTAGTAATCCTGTCTTAGAGCTGAAGTAAATGAGGCTTAAAGATTTTAGGTATCTCATGGTTCATGCCTGTAATTCTGCCACTTTGGGAGGCCGAGGTGGGCGGGATCACTTGAGGCCAGGAGTTCCAGACCAGCCTGGCCAACATGGTGAAACCCCATCTCTACTAAAAATATAAACATTAGCTAGGTGTGGTGGTGGGCACCTGTAATGCCAGGTACTTGGGAGGCTGAGGCAGGAGAATCGCTTGAACTCGGGAAGCGGAGGTTGCAGTGAGCCGAGATCTCGCCACTGCACTCCAGCCTGGGCGACAGAGCAAGACTCTGTCTCAAAAAAAAAAAAAAACAAAAACAACAGTTTAGGTATCTCTCCCCATGTTCTACAGCTAATAAAAACATAGAAGTAAGAGCAAATCCTTCCTGTGGTTGTTTTTTAACATTATTACAACAAAATGAAGCCTATTTTATCCCGAACTCAATTATTGCCTTTTGAACTTTCAGCAACAACTGTGAGTGTTGTATTCGGCTATCTCCTGGCTTTTCATTATTGTTATTTTTCTGCAATCACCCCCAGTTCTTTTTGAACCAAGGAGTCTGACCACTTCTGACCTCTTTAATGATTTTCCATATCATCTGACCCATGAAATCTCACACGCGACCCCATGTTACAGCTCTTGATGGTATTTTAAAACACAGAAAAACCCTGGTGCTTATTTACAAGCTAAAATGGCCCATCTGTCAGAAGGCCATGGCCTTTTCCTCGTGTCAGTGCACACATAAAATTTCTATTGTTTTCTTCCCTGAGTCTGAATTCTTGGCAGTTGGCAACAAAATCAAACATTTCTTATTATTTTTTATTTTTTCCCCCTGAGATTCACATTCTTGCAATGCCAGCTGTCTCACAAAGATAGAGAGCTCCAGGAGCAAGGCATCTGGGGACAGTTTTCTGCGTTTATCTGAGATAGCTCCTGATGGAAAGCAAGGTCTTTAGCTAATGTGCGGCACCTAAGCACATCCTTCACTCATTGTGATTATTTGTGCAGCCTGCTTGGTGTACTTGCTGTTTTCTTGATATTGTGCTCCTGAAATTGATCAGGTGTCTCTAAACTCCATCTTACTCTTCAAGAGCATCCTGGGAATTCAGCTAAATTATAGCTCCATACGATGCCATAATTTCATCCTCACCCAAAAAAAAAAAATCCATTACATGTTTACCTTATTTCATTTAAAAGGCAGCATCTCCCTCCACATATTCCACTGGAGGGGTTTCACATTTTACTGAAATGTCATGTTTCTAAACTTTGATTATATGATGACAGTGGCTATTTGTACATTGTCAACTTGATTAATTTTGGGATCATCTTTCCTGGAACTCCTTTCCCTGTAATTCCCAGGTTGGAATTGGCCAGAAGAGGAATCCAGGCATGATGAGTGAAACAGAAAGGAAGGATCAGCCTACTGGTCTCTAAAGTTCATTAGTGCTAGAAGACGTGACAGACACACAGAGAAGTGGCAGTGGGTTCCAGCCTGACCTCACCATGAAATGCATACTTAGATCTCCACCCCAGGGCCAGCCCCACTGACAAACAGCCCCAGACTCAGCACTGGCAGCTGAGCTGCACACCTGCAGAAGCAGTCACTGCAGAAAAGTGGCCATTCTTCAGGTGTTTCCACCACCTCCCCTTCCTTGTCTCACTCCTGCAGCTGGGTGTGTGTGGCTTCCTGGATGCCCACCAGCCTCCAACACATCCACCTGGAAGTTCCTTTGTCCCAGTTCACAGCCCAATCATTCCAGAGGCCTCGTTAGTGAACTTTCTCTGATCTTCCAATGACCTATTCCATTCCCTTATTTTTTTGCTTCACTCACCATTGTAAAAGACTTATACTTATAATAATTATTTTATTCTATAATATTCATAGCTGCTCTGCTGATTCAATTTAACTGATACAATGGTATTACCTTCCATCTAATAAGTTATGTAACTTCAATGCATTTTGTACAGGGAAGGTGGACAAAGAATACCAATGCATCCACTCATCAACCATGTTCTTAATCCAGTTGCCTGTGCTTTATTGTTTTTGTTTTTGTTTTTTGTTTTTTTTTTGAGATGGAGACTCACTTTGTCACCCAGACTAGAGTGCAGTGGCGCAATCTCGGCTTGCTGCAACTTCCGCCTCCCAGGTTCCAGCAATTCTTGTGCCTCAGCCTCCCAAGTAGCTGGGATTACAGGCTCCCGCCATCACGCCCTGCTAATTTTTGTATTTTTAGTACAGACAGGGGTTTCATCATGTTGGCAAGGCTGGTCTCGAACTCCTGACCTCAGGTGATCTGCCTGCCTCAACCTCCCAAAGTGCTGGGATTACAGGCGTAAGCCACCTTGCCTGGCCTATTGTTTTGAACTGTACTGGGAAGTGATCTTCTTCACAAAGACCAAAGCACATCCTCCTGGGCCTCTTTAAGAATTACTGTAAAGTGAACCACTGTTTATTGACAGTATATTGAAGGAGGGCCACCCCAGGAGTATCATAGCTTTTAATCCATTTAAGTCAGTGGCAGAGACAAAAAATAATCAAATATTTCTTCCTAAGGAACAAAATCTTAATAATTGCTGAATTCAGTACCAGTCACTTCAATTTGCATGCAACTTTGGCTTAGAAACTCATCTTCAGATGAGGAAATCTGAGCCATTCTTTCTTTCTCTTCATTTTCAGAAGTAAATGCCAATCCACGACACCAGAGGCACTGTTTATTAACAGAGAACTCATGTTCCCACTGTGATTCAATTACAGGGGAAAGCTATTCAACATATAAATTACAAAAAAAGTCATTGCATCATTCCAAGTGCAAAAATAATACAATTTTGGCAGACTTTTTTTGTATCTCATTTTTTAAAAAAATCAACCATCACCAAGTATTAAGGAGGTGCAGGAAACCGTGGGTCTAGCTGTGTAGGTTCTTTAGCTACCTGAGCCTGAGATGAGGGGTGGAGGGGATATTCGTCTGTTGTTGCATTGCGTAAAGAACTATCTGAGACTGGGTAATTTATAAATTAAAGAGGTTTAATTGGCTCATGGTTCTGTAGGCTGTAAAGGAAGCATGACTGGGGAGGCCTCAGGCAACTTATAATCATAGCCAAAGGTGAAGGGGAACCAGGCACGTCCTGCATGTCGGGAGCAGGAGGAAGAGAGAGAGAAGGGGGAAGTGCTGCACACTTTTAAACAACCAGATCTCATGAGAACTCACTCACTATCATGAGAACAGCAAGGAGGAAGTCTACCTCCATGATCCAATTACCTCCCACCAGTTCCTTCCTCCAACGTTGGGGATTATAATTCAACATGAGATCTGGGGGTAGGGGAACAGAGAGCCAAATGATATCAGGGGAAATGACTACTCACAAGTGTGTTAGTTTCCTCTTGCTGCTGTAACAAATAATTATAAACTTTGTGGCTTAAAACAATGCAGATTCATGATTGTACAGTTCTGAGTGTCAGAAGTGCAAAATGCAGCTCACCAGACTAAAATCAAAGTATCAGAAGAACTGTGCCCTTCTGGAGGCCATAGGGGACGTTCCATTCTTACTTCTTCCAGCTTCTGGAGGCCGCCCCTACTTCTTGACTCATGTCCCCCTTCCATCTTTAAAGCCATCACTTGCATCTCTCTTACCTCTGCTTCTGTGTTGGCATCTTCACTGGCTTTGATCCTTCTGCCTCCTTCTTATAATGACATTTGTGATTACATTTGATCCACTCAGATAATTCAGAATCATCTCCACAGCTCAAGATTCTTTACTTAATCACAATGGCAAAGTCCCCTTTGCCATGCTGGTTAACATGTTCCCTGGTTCTAGTGATTAGAATGTGGACATCTTTGGGGTTCTTTATTATGTCTAATACAACATGCAAAAATCATCGGTGTCTTTCCTTCTTCTGTAACTAGCCATGTAGTTAAATATTCATAAATAATGCCATGTCTTAAATGCCTGTCTGTTCCTCCAGGAGAGACATCTAAAAGGCAGAATAATATTAAAAATTAAGAGCTGTGTCATACTTCACATGACATGCATTTGAATTGCATTAATTCTTATCATAAATTCAAAATTCAATTTCTAATGAGCTCAACAGCACTAGACTTTAGAAAGCTGAGTGTTATCTCTTCTGTATGCTTGCAGACCAATGGCAAAGGTTTTGATATTTGGGAAATCTGATTATTTCTTTGCCTGATGGTTCATTGTTGGACTGGGTGCAACAATTTTTACTTCTGTGATCTCTCAGGTTTTTTTTTCCATTTTCCATAAATTTGCTAAGCATCACCATTTTCTTATCTTCCTCGTTTCCACCATTAAAACCTTCCCATCACTGAAGCTTTGAATGAAAAATTACTTTCAAAAATAATCTTTTTTTCATCATTTCAATAGTATTTATTATGTGTCTGATATGTGCCATGAACGTGCCAGATTCTGGGGATGTAACAGTAAGCAAGATAATGTCCTTGCCCTTCATTGCGTAGGATGGTCAGGGGAGACCTCACTGTGACGGTCACATCTGAACTAAAGGGAAGATGATAAGAACAGCATTCCTGAAACACAGAACAACAAGTGCAAAGGCCATGAGACAGAATTGAGCTTGGCTTGTTTAAGGAATGGAAATATAACCAGAGTCAATAAAGAGCACTAGGTGGGAGGAGATATGGCCACCCTTCTCTTCTCTAGACTCTGACAGCTTCCAGTCTGTGCCCTTGTCTGAAATGTATCCCAGGTATGTGTGCAGGTCCCTGACCTCCTTTATTACATGTACCTCACCCAGTGCTTACTTATAATAATCACCCAGAAACTACTTATTCAAGTATGACTACTCCATTGAAATGAGAAGTATATTACTCTGATATTTAGTAATCAACTTACCAGAAATCCTAGACAATCTTCAGGAAGCCAAGTAGGTAAGTGAGTATAATGAAATCTGAGTCCTGAAGTGTATCAGTTTATATATTATAGATACACCAAATCCCTGGTGCATTATATTATAATAACAAATATTCTCTCCCCAAATTGCAGTGGGTTAAAGCAAATGAAAAAAGTGTTTTCATTTTGTTTTTTTTCCTTTTACTGCCTTATGTTCATTGTTGGCATACAGAGGGCCTCTGCTCCACAACGTCACTCAGGGACATAGTGATGGAGCAGCCACTATCTTCAACATGTGAAAAAGAAAAAAAAGACATCGATGTGTGTTTAATAATTACTCAGTAGTGGTATAGAATGGGGAGGTGTGAGGAGGGAAGGCAGAAGGGAATGGTGCTTGTCCCACCCACTCCCTCACTCCTAATATCAGCCAGGCTGCTATAGCTTTGTTTATCAGTCGATGAAATTCTAGTCCAGGGCCTTCATTTGCCTCTGCAGCTGAGAGCGCACTCTTCTCAGCTAAGAGGAATGACAGGGAAGTGGAGTGAGAGTTGGAATTTATGAGCTTTTAAAGAGGACAGAGAGCAAAAGTTGGAGGACACATTTTGGGGGAAAATTTTTATTTGTATTCCCTGATTAGAGGAGTGGAGGGTGAAGCAGTCTCTGGTTCATCAGCCAGAAATAATAAGACATGTTACCATTCTCAGTCAACTCAGAAATCAAACACAGTTAAAGTGCATTTATTCTCTGGTCACATTGGGGCTTCACAAAATAGAAGAAAACACCCCTGTCACTTTAGGAGGCTACAACCCAGTGAGAGTTTATTTTATGACTGTTTCTTAAAGCCAGGTTTACACTAGCCAAATGAAATGAAGAACTGGGCAATTATGAATATAGTTCATTTCCAGAGACAAAATAATTCTATGAAGTTGCTGCAGTCCGGCCTATCAGAACCAACAATTCTGTTATTTTTTAGCTTGGCCAGTTTTCCCAGGGGTGTTTCCCCACTGTGGTAATTGAAGCTGGCTGAGAAAACCAGTGGGCTGCCGGCAGAGCCTGAATCTCCAGCCCCAGGGAGCTGGGAGCTCTCTCTAGCTGGGGAGAGCTCTTCAGATTGACTTCCAACCCCCTTAGGCTCGGTTCATGTTTCTCTAGTGTCTCCAGGCTTGTGGGGGGTTGGGGGGTGGGGGTGAATGATGGATTTATAATTTTTTCTGGATCGTTCTCTATTGTTTCTTTTTGTTTGATCTTTTTTTGTGTGTGTTTTAATGCACCGGGGCTCAGGTCGTCCTCTGGAGTTCTCTGGTAAGGAGGAATGTTGGTGACAAATAGGAAAGTCAGGCTTCCTTTCTGATGTTGGCCAGAGACAGTGAGGGTGGGAGCAGGACCTGCCTGGGCCATGTGGGCAGGATGGGAAGAGGTGGGGGCACTGCCAGGCACTGCTGGCTTGGAGAAGGGGTTGCAGCTGGACTCTGAGACTTTCCTTGTGAGGTTTCTGATTTCCCAAGAGTTGGCTTTTGATCTGCGGCATTCTGGAAAGAGGATCAGAATCCCGCCCTCAGGAGGCCCAGACCCCCCTAGGGCCCAAGAGACCCCTGCATCAGTAACCTGAACAGGTGCCACTGGAAGGACAGAAGAGAAGACAGAGCTTTAAAAATCAGTGGGAAAGGACGAGGGGGCGGGGCAGAGGAGTCCAGGACCCCTCTGCCTGCTTCTGCACAGAAAGGACTACAAGGGCAGGGATAAGTCTGGGGCACCCGTGTTTGATTTCCTGAGTCCCCCTAGACTTGCACACAAGTGCATTGAGGAAAGAAATCAAACAGCGCAGGAAAAGCATGGATTGAAAAATAAAATGTTCCTCTATCCCTATGTGCCATTCCTTTCCCTTTCCCGAGGTCATCACTGTTAAGTTTCTGGTGTGGCATATGTATCTCTCCCCGCTTTTTGTGCATCTTGTTACCGCGCCCCACCCCCACCCCATGTACAAATGTCACTATAGATCTTTCTGTGCTAAGCCACATGGGCCCCTTAACCTCCCACGTATCTCTCCCCACTTTTTTGCATCTGGGGACGGCGCCCCCCACCTCAGCCCCATGTGCAAATAGATCTTTCTATACTAAGCTGCATGGGCCTCTTTACCTCAGGTGTTCCCAGCAATCAAGACCAGAGCAGGGTGTGTCCCACATAGGCTGGGGGTTGGAGAGTGCTGCCCCCCCCCCGCCCCGCAGGGCCTCGGGAGGGTGAAGGGGCCGACTGGGTCTCTGCTCCCTGGGAATCTGGCCGGAATTCCACAGGGCTGCAGGGCCCGCCGCCCAGCGCCAAGAAAGCGGGTGGCCACATCGAAGTTTCTCAACGGGAGGAGCGGATTCGTCTGGAGACGCCGCCTTCTCCCCGCGCCTCTTCTTCCAGCACTGCCACACGGGTCCTGGAAGGATCCTGCACCCTCTGCTCAGTCCCCGCTCAGTCTCTGCTCCGGGCTGGGGGCTTTCTCCACCTGCCCGGGCGGGGGCGCCAGAGGGGAAGAGGGGGGACTGCAGGGAAAGGGGCGGGTTCGGGGGGACTGTGCGGGGCAGGAGGTGGTGGAGCCGGCGGTTGGCATCGCTGGAGGCAGAGGGGACCAGGAGCGGGAGAAGCCGGGGCCGGAAAGGCGAGGCGGGGCTGGGGCTGGGGCGGCTGCGGGGCGCGGGGGAGATGCCGAGGGGCTGGGCTGGGGCAGGGTCTGCAGGTGCGGCGGGCGGATCAGCGGCACCCGCTGCAGACGCGGTCGGCGAAACGTCGTCCCGGCCCCAGCTCGAGCAGCGGCTCCGGGTGGACCTCGCAGGGATGCGGAGCGGCCGGATCCTGCCGACTCGACTGCTCGGGGCCGCCCCAGGGTGTGGGCGGCCGGCAGGGACCGCGGGTGAGCGGTGGGCAGGTCTCAGGACTCTCTCCGGACGTGCGGTCCGGGGCCGCGCCGGGTGCTGGGCGCGCTACCCAGCCAAGGTGAGGCAGGAGCGGCGTCTGCGGTGCTGGCGCTCGGCTTTTGGGAAGCTCCCCCACTCCGCCCCCCACCGCGGTCTCTGGGGGTCCAGGCGGAGGGAGCTGACCCTGGAGTTTGGAGATCTAGAGGGGGCGCAGGTGCACCTGGAGCGCCGGTGCAGGGCTCCTCCGCTCCGATGGGCGGGTCCCGCTGGGAGTGGCGGCGCCTTTGGGGCCAGCTGGGGGCTCCAGCCTCTCCAAGGTGTTGTCTGAGAGCGGATAAGAGGGTGTGGGTAAGAGAAAGGTTCTGAGGATCCACGGTGTCCCACTTCCTATCCCTATGTCAGCCAAACTGTGGTACTAGAACGAGGGACAGCCCGGTGTCTGGTTCATTTTGGCTCCAACCGTTGAGTACCTCCCTGCCTCAGCTCAGATCACCTGTGCGAATAGAAAATGGCAGTAACCTTTGCGTAGCATCCCTATAGCCATTCCCCACCAGACACAGGTGCCTGTCAGGGTCTCAGAGTGGGGAATCACATCCTGTTTTCCTGGAACCCTTTCCACCTGAGAGCTCTTCAAGCCGAGCCATGAACACGTGCGACTGAACATTGCTGAGAGAAACGGAAAAGTTGCTTTTGCTTTCCTAGATGCCTCACGCACAGCCTCTAGTTCCCTGGAAACCCATGGCCTTTGAAGCTGATGGCTCCCAACTAGACCCAGATTTTCACAAACATGCCCTCTATGGTTTAGAAAGAGTGTCCTATTTCTCCCTGGAGCTCCAAGTATACAAACATGATTTGAGAGGGGGGAATTGATAAGGGTCAGGATAATTTCCCTTTCCTGTAATTTTTTTTTTTTTTTTTTTTTTGTGACTGAGTCTGGCTCTGTCACCCAGGCTGGAGTGCCAGATCTCAGTGGCGAGATCTTGGCTCAGTGCAACCTTTGACTCTAGGGTTCAAGCGATTCTTCCATCTCAGCCTGCTGAGTAGCTGGGAATACAGGCACGTGCCACCATGCCTGGCAATTTTTTTTTTTTTTTTTGTATTTTTAGTAGAGATGGGGTTTCAACAAGTTGGCCAGGCTGGTTTCAAACTCCTGACCTTAAGTGATCCGCCTGCCTCGGGCTCCCAAAGTGTTCGGATTACGGGCCTGAGCCACCAAACCCGGCCTCTTTCCCGTGTGTGTGTGTGTGTGTGTGTGTGTGTGTGTGTGTGTGTATAGAGAGAGAGAGAGATGGAGTCTTGTTCTGCTGTCCAGACTATAGTGCAGTGGCAGGATCTTGGCTCACTGCAACATCCACCTCCCAGGTTCAAGCAATTCTCTGCCTCAGCCTCCTGAGTAGCTGGGATTACAGGCTCCCACCATTATGCCTGGCTAATTTTTGTATTTTTGGTAGAGATGGGGTTTCACCATGTTGGCCTGGCTGGTCTCAAACTCCTGACCTCAAGAGATCCGCCCACCTTGGCCTCTCAAAGTGCTGGAATGACAGGCCTGAACCACTGTGCCCGGCCTCTTTTCTGTAATTTTTAAAAAGGTAAAATGCATCTTTAGGAGCAAGGTTCAGACTAAAGCTTGGTGAGTGAATAGTGAGTGACCTGGAGCTATTTTGAGTGAGTTTCTCTGAAGGTTTCCTTGAGAAGGCTGACTTTGGAGCAGAGGCTTGAATGAAGAGAGGAAGGAGAGATGTGAACAGTTAGGAGAAGCTGTCCAGGCAGGAGACGGCAAGTGAAACTGGAATAAGCTTTGTGTGTGGGAGAAACAACAAGATGGCCAGGTGGCTGAAGCAGAGGGAGAGAAGTTGGAAGTGATCGGGGCAGACCCACGTGGGCCCTGGCAGGACATGTGTGGCTGATGCTGAAATTACCCCACCTCAGTATCCATTCTCCCCTCCCTTCGTCAGCATAGAAATCTTCGTTTTTAGCTTGACAGAATAATGACTATATTTTCCAGCTTTTTTTTTTACTCCTCATAAGGCAGGTATCCCTGTGATTAACACTTGATATGGCTGAGAGTGGTGCCTGTAATTTCCTTGATTTTTTTTTTTTAACTTTTTAGATTCAGGAGGGACACATGCAGGTTTGTAATATGGGTGTGTCGTGTGATGCTGAGGTTTAGGGTATGACTGGCCCATCGCCCCGGTAATGAGCACAGCAGCCAATAGATAGTTTTTGGACCCTTGTTCACTTCCCACCCTCCCCGTCTCGTAGTCACCAGTGTCTGTTGTTCCCGTCTTTAAGTCCATGTGCACCCAATGTTTAGCTCCCACTTAGAAGTGAGACCGTGCAGCATTTGTTTTGAAATGTTCTTAATGGAAGGAAACATGCCCCTCCTACATCCTGGTGGCTAGAATGTGGGTGTCATGACTGGATTACCAGCATTTATTTGGGGCCACACAATGAGCTTAGGAATGGAAGTTTGGCACAGTGAAGCAACAAGAGAAGGGGATCTGGGTCTCTGGAACTAGACTTGGGCTGATTGCCTCTAGGCTACAGTGGCATGAGAGAGAAATGAAACTCCTCTCTTGTTTAAGACCCTGCATTTTTGGAACCTTCTGTGACTCACAGCTCAGTCTAATCCTGTTTGATATACTGAGGTAAGAACTTTAAATTTTATTCTAATCCCAAGGAAATATTTGGAGAATTTTATGCCAGGGAGGGACGTAACGTGCTCACTAAAGGCTCACTCTGGCTTCTAGGAGAGATCAGGCACCAAGGCCCAAGAGTAGAAGTAGGTCAATTGGTTGGGGCTCTTGCAGTTATCCAGGTAGAAGGTGATGGTTGAATTAGACTATGGTGGAAGTGCGGTGGGTGGTGATAAGTGGTCGTATTTGGAGTGGATTTATGTACTGTGTATTTTTGTTTTATCAAATGTATTTTTTTTAATCTGGGGATATCATTTATATGCATTAAAACACACCCATTTTCAGTGCACAGTTAATACATTTTGGCAACTACATACATCTGTTCAAACACCATCACAATCAACACACAGAATACTCCATTCATCCTGAAAGTTTCCTCATTCCCTTTCACAGTCAATACTCCCACAGACTCCAGACCCAGCAAACACCAATTTGCTTTCTGCCACTATACATTAGATCTGCCTTTTCTGGACTATCATGTAAGTAGATTCATACAGCATATTGTTTCTAGCTTCTTTCACTTCACAAACGTTTATGAGATTCATCCTGTTGTTATGTGAATCGGTGACTCACTTCATTTTTAGTGCAGAGTAGTGTTTGTTGCTGGGAGTTTATTTACCACCATTTGTTTACCTTCTCATGTGTTCATGAACATTGCATTGTTTCTAGGCATTGCTGTTATGAACAAAACTACTACAAACATTCATGGACAAATCTTTATGTGGTCATATGCTTTAATTTGTCTCTGACAAATGCTAAGAGCAGAATAATTGGGCAATATTGTAAGTGTAAATTTAAGCATGTAAGAAACTGTCAACCTTTTCTCCAACTGATGTATTAGGTTGGTGCAAAAGTAATTGTGTGTGTGTGTTTTTGCCATAAAAGGAATGGCAAAAACCGCAATTACTTTTGCATCAACCTATGATTCCCAGTTGCTCTTCACTCTCACCAAATCTTTGTATTGCCAGTTTAAACAATTCTGTCCTTTACTTGCAGAACCCTGCTGCTAATGTGCCCAGCTAAAAAGAAAATAAAACAAACCGGCAAACACAAAACGCTGTATTTCCCAGCAGTGCAGCCAGCTGACAAGGTCTGGCCAATGAGAGGCCAGCGGAAATTCCTGGGCGGGACTTCCGGGAATTCCCATAAACTGGGCTGAGTTTCCACTCTCCAAGATGGTGGCCCAGGAAACTTTATGCCTGGGGGAATTCTCGTCTCAACCCCAGGGCTTGTGAGCAGGCTTGGCTCTGAGCTGGAGCTGGTCTGCTTCTGGTGGATGGTGGCCCTGTATGGACAACTCAGGCAGCTCTTGGTCCTTGATCTCCTCACCTTGTTGCGTTAGCATAGTGGTTCCACCTTAGCAAAAGGTATCACTCCTTGCACCCTCATCCGGACGTCTGGGGAATCATACTTTTGGGGGATGTGGCTAACCTTGCCCAAAGCCTTTCTGTATTTGGGTTTTGGTGGATCCTGGGTCCACAGCTAAAGGGATGCAAGGCCTGAGTCGGGCAGAGATTCGGGTTCCTTGGCTGGTTTACTCAAGGATGGGGAAGGGAACATGAGAATTTAAATGAGAGAAGTGTGGGTCTTGGTTCAGGGCTGTGCACAGAAAGCAAACCCTGAATGAGAGAGGAGGAAGTAAAAGTCCATTTAAATACACTACACGTTCCATCATTCAGACAGACAACACCTTCAACTCATGCTTAACTTGGCAAATTGTCATTAGATACAGATAATCATCAATGGATCTTGTAGCGTCATTTACGGGCAGTTCCCAGAAGGAAGATGACATTTCAAACCAAATGGAGTTCAAAATTTCTGCTGCTCATTCGTAAACTGCTTGTGGCCTAACTCAGTTCCCAAGAGTCCTGTTAGTAATTCTGCCTTTGTCTTTTTCTTTCCTTTTACTTTAGCATTGGAGCCCCAAGGGCTCACCATCAGCATAGACTCTTCTCACCAATACCTTACCTACCTGGGATCTGTTGTATGAGAAATTCAGAAACCCCCTTTTTGCATAAGGAAACCATCAGGAGCTAAATCATTTTTTTACATACAAAGCTAAGTGGTTTTCAATATTACATGTTAACTACAGACCTTCATTATGGAAAATGTTGTGCCTCTGGACTTACGGCAACCTCAAAATATTTCAACCTCAAAATATTTCGGACAAACCATTAAGTTTACTTGTAAATGGAAGCTAAAAGCCTACATTTTCCAGGTGAGAAAATCTACCTGAGCAGTTTTATTTTGCCTTATGGAAGGAACTATGACAGCACCATGGAAGAAAATCACCATGCTCTTAGCGACCCCTGAGAGGTGAGAAAGCAGCTGCTGGCCTCAGGGGATCTTGCCCTGTGTGCCTCAGAACTGGAGCTTGTGGGCAGGTCTTGGTGGCTCACACCTGTAATCTCAGCGCTTTGGGAAGCCCAGGCGAGAGGATCACTTGAGGTCAGGAGTTCGAGACCAGCCTGGGCAACATGGCAAAACCCTGTCTCTACTAAAAATACAGAAATTAGCCGGGCATGATGGCATGTGCCTGTCATCCCAACTACTTGAATCCACAGAGGTTGCAGTGAGCCAAGATCCTGCCACTGCACTCCAGCCTGGGTGACAGAGTGAGACTCTGACTCAAAAACAACAACAATAACAAACGAACTGGAGCTTCTGTTCAGATAGTTCATTTTCTGATGGGATTGCTGGGAGGAAAGTCAATGGACCCAGCAGAAGGGACCCACGAGGGGCTCTATTATGCTATTTGGCAAGAGAATGAGAAAGTAGAGGACAGGCTGGATGAATAGGGTACCATTGGCTTTTAATGGGCTCATGAAAATTCTTAGCTCAGTGAATTCTGGTTGGATGTAGTGTTGTCATCTGGCAGCCTTCCCAGCCAGTCAAACCAGGAGGTATTGTCATGTTGATGTGACCTCACCTGCAGTTCTATCATTTTTTCTTCATCCTGAGTTGCTTACTTGCATAGTCAACTACTGGTATGAGAGCATGACGTGGGTGAGACCCTGCTTGGTGTTTTGAAGATGTGTATTTAAGAAGAGACAAAGCATTTCCAACTGCAGGGGGACAGTCATGTGGATGCACATATACACAAGCCAATCCCTCTAAATTCTTTTTTTTTTTTTTTTTTTTTTTTTTTTGAGACAGAGTCTTGCTCTGTCGCCCAGGTTGGAGTGCAGTGGTGTGATCTTGGCTCACTGCAAGCTCTGCCTCCCGGGTTCTCGCCATTCTCCTGTCTCAGCCTCCTGAGTAGCTGGGACTACAGGCGCCTGCCACCACACCCAGCTAATTTTTTGTATTTTTAGTAGAGACGGGGTTTCAACGTGTTAGCCAGGATGGTCTTGATCTCCTGACCTTGTGATCTGCCCGCCTCGGCCTCCCAAAGTGCTGGGATTACAGGCATGAGCCACCGCACCCGGCCTCTAAATTCTTTACTAATAGAAAAGGGTTGGCCAGCAACTGAACCAAAAAAAAGAAAGATGAAAGCAACATAACGTATTAGTTTCCCACTGCTGCTGTAACACATAACTACACACTTCCTGCTTTAAAACAATGTAAGTTTATTCTTTACAATTCTGGAGGTCAGAAGTGTGAAATGCGTCTCACAAGGTTAAAACCAAGATGTTGGCAAGACTGGTTCCTTTTGAAGGCTTTAGGGGATGTTTCCTTTTCTTGCCTTGTCCAGCTTCTAGAGTTGACTTTTCCTTTTTAATTGCTTTACTCATGGTCTCTTTAAAGCCAGCAGCCTCACATCTTCACATCTCTCTTCACTTTGGTTGTCACATCCCCTGTGACAATGTCCCGTATATAGACCCCTGTAATTATGTATAAATCTATAGAGATTTTCTGCTTCTCACTTTTTATAGAAAGCAGTTACTGCATCCAGATTTGGGTAAAATCCAGAACCAGCTGCTGTAAATAAGGTCATAAAGGAAGAAAGGTAAATCAATGACTTCAGGATGTCAGGGCAAACAGGATAGTGGATAGGATCTCTCACAGGTAAAAGGAGGCAGTAGAGTGTTAGTTCATTGAATGGACTTTGTTTAGAACCAGGTGGTTGAAATTGTGTCCCCATCACTTACTAGCCTTGTATTTTAAACAAGTGACTTAACTCTTTTTACCTCAGTCTCCTTTTCTGTAAAATAGTATCTACTTTGCAGGATTCTTTAAGGATGAATTGAATTAATAAATGCAAAGTGTTTCCACAACACCTAGCATGTAATAAATAATTCTTAGTTATTGCAATGACATTTCACTTATTGGATTCTGCTGATGATACATTCATGATAATCTCCAGACAATATTGATCTCTTCTTTTCTCTGAGCTCTGGCAATGTGTAAAACTTTAATCAAACAGTTTAATTTGGATTTTCTTTTATTGTTAGTTTATATTTCATCTGTCTCTCTATCTATATATATTTCCAACAATAACTTTTTCTTTTTCTAAATCATAAGTCCCTCAAGGCCATGGCTGTTTGTCTTTCACTTTTTTTTGTTGTTGTTGTTCTTTCCCAACCTTGACTTTTGATTGCCTTGATAAGTTAATTCACATAGAGACCTACACTTAAGTTTGTGCTTTGTAAGAAAGCTATGTTTGTACATTGAAGAAAAGCATTGACCAAGCAATTTAGTCATGTAAGCATAAATGCTGAAGGGATGTTGATGGTACTTGAAATTATGCTGTGTGGGCATTTGAGAAATACCCATTCGCATGCATACCATTGATATGGCCATGATAACATACTTTCAATGAATCATTAAAACATGTTCTCTAGGAATATGTCACATCACCAGGCACCATGTGTTTCATCTTCCTTCATGTGCTTGAAAACAATGGTCTGCATTGGGAAAAGGATGCACAATATTCCATACATGATGTTGACCCCCTCAAGCTAGTTAGGATTACAAGTGTGTTATTATTTACAAAGAAAGGTCAGGTCTGGGGCTATAAACTGACCCTGGTTCTGCTCAAGTGAGCTGTGAGGAACCCACATCTATTTCCCAGCCCCACTTTTTTCAGTGTTGGTCACATGTAAGGCAGACTCCTCAGTATAATGAGAGGGCTAGAACAGGATACAGATGAGGGAAGGGGGCTGGGCCAGGGGAGGAGGTGGACAACAGGGAATGGTGGGAACTGTGGGGAACCTTAGAATGTAGGCACCCACCAAAGATAACAGTAACCACGCAGATCCAGCTGCATGTCTGGGTGGACATGCATGCCAGCTAAGTGGAGGGAGCTGGGGCAGGGGCAGGGCCATATTCCTGGTTGGGTAACTTATGGATACTTCTTACAGTATCTCTGTCTTACTGACATCATCGATGAAGACTCAGTATCTAAAGTAAGCATATTGGACATTCAATGTGTAACCAAAAAGCAGGTCAGTTGCTTGTCACATGCAGAGTCCAGTTAGCCAGAGTGAGGTCTGGTATAACAAAAGTAAATTTATTCTGAAGCTAGCTTGGGGGAAGGGGCACAAAGCATCTTTAAGGATGAAATGAGTTAATAAATGTGCCATTTCCCTTTTGGAGCAGAAAGCAAACACTTCCATAAGGCAGTGAGGGTCAGTGAGCAAGGGACGGGTTCCTCCTGCTAGCTCGGTGCCTTATCTACCTGACGGTTGAGTTGGCACCTTCCTGGGCAGAAGTAAGATGTAAAAATGGTTAAGCAGGCATACTTTTGATATACCCTCCCAGAGGCTGGAAGTTCTGAGGCAACCCCTGGAAGTGAATATTCCACAGCGGGCATGATTGGGTCTGTAAATCGATTGTTAGCTCTTCAGGAATTAGATGATCTTGTCCTCTAAGAAGTATCTGGTGAAGGAAGAGGTAAAAGGCTGTATTTTCGTCTCTGAAGGACTAAGTGGGAAGCAGCAAGTGGGAAAGGGGAAAGGAGAAAAAGAAGAGAAAATAATTTAAAAATAATTAAACTATTAGGAAAATAGGGGTACTCGATTGCAATTGGGCATTGATTTATTGTGGGTACTGAGCTCATGCTCTCCATCTTATGATTCGAAAATATCCTGTTGAATCCCAACTGCAAGTTTTTTCTCTGAGGCAATTACCTTTGTGTCTGTACCATCAGGGGCATACTCTTGGTGTTTCTTTTCCAGCATCAACAGTTTTATCAGGTTGTAAATAGGCTTGCCATTGAATAATTATATTTTTAGATGCATTTTGTTGCTTTGAGCAATGCGTTGAGTAGGCATTTATGTTGGTTTTGATCATCTCTACCTAATATCGCTTGCTGTCTTGTCACAAAAATACTCTGATGAGTACTTTGGGGGATGCACTTCTCGCGTAGCCTGTGGATCAGGGAAAACTGATATACTTCAGGTGCCCAGGGTGGGTCACATGACCATGGCTGGGCTCATCAGCAAATTCTATTCTCCTAATTCAAGTGATTGGTTTAAAGATGGGCACATAACACATCTGATGATACAAGGAGATTCGCAAAATTCTTCTTTGGGTACTTCTTGGAAATCAGTTTTTAGTAGTTCTTGCTGAACTTGAAGGAAATCAAACATGATATTTTTCTTCCCATGAAAAGGAGATTGAATAAGGATCTGACACCGTTGAAATCAGTTATGAGTTGAGTAAAAATGTCTAAATGAAGTTTTCTGAACTTTGATTTTCAGCTGTGATTGGAAGTCACTCTATCTCTAGACATTCCATTTATGACTGTCATTAACTTTTGTTTAAGCTCATTTGAATTGAACTTTTTGTTTCATCACAATGGGAAGAATCCTTGTAGATGGATGGAAAGAGCGAGTGAATGAAGGCCAGTTTGAATTCGAATCCCTAAGTAAATGAACTCGACTATGACATTTATCTGAGCTGACTCTTATGTTTATGGGGCAAACAATTGAGTTACTTCATGGTGTTCTTGGTGGATATTAGGAAGTAGATCCCATGTGACGGGGGCGAAATTGAATTTCAGAGAGATTAAGTGATTTGTCTCACTAGATAATATGAGTTGATGACAGACTTAGATTTCCAACATGGATTTTTTTTTTGGCCTCTGTTATAAGCCTCAGCTGCCCCTAATCAGTTAATAACAGAGTTTTCTGAATTATTAGCACATTTCTGATACTATCTAAACAGTCTCTGAAATGTCCAATTTGGAATAAATATAAATGTAAATTGGAACAAGGTGTACACAATTTTCTACTGCTCAACAGCTGATATTGCCTATAAATGATTAAAATTCCTATTAGATTAAGGTCTAATTTTTCTACTTAATATTTGTAGTAATGCATGCTAGTTTCACATCTGGATCCTTGTGGGCATCTAACACATCGACTTCAAATCCCTTCACTCTGGTTTCACGTTATGCCTTTTCATCTCCACTTAGCCCATGAAACTGCAATGTTGATTAAGAAAGAGCCATGTGATTTATTTCAACTTTTTATCAGGTTAAAGGGTCATAGTTGTACCAATTAAAAACTGTGTTGAGTAAGTAATTCTTGCTGCTGTAACAAATGAACCTCCGCATTTCAGTGGCTTTCCGTGTTCAAAGTTGTATTTCTTACACCCACAATGATCTAACATCACTGATGATGGTTGGCACGTGGTTTACTTCCCTGTCTTAATTTCTGCCATGGCCTAGGGCCTTTAAATTATCTTCTCCAGCTGATGGAGGGAAAGAGAGAGATGTGTAGACACATCTAAACCATCTAACTTGGAAGTGATACTCATTTCTTTTGCTCACATCCCATTGGTTACAACTAGTACCACATCTGGAAGCAAAGCTAGGGAGGCTGTGAAACAGTCCCTATAGACCGTAGCCCTAACTGCCCCTCTTAATAATTTGCAGAAACATACATGGTAATTGAGTATACAGCAAACTCTTTCTGCCACAAAAACAATGCCTCTCTCTGCCATTTCACCACGTTTCTAATTGCAACCGGCTGTTCAGCGATAAATTTACCTGCGTGGCTACTTTTTATATTTATGGAGCTGAACTCTACTCAGTTTAAGGAAGTCTCCTCTTCTTCTGAGATATAAATTAGAAACAAATTATTGGCTTTCAATGTTTGATGTCTGGAATAACAAGCCTAAATGAGATCCCTCTAGTGTCGGGACTTTTGTCTGAACCCAAAAGAGAAAGCCAGGTTCATTGTCCTTGCTTTATTTGTGTTTCTGGAGGAGTTCTAAGACAGAAGGAAGATGCACTTGATGACATACTGGGCAGGTACTGGGGGTAACTGTACATCTGAAACAAATATCAGAGCGTGGACACCAACTGAGGAGAGAGCAAGAGAAGAGAGTGCTGGTGGCTTACAGGCGGATTTGTTATTATTATTTATAAGCTGGCCTCAACCTATTTCCTACCTGAGTTTATAGCTGATGCCACCTCCTGCAAATTTCCTTTCGGATACTCAATGTCTTTTCTGCAGTGCCCGATGGCCTTTTACATTTGTGTGCTTTTGTCAGACTGGCCCAAGTTTTCTGCAACGTCTTCTGCCTGTCCTTGCTCTGACTGGCAAACTCCTCCTTAATCCTCAAGATTCAGTGCAAATGTTATCTCTTCCATGAAGTGGTCCCTAAAAATTCTCTAGGTCATTAGTTGATCCAGCTGGTTGCTTTCATAACACTTGGAATTATTTTATTATAGCGCTTAATCACATTGCATTTCAATCTCATTTAAGAACTGCTTTCTAAGGGAAATCTTGGACCTCTCTGCAGGGGCTTGTGACTTTTGTCATTGTGCAGAGGCTGAAGGTGTTCTTAAGGTGAGCATCTTGGCTAGCCTCTTCACTTTCCATAATTCAAATATATTGATTGCTTAAAATATAGATATAGAATACAAGTTTGTATGTAACAAAAAGTATTTTTTCTACTGTTGTTAAAGTAATACACATATACAGTAAAAATAGAGCAGGAAGAATAAGTTCAAGAGAACTGTTGTACAACATAGTGACTATAGTTAATAATGATGTGTTCTCAAAAATTGCTGAGAGTTGATTTTAAGTCTTCTCACTACAAAAAATGAAATGTGAGGTGATGCATAGGTTAATGGGCTCTATTTGGCCATTCCATAAGATATGTGTATATATATATATATATATATATATATATATATATATATATATAGTTACAACATTATTCTGTACACAATAAATATATTTAATTGTTATCTGTCAATTACAAAATAAATAAATTCAGATGACCATCAGTCCCTCTCTACAGTTTGCTCCCTGTCCAGAGGCAGGCACATCTAACATCTCCTACTTTTATTTCTTTTTGTAATTACTTCTGTAACACTAAATAATGTTAACACATCTATGTCTTCCTTAAATATATTTATAGAAGCTAAGGATTTAGCATACTTTTTCTGCCTCTTACTTTCCAGTATATCATTGAGAATTGTCTTGAGCTGCAAGTAACAGAAAACTTCTCTACGGTTGCTTAGCTACATAGAGATTTGTTTAATTCTCAACATAATGAAGAATCCAGAGGTAAGTGCTCCAGGGCTATTCAAGAGAGTTATCAAGGATCTAGGTCCTTTCTGGCTTTGTACACCACCATGCTGAATGTATAACGTCGGGTCACAGTGATTGCAGAATTCCTGCTCCACCTCAGTTTCTTCTCAAGATGCCAGCATCAGCAACGACACTGGAAAGCTTGGCATTTGGAGGTTAGCTAAATTTATTTAGAGAAGATTCCTTTGCTTTGTTTTCCACTGAGGTAAATACAAAGCATTCTAACTTCTACTCAGTGGGGGGAGGTAGGGAAATGGAGATGAATATTCCATACACAAAATGTTAATCAGTTTTCTTGCATTCAACCTCACTTTTCTCTCCCATCTACCACTATATTTGCCAATGTGGAATCAGGGGCCCCTGTGGGATTCCAAAGAGGACCCTCTTGGCATCTTCACTGTTCTCCAGACTGTGGTGTCTTTTGTTTCTGTTCCATCTTACACTTTAACAGTTTTTGTCCACTCTCCATCTTCCACTGTTTTAGATAAACACTTTCTCTTGCTGATGGTTTGCATCTTACACTGTTTGCTGGAAAGTATTTGTTTTGATACTTCAGTGGTATTTAGTGGGGTATCTGTGGACATGTGAGCTGAATGCATGGATTCATGGCCATGGATTCTTCAGAAAAGAGAACATCCAATATTTTAAGTCACATATTATGTAACTTTTGTGTTTGTAAATGCATTAAAATATAACCAAAGACAGTCATCATCATACTGTTCACACCCATATCCGTGATCAAAATCTAAATTTATTGTTGGCAGAAGGAGCTTAACCAAAAGTTCTACAGTTAATTTTTAAGAAGAAGGAATTTTATCATCAATAAAATGGTGATATAGAAGGTTGTTGAGAAGACAATAATACTCCCATATAATAAAATATATTGTAAGACTACATGAATCAAACTGTCTTGGTACTAGCACTTAGAGGCGCAAATCAATGCAATATAATACACCACTCAAAAGCAGACACTAGTATTTATAAAATCTAGTATGAATTAAGGAGAAAGCAACAAGTTATTTGAACATGGTATGGAGAAAATAACTGGCAATTTGGGAAAACACTGTTAGGGTCACTACTTCGGCCAGTATGATAATTGAGTGAAATCTGAGTTTAAAATGGAGATTGAGAGATGCATGTTAATTAGAGTGCAACTGCTCTGCCAAAAACTGAATATTTCAATTTAATTTTGAAAATTTTTACAGGAAGGAATCATTCCTCTGCTTGTTGAATTTAGAAAAAATTCAGCAGATGTCAGTCTGTGATTTATGATCATGTTCCCATTTCACATCATATGCCAAAATAAATTTTAAAGGAATTCCAGAGCTAAATTTAAAATCTGCAGCTAGCTAGACATACACACAGAGATAGCACTAGAAGAATATATTATATATATATGTATACATTTTTCATATATGTGAATATGAATATCTGATCTTTATTAGAATTATCCAGAGAAACAGAGCCAATAATTTGAGTTATCTCCTTATTTTATATATAATATATACAATGTTATGCAATTTTATGTGTGTATATATATACACCCGTACATAAAATACATATATATGTATTTTCATGAATAAATATATATTCATATATAAAAATATATATTCATATATACATATATATATATATATGAGAAAGACATTGGCTCATATGGTTATGAAGACTGAGAAGTCCCAAGATCTACAGTCAACAAACTGGAGACCCAGGAGAGTGGATGTGTACTTTCAGTCCAAGTTCAAAGGCCTGATAAATAGGAGAGTTGATAGTATAAATTTCAGTCTGAATGTTGGCAGCCCTGAAAACTAAGAAGAGCTGAGGTTTCAGTCCAAAACTGAAGCACAGAAAAGGCCAATATCTCATCTCAATCAGTCAGGCCAAGAGAGTTGCTTCTTATTCAACATTTTTATTCTTTTCAGCTCTTCAACTGATTGGAGGATGTCCACTCACATTGGAGAGGGCAATCTGCTTTTCTCAAAGTTCAGCCACTCAAATGTTCATTCATCCAGAAATGCCCTTGAAGATACACACAATATAACATCTGGCCAAATATCTGGGCACCCTGTGGCCCAGATTGACACATAAAATTAAACCTCACCATCTTGCCTAGGGGAAGGATTTTCTCATCATAAATGCCATTGTAGAAATCATGAAAGAAATGATTAGTACTTCCTACTGTGTCTTAAGTTTCATGCTTTTGCCTTCACTATAGAATACGCATGTGCATAGAAGCTCGTCAGAAATATATAATCTCAAACTATGCTTCTTAACTCTTATTAAGAATTCAGCTGCTCTTAGGAAGAGGTTTTACAACAAAATAATGTTCTTAAGGGTAAGAATTAGAGTCAACCTTGCACATTTGTGAGTTCTGCATTTCAGTAATACTGTATTTTCCACCTGCAGTTGGTTGAATCCATGGATGCAGAACCCAAGGATATGACGGGCCAACTGTACAAGCTATTCTCTATGGTCATGTTCTAGGTTCTCTCTCTGTGAAGTCTTACCATCCAGCAGCAATTGGCTTCTCTGGAACTACACTACTTTGTTCCCTGTGGAATCTCTTTTATTGGAATGCCCTTTTGTGGTGTACCCCCCTCCCTTTGTTTTAAAAGTTGGATAGGAAGCATCTGGATAAAGTTCATCTTGTCTGTGTGTGTAAATGCCTTTGTGTCTCTAAAGATTTTCTTCCGAGACACCCATTAGCATAATTTCTCTTAGTCCCTGTAGCCATGAAAAACTATTGTCATTCGTCTTATAGAAAGTACCAGTCTCATATCATATTGTGATTTGAGAGCTGAACATTTCAGAGGCGAACTCGGTGTTCTTCAGGCTTTGCTTAGAGTATTAGATGTTGATTTTTGCTAACCTTTTCCCTGTCTGCATAGCATAGTGGCTAAGAACATGGACTCTAGAGCCAGGTGGCTGGAGTCAAACCCAAGCTTTGTTACTCACCAGCTCCATGCTCTTGGGAAAGGCGCTTCACTTGGAGGGTTGCTTTGGTACATATTATTGTGTGGGGGCTTCTATTTAATAGGCCTTTTGTGCACTCAATAGAGTAAGAACTATCTGACTTCTCTCCAGATGGCTGAGCCAGTTCATGTTCAAGTCAGCAACAAATGTGGGTGCTGAAATCCACCCATCCCTGGAAATATTTGGCATTATTCATCTTCGTAAGTTGTCCTAATTAAAAATTGTCATATAACAGGTCCCGGTGTGTGATGTTCCCCTTCCTGTGTCCATGTGTTCTCATTGTTTAATTCCCACCTCTGAGTGAGAACATGCGGTGTTTGGTTTTTTGTCCTTGCGATAGTTTGCTGAGAATGATGGCTTCCAGCTTCATCCATGTCCCTACAAAGGACGTGAACTCATCATTTTTTATGGCTGCATAGTATTCCATGGTGTATATGTGCCACTTTCTTAATCCAGTCTATCATTGTTGGACATTTGGGTTGTTTCCAAGTCTTTGCTATTGTGAATAGTGCAGCAATAAACATATGTGTGCATGTGTCTTGCCTGTTGTGGGGAGGGGGGAGGGGGGAGGGATAGCATTAGGAGATATACCTAATGTTAAATGAAGAGTTAATGAGTGCAGCACAGCAACATGGCACATGTATACATATGTAACGAACCTGCACATTGTGCACATGTACCCTAAAACTTAAAGTATAATTAAAAAAAACAAAAAACAAACAAAAATTGTCATATAATATGTTGTTTTTTTATAATTTGCACTTTATAAATACTGATGAGTTTGAAAACCTTGTCATGTGGGTGTTAGCTTTATATGTTTCCTCTTCTGCAATTGCTTACTCATATTCGCTGGATGTTTTAAGTGTTCCTTCTTTCACTCAATGATTAGCAGAAATTCTTTATATATTGTATAGGGTAATTCCTAGTTATAGACATTGTATACATAAGATACTAAATTTACATCTCTGTCCGGAGATCTCGTTACCATTTTCAGTCTTGTCTGCATCTTCCCCTCTACTGTCTTTCATTTCTCCAGCCTAAGTTTGATGAAGCACTTACCATGTGCCAGGCATGGTATTTTTTTGTTTGTTTGGTTTTTGTTTTGTTTTGTTTTTTGAGACAGAGTCTCGCTCTGTCACCCAAGCTGGAGTGCAGTGGTGCAATCTTGGCTCACTGCAAGCTCCGCCTCCGGGGTTCACGCCATTCTCCTGCCTCAGACCACCAAGTAGCTGGGACTACAGGTGCCCACCACCATGCCTGGCTAATTTTTTGTATTTTTTTTTTGTTAGTAGAGATGGGGTTTCACTGTGTTAGCCAGGATGGTCTCGATCTCCTGACTTCGTGATCTGCCCACCTCAGCCTCCCAAAGTGCTGGGATTACAGGCGTGAGCCACTGTGCCTGGCCATGCCAGGCATTGTCAGATGGTATGAATGGAGTGAGTCAGCTGTAGTCTCTGTCCTTATGGAAGTCACTTCTGTTCATTAAGACAGGCATATAACACAAAAATTTGAATGGGCTTCATGTTTCTAAGACAGGGAGTATTCAAGAAGGCCATAGTAACTGTGATGGTTAATACTGAGTGTCAACTTGATTGGATTGAAGGATGCAAAGTATTGATCCTGATGCAAAATATTGGTGTGTCTGTGAGGGTGTTGCCAAAGGAGGTTAATGTTTGAGTCAGTGGGCTGGGAAAGGCAGACCCACCCTTAATCTGGGAAGGGACCATCTAATCAGCTTCCAGCATGGCTAGAACGTAAAGCAGACAGAAAAACGTGAAAAGACTAGACTGGCCTAGCCTCCCAGCCTGCATCTTTCTCCCATGCTGGATGCATCCTGCCCTTGAACATCAGACTCCAGGTTCTCCAGTTTTGGGACTGGGACTGGCTCTCCTTGCTCCTCAGCTTGAAGACAGCCTATTGTGGGACCTTGTGATCATGTGAATTAATACTTAATAAACTTCCCTTCATCCTATTAGTTCCCTGTATCCTATTAGTTCTGTCCCTGTAGAGAACCCTGACTAATACAGTAGCCTTGTCTGAAAGGTGTAGAAGGTTTCTTCAGGGAGGTGACACATGAGCTAAGAGCAGAAGGACTGGACAGAGGCAACCAGTGAAAGGGTGACAGGTGGGTGGGGGTGGAAAAAAGGGGGAAAGTATGGCTGGATGCAGAGAACAAAGGGGAGTGTTGCAGGAGATTGGAAGGGTGGGAGTGGCTGAGGGAGCTGAGGCCTCAGAGGCCGTGTTAAATAGTTTGACCTTTGCCCTAATAGCAATGGAAAGTTACATCAAGGACACCAGTCTTTAGTTTTAGAAAGTGATAAGTTGACTGGCAGATCCCAGAGTGGCCGCTAGAAGACTGAGGATGAGGTGTTTGATTTGACCCAGGAGTGAGGCAATGGCTCTGGGAAACTCAGGAGAGAGTTTTAGGTGACGAAGGTGGCAAACGTAAGGCTCTTCCTTATGAGTCTGAAAGAATTCCTCTTTGTACTTCGTGGATTTCCAAGAAACCCTTGAATAGCCGCCTCCTTTTCTCATCACTTTGTGTGGGTTTTATAGCTGTGTGTGTGTATGTGTGATAGTGTGTAAAATATATCTGCTGTGTGCCAGTGGATTATGGGGAACTGGCTCAATTTGCCTCTTTAATATTTTGTAATTGCTTTATAATGAGTTGTGTTATAAGTGGTTTTCAGGAAATTCAAAGAGACGGGGCTAAACAGAGAGGCAGGGGACACATTGTCATATTACTTTCGTGTCTGGAGGGCATTGATCTAAGACTATTTCATCAAATCTATTCCGAACGTGGAACATGCCATGTATTTCCACGTAAGGTCTATTAGGAAAAAAAGGTTCTGCCTCTACTGTGTTTTAAAATGACTATCGCTGTCATTTATTATAAATGAAAGATTTTAAAACTTCCTAAACAAGAAGCAGGAAGATAATGAGTTACGGAATGGTGTCATTTGTACACTCTAAAATTGCAAACCTAGGTATACTTTCTTTTTTAATTATACAAAATTGGGATTCTATCTCAGTTTTCTAAATCCACGATTCTCTTTGCAGAGAATTAATAACTTTTCTTTTTTTGTTCTTATTTTATGTAAACTTCTAGGCTAGCTCTTAAGCCAGTATATTACACCTCACCCATGCATGCCCCTGTCTCCCATGGGGAGCTCTCTGCAGACAGGATGCTGACTTGGGACTGTCTGTGTCCACAGCACCTAGCACAGGACTGTCAGCTTGTAAGCACTCATTAAGTGTCTATTGACTTGAAGTAAGTTTGTAACACAGTATAAGAAAATTTGCCAGCCACCTCCAGAGTCTCTAGCTATGACTTTTGCTCCCCCGTGGCAATGCTGTTGCATGTGCTACTTAATAAGTGTATTTGAGTGTTTTATCCAAATAGAAAATCACACCTTTACACAGTAATTGTGCTTTATTGGGTTTTGACAAAGGAGCTTCCTTCCTGCCCTGAGGTTTGAATGTCAGGATCAATATTAGAAGCACTTTCTCCAGAGGCGAAAAGTTAAACAATCAGCCAGTGAAACTGGTCATTTTAGATTTCCTGGGTTTGGAAATTGGTGATGATTTATAGATGCTATTTATAGCTTTCATTGAGTGAAAATATAGAAAGGCACTACTTTTCTCTGAAAATTTGCAGGAATTTTGCCTGTGTATTAAAGGACCTGCTCTTTCTATGAGTAAAATGTCAAGCTGAATACTCCCAACGACAAGAATTTCTTCAAAACCATCGCCTCCTCTTCCTCTCTCCTCCTAGGCCTTTATCCTTTCTCACTGTTTTACAGTCACAAGGGACTTCTGTTGGCTTCTTGAAAAACCGGACTTACTTCCACATCACCACTGTTTTCTTTGTGCTATCAGGCTTTAAGCCTCTTTCTTCCAATATTTCATGGCTGGCCTCTTCTCATCGCTTAATTTTATTTTTCTTTCTTTTTTATTTTTCTTTTTTGAGACAGGGTCCCACTCTGTTGCCCAGGCTGGAGTGCAGTGGCGTGATCTCAGCTCACTGCAACCTCCCCCTCCTTGGCTCAGGTGATCCTCCCACCTCAACCTCCCGAGTATCTGGGACTAGAGGTGTGCACCACCAGGTACAGCTGATTTTTCTATTTTTTTTTTTTTTATAGAGATGGGGTTTCGCCATATTGCCCAATCTGGTCTCAAACTCCTGAGCCCAAGCCTTCCACCCACCTCGGCCTCCCAAAGTGTTGGGATTACAGGCGTGAGCCACCACACCCTGCAGCTTCTCCTTTTTTCTCGGGTCTCAACTTAAGCACTTCCTTTCCTGGGACCATTTCCCTCATCATTCTGAGAACATCCCACCTCAGCTCCTTTCTGAGTCATTATCCATCGTTATCGTCTTCACAGAACTATTGTCCATCTGAAATAATCTCAGTTGTGTTTATTTTTTTAATTTACTTATGCATCTATTAGCTGAGGTCCCCGTTAGACTATCAGCATCATGAGAACAAAGAACAGGCCAGAGAAGGCACCCCTGGATTTTTAGCACCCAGGACAGTGCCTGTGGTGTTGTCGAATGATCTTGCCTTTAGAGGCTAGATCCAACAGTTAATTCATGGATCAAGGGTATAGGCTGATACCGTGTTTAGGAAGCGATAAAATGCTATTTTAATACATGTGATGGCATAAGCCTAGGGGGGTGACCACCAGTGACTCCTGCCTCCTTTTCATGCCTATACATAATATTATCCCTGAGTGGGTGTGGGGCTTGGGAGTTATTAATTGCTCTAACTAATATAATATGGCAAAGATGATGGGTTACTACTTTTATGATATCACACACACACATATGTCACTTATGTACAGAGAAATCTATATTTATATCTATCCATCTCTATAATGCATATGAGCATGTCATTATATATTACATATGTAAATTTATATGATCATACACACACACACGTATATACATAAGCAGATCCACTCCCTGCTGGTCTTGAGGAAGCATGCTGCTATGTTTGCTGTATTGTGAACTGCCTATAGAGGAAGCCACGTGATGGGGAACTGTCGGCATCCTCTAGGAGCTGAGAGCCTCAGTCCTGCGATCACGGGAACAAAGTTCTGCCTACAGCCATATGAGCATGGAGGGTCACCTTGAGCCTCAAATGAAAATGCAGTCCTGCAACTTTGACTGCAATCCAGCAAGATCCTGAGCTGAGGATCCAGTTAATCCAGACCCAGACTCCTGACCAACAGAAACGCTGAGATGTTAAAGTGTGTGTTGCTTTGAGGCATTCATTGTTTGGTAACTTTTTGTGAAGCAACAGATGACCATTACAACTTGTATCTCTTCGTTTAGAAGTTTCTTGTTAATTCTAAGGTCAGAATCCCTCATCCCCATCCTTCTTTTTATGACATTTATGTGTGTGGATACATAGATAGATAGATAGATAGATAGATAGATAGATAAATAGATAGATAGATATAGAGATATTTGATCACCAATTGGAAGATTTCAAAAGGTCAGAATAATTTACTAAAACAGGTTCAATTGATGGTTCCAGTTCTCAGCAGTCTTGTGCCCCCTGCCCTTTCATTTCAGCCCGGATTTTTCCCTGCTTGCCAAGTACGTGAAATTGTGCTAATCAATCTGTAATTTTTTGGTGCTCAATAATTTATTTTAATTATGGGCTGCTAAAGATAGCAATAAAAGAAGAAAGAAATGTATCTGAAATTATGAATGAAAATGAGTTGTTATGTTTAATGTTTTCCAATGGAAGAATCTTATTTTACGATGGCTTCATGTTTCAGAAAAAAACCAGGGGTTAAATTACATTATGTAGCATGGTTTAAAATTCAGGGTAGCAGAAGAGACATTTCTCTCATGGAACAGATTAATACAAGACCTAATAGAATTTTCTGACCCTAAAAACCACCAAGAGAAGATTTCATTTATTTCTCTTCTGTATATAAATTTTACATATTATAAAAATTATTTCAGAAATGTTATTGCCAACAAAAAACATAAAATATAGTATGAACTAAGATAAAATGGCAGAATACCATTTGCAAATGATTAATCTAGCCTAACATTGCTTTTTAAAAAGGCCAACAACTAGGTTTCATCTTCAGAATCTGCTTTCCAATCCCAGTGAGCTTGCTCAGTTATGAATGCAACATCCAAGACTGCTGGTTTCACCTCCAACATGTGAATCATTTTAAAGTCACCACTCCCATTCATAAAACAAGAAAGGAGCTCAACAAACTGAAAACCCACGACTTTTATTATGCACATCAGAAACTGTAGGTCACAGCACAGTTACCCCCAAACCTGGAGAGACAGGGAAATATAGATAATCACAATTAATGTCCAATGTGACTACATGGGGCAGAAGCATCTAGAGCCATGAAGCCAGGAAGCAAGAGTAGCCACACAATGCCCAGGAAGAACAAAGTGAGGTGACCGATGCTGCTGGCGTTGTGAAGGCCCAGTCATCTAGACTGTGTGCTATTGGAGAAAGAAAAGACAAATGGGTGGATGGAACAGAAGAGGGCCTCAGCAATAGACTCTCACAAATAGAATCAACTGACTTTTGATAGAGGAACAAATGCAGGAGAAGAGTCATTTCAACAACTGGTACTGGAACAATTCTATGCACAAAAGAAAGTGGTGTGGGGGCCAGAGAAAAGAATTCAGACACACACAGTACTTACCACTGTCACAAAAAATAATGTACAGTGGATCTTAGATCTAATACAAAATAGAGTACCATAAAACTTCTAAAAGATAACATGGGAAAAAGTCTAAACAAACTTGCCTGTGATGATGAGTTTTTAGATAACATTTCAAAAGCATGATTCATAAAAAAAGATAAGTTTGACTTTATTAAAATCAAAACTTCTGCTTTCAGAAAGTTAATAGAATTTTTTAAAAGTCAAATACTGGGAGAAAATATTTGCAAAACACATCTGGTAAAGGATTTGTATGCAAACATACAGAAAGAAACTCTTACAACTCAACAAGAAACAACCAAATGAAAAAATGGCAGAGATCTGGCCGGGCGTGGTGACTCACTTCTGTAATCCCAGCACATTGGGAGGCCGATGTGGGATGATCGCTTGAGCTCACAAGTTTGAGACCAGCCTGGGCAACATGGGGAAACCCTGTCTCTACAAAAATACAAAAATTAGCCGGGCACGGTGGTTAACACTTGTAGTCCCAGTTACTCAGGAGGCTGAGGTGGGAGGATCACTTGAACCTGGGAGGCAGAGGTTGCAGTGAGTCAAGGTCATTCCACTACACTTCAACCTGGGTGACACAGCAAGACCCTGCCTCTAAAAAAAGGATATATATTAAACGACAACAGCAATAGAAACTCCGTGGCAGCTCTACTAGTAGAAAAACTGAAATAATTATTTCATACAGTAATATTAAATTGATATGTATGTATGTATATATAGACATATATACATACAGACATCAATAATATTAAATTGATATGTATGTATGTATATATACACACATATATATACATACACACTCACACATATATATACCTTTGATGGAAAAACCATATAAATTAACATTATGTATTTATTATATTTTATATTACATCTAAAAATTTATATATATACATATATATACATATATATATATATCTCAAGGTACAAATTTGCTTAGAGTTCAACTTTCTTAGAAGAAAAAAAAGGCAAGTGAATGAACAAGGAAAGGGCAAGAAATCTCAGAGATGTCACCGTGCGTTCATTTGGAAAAGTTCACAGGTACACAGAGTTTCTCTTTCACAGGTTGAATATTCAAAATTAAAATGAGTACTTTATCACACGTCTTCCTAGTGGATATGCTTTTCTAGCATTAACTTTTTTTAAGATGATTCTAGTTCATGTCATCCTTCAGAAACCAAAATTAGGCATCTCCAAGAGCCAGATGCTTGTGTAATTAGAAAAGAGAGCTACCTTGACAGTGTGGGATGTGGAGACATCCCCTTTGCTCTGCAGGCGTGCAGGTGAGTCCAGCACCGTGGGCCTCCTGTCCTCTGGGTGGCTCTCTGGAAACTTCCCCCCACGCTGTGCGTCTTGTTCTGGAATAAGCTTTCTGTGAAGAATGCCTTGCCAGCCTCTTGGCTCCCTGGGGGGAGTTGCATGCCTCTCTCTTTCTCCTTGTGATTAATTTATCACAGAGAATGTGGTTTGCTGAAGAATCCAAATTAAAAGTGTCTCTCCTGGTGTCATTAATCACATCCTGAAAGTGCGTCAGTTCCCGGGGCTGGGGCTGTCTCATAATGCCTGCTGAATTTCAGATGCTACTTTGTCTTAGTCTCCTTGGCAAAATGCGATTTTATGGACTGTGTCTGGTGAAGGGTTTGGTCCCAAGTAGAATTTCTTTAGGAGTAGTCTGAAGGCCTGTTCAGACTACCCACTGAGGAGCTGTTGATTTATATATTAATACCAATTCTGGGGCCCTGTTCCAGAAAATCTGAATCAGAATCTTGGGGAAATTGAGTCCAGAAATCTGTACGATTGACCAGTGTGATGGTTAATACTGAGTGTCAACTTGATTGGATTGAAGGATGCAAAGTATTGATCCTGGATGTGTCTGTGAGGGTATTGCCAAACAGGGTTAACATTAGAGTCAGTCGCCTGGGAAAGGAAAACACACCCTCAATCTGGGTGGCCACCATTCAATCAGCTGCCAGCATGGCTAGAATATAAAACAGCCAGAAAAATGTGAAAAGGCTAGACTGGCCTGGCCTCCCAGCCTGTGCTGTATGCCTCCCACCCTCAAACATCGGACTCCAAGTTCTTCAGTTTTGGCACCCAGACTGGCTCTCCTTGCTCCTCGGCTTGCAAACAGCCTATTGTGGGACCCTGGGACTGTACAAGTTAATACTTAATAAATGTGCGTATATATATCACTTGCATTATATATATATATAAAAATATATGTTATATATATTTTATAAATATATATAATAATACATAATATATATAAATTTATGTATATTTATATATGTGATATATATCAATTTATATATATTTATATATAATATATATAAATTTATATATATATAATAAATATATATATAAATTATATATAATATATATTATATATATATATAAATTTATATATTTTATATATAATATATAAATTTATATATTTTTATATATAATATATATATTTATATATATTATATAATATATATTTATATATATTTTATATATACATAATATATAAAATATATATAAATTTATATAATATATATAAATTTATGTTTTTATATATATTTTATATATATAATAAATATATATATTATATATATTTTTATAAAATAATATATATAAAATATATATTATATAATATATAATAGGATATATAATAGGATATAATTATATATTATATATGATAATGAGCATAATTATATATTATATATGATAATATATCTTATATATGATAATATATAAGATATATTATATATGATAATATATAAGATATATTATATATGATAATATATAAGATATATTATATATGATAATATATAAGATATATTATATATGATAATATATCATATATATTATATATGATAATATATCATATATATTATATATGATAATATATCATATATATTATATATGATAATGATAATGAGGACAGAGGCCATTTCTCTTACTATCCCCTGTCTCCAAAGAGAAGGAGGAAGTAAAAGCTGAAAAACAACAGACTGATCGACACCGCTGGTCAGGCCTGTAGGTTAAAGATTAACCCCCACCCTAATAGCTTGTGCTACCTATAGATCACAGACTATGGTATGGAGAAGTACTTGCATTGCTTATCCCCACCGCTAATGTATGTGGACATAGTCATGTACCCCATGCATGCTCACTCTATCACAACCCTTTCACGTGGACCCCTCAGGGTTGTAAGCTTTTAAAAGGGCCAGGAATTCTTTCTTCAGGGAGCTCAGTTCTTGAGATGCAAGTCTGCCAACCTCCCGGCTGAATAAAGCCTCTTCCTTCTTTAACCTGGTGTCTGAGGGGTTTTGTCTGCAGCTCATCCTGTTACATTTCTTGGTTTCCTGACTGAGAAGTGAGGTGGTTGATGGACGGTCGAGGTAGCCCCTTAGGTGGCTTAAGCCTGCCCTGCAGAGCATCCCTGCGGAGGACTCTGGCTAGCTTGAGTGACGCAGATCCTAAGAGTGCTCCCGGGTAGCCATCTGCCCTGGTGGAATGCCTCGTCAGAGCGGTGCATGGCAGACCCTGCGAGGATCAACACAGTGGCTGAACACCAGGAAGGAACCAGTGTTTGGAGTCTGGACATCTGGAATATGGTAGGACCGGTCCTGGGAACTTGCCCCCTCCATTTGAGTGGAAGCATGGCCTGATCACCCACGGTGTGCCCTTATTGACACTTTGGTCTCAGTTTTGATTTTGATTTGGCTTGGCTTGTTTGAAGAAAGGAGAGTGAAAGTGAGTGAATACTTGTGATTGACACAAATCTCCTCTTGTGGCGTGAGTGTTCTTTTCTTTCTTTTCTTGTCTTGGGAAGGAGATGGGTAAAACACAGAGTAAGCCCACTCCATTAGGAACTATGTTAAAGAATTTCAAAAAAGGTTTTAATGGAGATTATGGGGTTACTATGACTCCAGGAAAACTTAGGACCTTGTGTGAGATAGATTGGCCAGCATTAGAAGTGGGTTGGCCGTCAGAAGGAAGCTTAGTCAGGTCCCTTGTTTCAAAGGTATGGCATAAGGTAACTGGTAAAGGACACCCAGACCAAGTTTCCATACATAGACACTTGGTTACAGCTGGTTTTAGACCCCTGACAGTGGTTAAGAGGACAGGCAGTAGTACTAGCGGCAAAGGGACAGACAGTCAAGGAAGACTCCCGCTCCACCCACCGAGAGGAGTTGGCTCTTAAAGTCCTGTCCGACCCAACATCAGAGGATTAATGGCAAGAAACAGCACCAGTGGCCCGCACTGTTACCAAGAAGGAAGGCCTCCCACTCCTGAGCCCACTGCGCCCAAGCTTCCACAAGGCCTACATACCCCTAGGCCACCCAGAGTAGAAAAGAAAGGATGTGAGACCTTGGGAGAAACCCTTCCCTTGGCAGCCTGTTTGAGGCCTAGAACTGGCATACAAATGCCCCTGAGAGAGCAATGGTATACTGGGGTAGACGAGGACGGGCATATGGTGGTGCCTTCGTGTATCAACCCTTCACCTCTGCCGATCTCTTCAACTGGAAAAACAATACCCCATCCCATCAACCCTTCACCTCTGCCGATCTCCTCAATTGGAAAAACAATACCCCATCCTATACCAAAAAGCCTCAAGCTATGATTGATTTGCTCCCAACTATTATCCAGACCCACAACCCTACTTGGGCTATTGCCACCAGTTGCTCACGTACCTCTCTTTAACATGGATGAAAGGTGAAGGGTTCTCCAAGCAGCAACTCAGTGGCTAGAGGAACATGTTCCAGCTGATTACCAAAACCCCCAAGAGTATGTGAGGATCCAATTACGAGGAACAGACCTCCAGTGGGACCCAAATGAAAGACAGGTTATGCAAAGGCTAAACCGGTACAGGGAATCCCTCCTGGAAGGGTTAAAGAGGGGATCTCAGAAGGCCACAAACATTAACAAGGTCTCTGAGGTCATTCAAGGGAAAGGTGAGAGCCCGGCACAATTCTATTAGAGACTATGTGAGGCCTATCTTATGTATACCTGCTTTGACCCTGAAAGCCCTGAAAATCAGCACATGATTAACATGGCTTTAGTTAGTCAAAGTGCAGAAGACCTTAGAAGAAAACTACAGAAACAGGCTGAGTTTGCAGGCATGAATACTTCATAGTTATTGGAGATAGCCAACCAGGTGTTTGTGAAAAGAGATGCAGTAAGCCACAGAACCGCAGCGAGAGTGAACGCTAAGTCCGGTGAAACGCCGAACTGCTAGCCGCAGCTATTAAAGGGGTGCCCCCGAAGGGCGAGAGAAGGGGGGGCCCGGGAAAAATACCAGTCTGGCCGTCCATGCTTGCAGAGTAACCAGTGTGCTTACTGTAAGGAAATAGGACATTGGAAGGCAAGTGCCCCCAGCTGAAAGGGAAACAGGGTGACTCTGAGCAGGAGGCCTCAGACAAGGATGAAGGGGCCTTGTTCAATCTGGCAGAAGGGTTACTGGACTGAGGGGGATCAGACTCATGTGCCCCAAAGAGCCCATGGTCAGGATGACAGTCGGGGGGCAAGGACATTGAGTTTCTTGTTGATACTGGTGCTGAACATTCAGTAGTAACCACCCCACTCACACCCTTATCCAAAAAGACTATTGATATAATCGGAGCCACAGGGGTTTTGGCAAAGCAAGCTTTCTGTTTGCCCTGGACCTGCACTGTAGCGGGGCATGAGGTAATTTACGAGTTCCTGTACATGCCTGAGTGCCCCTTGTCTTTACTGGAAGGGACCTACTTAGCAAGCTGAGAGCCACTATCTATTTTACAAAGCATGGCTCTTTACAGCTAAATTTACCTGGAACGGGAGTCATCATGGCCCTTATGGTTCCTCTGGAAGAGGAATGGAGACTCTTCTTAACTGAGCCAGGCCAATAGATAGGACCAGCCCTGGCTAAGTAGTGGCCAAAGGTGTGGGCGGAAGACAACCCTCTAGGGCTGGCTGTCAACCAGGCCCCAGTACTCATAGAAGTTAAGCCTGGGTCCCAGCCAGTCAGGCAAAAGCAGTACCCAGTTCCCAGAGAAGCCCTTGAAGGCGTCCAGGTCCATCTCAAGGGCCTGAGGGCCTTTGGAATTATAGTCCCTTGTCAGTCTCCATGGAACGCTCCCCTCCTACCTGTTCCCAAGCCAGGGACCAAGGACTACAGGCTGGTACAGGGTTTCTGCATGGTCAACCAAGCTACAGTGACTTTGCACCCAACAGTACCTAACCCGTACATGTTGTTGGGTTTGCTGCCAGCCGAAGACAGCCGGTCCACCTGCTTGGACTTGAAAGATGCTTTCTTTAGCATCAGACTAGCCCCTGAGAGCCAAAAACTGTTTGCCTTTCAGTGGGAGGATCCGGGGTCAGGTGTCACCACTCAGTACACTTGGACCTGACTCCGCCAAGGGTTCAAGAACTCCCTCACCATCTTTGGGGAGGCACTGGCTCAAGACCTCCAGAAGTTTCCCAGCAGAGACCTAGGCTGCGTGCTGCTCCAGTACATCGATGACCCCCTGCTGGGACACCCCACGGCATTCGGGTGTGCCAAGGGAACAGATACCCTGCTCTGGCACCTGGAGGACTGTGGGTATAAGGTGTCCAAGAAGAAAGCTCAGATCTGCAAACAGCAAGTATGTTACCTGGGATTTACTATCTGACAGGGAGAGTGCAGCCTGGGATCAGAAAGAAAGCAAGTCATTTGCAACCTGCTGGAGCCTAAGACCAGAAGGCAGGTGAAAGAATTCTTAGGAGCTGTAGGGTTCTGCAGGTTGTGGATCCCAAACTTTGCAGTATTGGCTAAGGGCCTATACGGAGTCACAAAGCGGGGAGACAAGGAACCTTTCAAATGGGGGTCCTGACAGCAGTGAGCTTTTCATGAGTTAAAAGAAAATCTCATGTTGGTCCCAGCCCTGCGGCTACCTGACCTGACGAAACCTTTTACACTGTATGTGTCAAAGAGAGAAAAAATGGTGTTTGGAGTTTTGACCCAGACTGTGGGGCCCTGGTCGAGGCCAGTGGCCTACCACTCCAAACAACTAGACGGGGTTTCTAAGCATTGGCCTGCATCTTTAAGGACCTTGGCAGCAACAACCCAGCTAGCACAAGAAGCGGATAAGCTAACTCTTGGGCAAAACCTAACTATAAAGGCCCCCCATGCTGTGGTGACTTTAATGAATACCAAAGGACATCAATGGCTAACGAATGCTAGACCAACTAGATACCAAAGCTTGCTCTGTGAGAATCCCCACATAACCATTGAAGTTTGCAACACCCTGAACCCTGCCACCTTGCTCCCGGTATCAGAGAGCCCAGTTGAACATAACTGTGTAGAGGTGATGGACTTAGTTTATTCTAGCAGGCCTGACATCCGAGACCATCCTTGGACATAAGTAGACTGGGAGCTGTACATGGACAGGAGCAGCTTCGTCAACCCATAAGGAGAGAGGTGTGTGGCATATGCAGCGGTAACCCTAGACACTGTCACTGAAGCCAAATCGTTACCCCAGGGCACTTCAGCCCAGAAGGCCGAACTCATTGCTTTAATTCAGGCCTTAGAGCTAAGTGAAGGTAAGACTGTAAACATTTACACTAACTCTCGGTATGCCTTTTTAACCCTCCAAATGCATGGGGCATTATACAAGGAAAAAGGCCTGTTGAACTCTGGGGGAAAAGACATAAAGTATCAGCAAGAGATCTTGCAATTATTAGAGGCAGTATGGGAGCCCCAAAGGGTGGCAGTCATGCACTGCAGAGGACACCAGTGAGCTTCCACCTCGATTGCCTTGGGGAACTCCCAAGCTGACTCAGAGGCTCGAAAGGCAGCATCCACCCCGTACTGGGTGTTAGTCACAGCCCCCCTGCTCCTTCAGTCACCTGACCTTGTGCCTACTTATTCTAAAGAAGAGAAGGACTTTCTCCAGGCAGAGGGAGGACAGGTTATAAAAGAGGGATGGATCCAGTTATTGGATGGAAGAATAGCTGTGTCACAGCTGCTAGGGGCTGCAATTGTACTGGCTTGCATAAGACCACCCACCTAGGCGAAGAGTCATTTGAAAAGTTGTTAGGCTGGTACTTCTACATCTCACATCTGTCAGCCCTTGCCAAAACAGTGGCGCAGCAGTGTGTCACCTGCTGGCAGCACAATGCTAGGCAAGGTCCAAAAGTCCTGCCCAGCATACAGGCTTGTGGAGCAGCCCCCTTTGAAGATCTCCAAGTAGACTTCACCAAGACGCCCAAATGTGGAGGTAACAAGTATTTGCTAGTTCTAGCGTGTACATACTCTGGGTGGGTGGAGGCCTATCCAACACGAACTGAGAAAGCTCATGAAGTAACCCATGTGCTTCTCTGTGATCTCATTCCTAGGTTTGGACTGCCCTTACCAATTGGCTCAGACAACGGGCCGGCATTTGTGGCTGACTTGGTACAGAAGACAGCAATGGTATAGGGGATCACATGGAAACTACATACCACCTATCGACCACAAAGTTCTGGAAAGGTGGACCGGATGAATCGGACTATCAAAAATAGTTTAGGGAAAGTGTGTCAAGAAACAGGATTAAAGTGGGTACAAGCTCTCCCTGTGGTATTGTTTAAGATTAGATGTACCCTTTCTAAAAGAACAGGATATTCCCCTTATGAAATATTATATCATAGCCCCCTCCCACACTACAGGGACTCCCAGGCACTCCGCAAGAGCTAGGTGAAATTGAGTTACAGTGATAGCTACAGGCTTTAGGGAAGATAACAACAAAAAATTTCAGCCTGGGTAAGTGAGAGGTGCCCCATCAGCTTACTCTCCCCAGTTCACCCTTTCTCCCCAGGTGATCGGGTGTGGATCAAGGATTCGAACGTAGCCCCCTTGCAGCCACGGTGGAAAGGACCCCAGACCGTCGTCTTGACCACTCCCACAGCCATAAAGGTAGAGGGAATCCCAGCCTGGATCCACCACAGCCACGTAAAACCTGCAGCACCTGAGACCTGGGAGGCGAGACCAAGCCCGTACAACGCCTGCAAAAAAGTAACTTTGAAGAAGACGACAAGCCCTGTTCCAGTCACACCCAGAAGCTAACTGGTCCACGCATGGCCAAAGCATGAGGAAACTCATCCTGGAACTCATTTTCCTTAAATTCTGGATTTGTACAGTAAGGACTTCAACTGACCTTCTTCAGACTGAGGACTGTTCCCAGTGTATGCATCAAGTTACTGAGGTAGGGCAAAAGGTTAAAACAGTCTTTCTGTTTTATAGTTATTATGAATACACAGGAACTCTAAAAGGAACTTGTTTATATAATGACACCCAGTATAAGGTATGCAGTCCAGAAGATGGACAACCTAGTATTCGTTATGATCCATCTGAACACCCCATGACCACAGTGTTTGAAATAAGGTTGAGGACTGGCAACTGGAGAAAAGCCAATAAGAGTAAAATAATAACTAGAACAGAAGAAAAGGGAGTCCCCAAACAAATTATCTTAAAAGTTGACACCTGTGCAGCAATCAACAGTAACCTGTATAGAAATAGAATAAGATGCGGCTCTCTAGATTGGGAAAGGAGCCATACAGTAGAAAATAAGTATGTTTGTCATGAATTAGGACTGTGTAATGATGAATGTAGTTACTGGTCCTGTGTCATTTAGGCCACCTGAAAAAAGGATGAGAAGGACCCTGTCTGCCTTCAAAAAGGAAAGAGTAACTCTTCCTGCACTAGTGGTCACTGTAATCCATTAGAACTAGTAATTACCAATCTCCTTGATCCCCGTTAGAAAACAGGAGAGTATGTAACTCTAGGAATAGATGGAACTGGACAGGATCCCTGAGTAAATATTTTAGTCCAAGGGGAGGTCCACAGGCGGTCTCCCAAACCAGTGTTTCAGACCTTTTATGAGGAGCTGAATCTGCCAGCACCAGAGCTTCCAAAAAAGGAAAAAAGAGACAAAGAACTTGTTTCTCCAGCTAGCAGAAAATGTAGTTCATTCCCTCAATGTTACTTCCTGTTATGTATGTCAGGGAACCACTACCGGAGACCAATGGCCTTGGGAAGCCTGAGAATTGGCACTTACTGATCCAGTTCCTGACACAATTCCAGTCCCAAAGGCCCAAACTAGCAACTTCTGGGTCTTGAAAACCTCGATTATTGGAGAATACTGCATAGGTAGAGAGGGGAAGGACTTCACCATCCCTGTGGGAAGGCTCAATTGCCTAGGACAAAAGCTATATAACAGCACGGCAGGGACAGTCACCTGGTGGGGTCTCAATTGCACTGAAAAGAGTCCATTCAGTAAATTTCTCAAGTTACAGACTGTTCGGGCCCATCCAGAATCTCATTGAGACTGGACGGCTCCCGCTGGACTATACTGGATATGTGGACATAGAGTCTACACCAAGTTACCTGACCAATGGGCAGGTATTTGTGTCATTGGCACCATTAAGCCATCTTTTTCCTACTGCCTGTAAAAAAAGGTGAGCTCCTAGGTTTCCCTGTGCATGCCTCCTGAGAAAAGAGGAGCATAGCTATAGGAAATTGGAAAGATGATGAGTGGCCCCCCAAAAGAATCATACAGTACTACAGGACTGTCACATGGGCACAAGACAGCTTGTGGGGATGCCAAACCCCCTTCTACATGCTCAACTGGATCATACGGTTACAGGCCATCTTAAAAATAATCACTAGTGAAACTGGCAGAGCTTTGACTCTTTTTTAGCCTGGCAGGAAACCCAAATGAGAAATGCCATCTATCAGAATAGATTGGCCTTAGACTGTTTGCTGGCAGCTGAAGGAGGAGTATGAAAAATTCAATTTGACCAATTGCTGTCAGCAAATAGATGATCAAAGACAAGTAGTCAAAAATATAGTTAGAGACATGACAAAGCTGTCACATGTGCCCATGCAGGTTTCACATGGGTTTGATCCTGGATCCCTGATTGGAAAATGATTTCCAGCTCTAGGAGGATTTAAAACTCTTATAATGGTAATAATAATAGTGTTAGGAACCTGCATGTTACTCCTCTGTATGTAACCCATATTTGTCCAGTTACTAAAAGGTTTTGTTACTACCTTAGTTCATCAAAAGACCTCAGCACAAGTGTATTACATGAATCACTATCGATCTGTCTCACAGGAAGATCTAGATAGTGAGGATGAGAGTGAGAACTCCCACTACTGAGTGAGGGTCTCAAAGGGGAGAATGAGGAGAGAGGCTATTTCTCCTACTGTCCCCTGTCTCCAAAGAGAAGGAGGAAGTAAAAGCTGAAAAACAACAGACTGATCGGTGCCACTGGCCAGGCCTGTAGGTTAAAGATTAACCCCCACCCTAATCGCTTGTGCTATCTATAGATCACAGACAATGGTATGGAGACATACTTGCATTGCTTATCCCCACCGCTAATACTAACATATGTGGACGTAGTCTCGTACCCCATGCTTGCTCAATCTATTACGACCCTGTCACCTGGACCCCTTAGGGTTGTGAGCCTTTAAAAGGGTCAGGAACTCTTCCTTCAGGGAGCTCCATTCTTGAGAAACAAGTCGCTGATACTCCTGGCTGAATAAAGCCTCTTCCTTCTTTAACCCAGTGTCTGAGGGGTTTTGTCTGTGGCTCGTCCTGCTACAATAATATATATATGTTATATCCTATTATATAATATATTTATATATTATATATTATATTATATATATTTTATATTATATAATATATTTATATATTTTATATTTATATATTATATTTATATATATATTTATATATTTTATATTTATATATTATATTTATATATATTTATATATTTATATATTATAATATATAATTATATATTATAATATATATTCATATATAATCTATTATATATGAATATATATTATAATATATAATTATATATTGTAAATATATAATATGTAATTCATGGTCTATTTCTTTAGTGCTCAGCAATAACATTCAGCACAATTTTACTCTCCTTATATGTTATATATAATATATAATTATATATAACATAGGATATAACATATATATTATTGTGTATATATATATATATAATATATATAATGCAAGCAATATATATAGGCACTTTTGTTAAGTATTAACTTGTACAGTCACAGGGTCCCACAATAGGCTGTCTGCAAGTTGAGGAGCAAGGAGAGCCAGTCTGAGTCCCAAAACTGAAGAACTTGGAGTCCAATGTTTGAGGGCAGAAAGCATCCAGCACAGGAGAAAGATGTAGGCTGGGAGGCTAGGAGATACATATATATGTGTATATATATGTATACACATTATACATATATATTATATATATAATATTATAATATACATATAATATATATTATATGTATAATATTATAATATAATATTATATATATATAAATTCTGTCCCTCTAGAGAACCTGACTAATACAACCAGCTTGCCAAATTATTCTGCTATGCTTGAAGGTGTGATGGCCTCTGGTAGGCAGCATTTTCGTGCCTTCCCTGCCCCAGTCTTGGTGGTTGTTAGTAGTCTCTTGCTGAGCCTTAACACTTAGAGTCCTTAGAGTGACTTACTCATGTGGTTTGCCTGGTACTGTCGTATTTTAGACTTGAAAATCCTGCATATGAAGAAACTCCTTAGTCCTCTGAAACCCGGTACAGTTTGTCACTCTAGCTGCAGACTCGCAAGGTGTCCAGAGAGCACTGCCATCTCCTAGATCATCATTAAAACAATATGTATTAAGTTCTTCTTGAGCCAGGCACATTTCTCAGCACCGGGGGGGACCTACGCACCAGAGATAAGAAAAAAGGAGAGTAAAATTGTGCTGAATGTTATTGCAGAGCACTGAAGAGAGAACTAGACCATGAACGGAGGACAGAAATGATGGAGAGTGGGGAGGAGCGGCCTCATGGAGAAAGCACCACTTGCCCAACGATCTGGAGGAGACGAGTGAATGAATCATGCCAGTATAGACAGGGTGGGTGGGGGTTCCAGGTAGATGAAAACACAATGCAGTTGGCAAGAGGCTGTACAGAAAATATTCCAAATAGGTTCTGAGAAAATGTGTCTAGTAGATGGTAATGTACTGTTCACTTAAAGGGTTAAGAGTAGGTTGTTCACTCGAGCAGTTCTCCACCTCATGACATTGATACTTGAGGACAAATAGATCTTTGCGCAGGGGCTGACCTGTGTATTGTAGTTTGTTTATCAGCACTCCCGGCCTCTACTCACTCGATGCCTGTTGCAGCCCCCCAGTTGTAACAATCAAAATTGTCTCCAGACATTGCTAAATGCCTGGGGCATGCCAAGTTGCCTCCAGTTGAGAACCAGTGACTTAAACCAATCAAATGCATGCTTAAGAGGGAAATCAAGTATTCTTTTCAACCCATACAGAAGTGATTGTAGAGAGATGTCTGGCAAGAAAAGTCCAGTCACACCAAGAAACATAAATGCTACAAGAATGACTCAAAAACAAATAAACAAACAAAACATCTAAGGCAATTCTACGGAAGCCATTCTACAGAAGTCTTTATGGGGGGAAAAAGGATTTAAAATAATTTACTTCAGCCAATAGAGAATGTGCTCTTCCTGAAGTTAAAGGACTTTTCTTCCAGAACTGAAGAGTCGCATCGGATTCATCAGCTCCAGAGGGAAGAGGTGGCTGTGATCCTGCTGGAGTCGGAGCAGCTCCAAAGGACACTCACAGAGAGAAGAAGGCTGAGACTGCGTGTATCGTCTCTGGATTATATACAGCATTTAGTTTTTAGAGCAATAAAAATATTAGCTATAATTTCCTGAGAACCTAAAATGTACCAATCCCTCTTCTAGGCACTTTCTGTACTTTATTTTTGTCTCATTACAAAAACTTTTTGGAGTTGACATTGTCATCATTCCCATTTAAATGCAAGGAAATTGAGATTCAGAGAAGTTAAGGTGTGTTGTAAAGATTAAATCAACCAATAAATGTGTGGTGCTTAGACTGGTACTTACCATGTAGGAGTTGCTCAGTGGACTTTTGTTAGGAAGCTCTTTTTCTCCTGCAAAGCAGGAACTTAGGGAAGGTGATCCATGCTCATGGCCTGTGGCAAGATCAATCTGAGACCCACTGGTCTAGAGAGAGCCTGTTCCTCTGCATATTCCCAAGTGCCACATGTACAACACTGGACACTCAGGGAACTCTTTAAATGTTGGGAATGAGTGGAAAGCCCTTTCACATTGCTTCTTTCAAGGTTCTAACTGGTGGTCTTCTTCCTCCCTTCTCTTCCCAAGGCAAACAAAGACTGGACTTACTCATTGAGTGCAAAACACACAACAAAGGCTGAAGGCACTTCAAGCACTCGTGGTCCAAAGATCGGGCAGAAAAATTCAGATGCATCCTCACAAAGTGAGTTGTTGGTTTTGTTTCTTTGCTTGCCACCAAGCTAAATAAAAGTGTTGTTGTCTTGGAATAAGAGGAGGGGATTATGCAGTGCAGACTCTCTGAGTCTCTGAGCCCCTCACTCTCTTATCACCATTGTCAGGGAGCTGGGAAGACTGTGGTTTGGCTGATGTCCTTCTCCTTATTCTCTGGGGAGACCCACCTCTCATTGACAGCCAACAGGATGCCCATATTTGGTTCCAAAACAGGGATGCCCACCTGGGTTCTGAGGCTCTGCTAAGCAGCCCCCTCCTCCATCATAGACAAGTTCAATGTTTCCAGGATACCCTGAAACCCAAAATTCAACAGTGTAGCTTTAGACATAAGGGATAATGGGATGTGAAGGGAAGAGACCCTTCAGGGATTCAAATAGTGTCATTGCACCTGACCACCAGGCTTCCCACTGAGCCTGCATAGAGATGCAGCCACAGTGACCTGCGTCTTTGACTTGAATCTGTATTAAAATATGGTGTCTGTTTTTGTAAACTTTTTACCGAATCCTGAAATATATGCAAAAAGTGAATTTATATTATAACATAGAGAAAAGTGCACATATGTGTACAGTGTGATGAATTTTCACAAACTGATACACTCAGAGCAAGAAATTGAATATTACTAGAACACCAGACTCATTCCTCATGACTATGTCTATTTATGACCCTCCCTCTTAGGGTAACATGGTACCGACTCCAACACCATGGCATAGCTCTGCTGGCTTTAGAGGTTACTTTGTTCTCGTCTGTGTCTGACTTCCTGTATTAGTCTGTTCTCACGCTGCTAATAAAGACATAACCAAGACTGAAAAATGTAGGAAGGGAAGAGGTTTAATTGACTCAGTTCAGCATGGCTGGGAGGCCTCAGGAAACTTATAATCATAGTGGAAGGGGAAGCAAACACGTCATTCTTCACATGGTGGTAGCAAGAAGTGCAGAGTGAAGCCAGGGAAGAGCCCCTTATAAAATCATCAGCTCTCGTGAGAACTCACTCACTATCACGAGAACAGCATGAGGGTAACCGCCCCCATGATTCAGTTACCTCCTACCGGGTTCTTTCTACCACACCTGGGGGAACTACAATTCAAGATGAGATTTTGGTGGGGACACAGCAAAAACTTATCACTTCCCTCTTGCAACAAGATGTTAGGAGTATCATCTGTGCTATTGTGCATAGCTGTAGGTTTGGCCATTCTTATTCCTAAACATATGCAATTATATGACTGTACCATATTGAATTTATTTGTTGTATTGTTTACAGGCATCTGGAGTCATTTCCTGTTTGGGCTATTATGGCAGTCCTGCTGCAAACATGCTTGTGGCTGTCTTTGGGTGAACACCTGCATGCATTTCTCTTGGATATAGTTTTGGGGTTTTTTGTTTTGTTTTGTTTTGTTTGTTTCAGATTTAGGAGTTTGAACTTCTGAGTCAGAGGGCATATTACTTTCTTATTGCTACTGTAACAAATTACTACATACTTTGTAACTTAAAATAACACAAATGTATTACCTTACAGTTCTGGAGGCCAGAACTTCAGCTTTACAGGGTGAAAAACAAAGTTCAGTGGGGGCTGCTTCCTTTTGGTACTAAGGGACTGTGTTTCCTTGTCATTTCCAGCTTCTAGCGATGTCCACATTCCTTGGCTCCTGGCCCCTTCCTCCACCATCAAAGTGCATTGTTCTCATCTCTTTTGTCATCACCTCCCCTTATTCTGACTTAGGTCCTCCTGCTTCCCTTTTACAAGGACGCTTGTTATGACATTGAGCTCAATAAGATAATCTAGGATCATCTGCCATCTCAAGGTCCTTAGCTAGTCACTTTTGCAGAGACCTTGTACCCTGGAAGATGACATACTCCCAGGCTTCGGGTACAATGTGAACATCATTGGAGGGCCAGTATTCTATCTGTCACATGGGATAAACCTCAATTCAACTTTAGTAGACGTTTTGGTGAATGTACCAATTAACCTCCCAATGACAATATTTGTGATTTCTCTCAGATCTTTGCCAGCACTCAATATTTTCTGCTTTTTTAGTTTCTTTTCTGCCATTCTAATGGATATGTGTCTGATTTTTGTACTATTGAATGGTGAGTGATGAAATAATGCTGCATTTTATTAAAAATAACTTGATGTTGAGACTTGCTGGAATGGATTAATAATAAGAAGAAAACATAGAAAAGTTATTTTTCAAAAAATCCAAAAGTGGGTCAGTGCTGCGGTAGCTGATGAATGACTCTCCCACATAGACGTGGGCTCCTTGGTACACACGAAGGTCTGTCCGCGCTGCGCTCTTTCCAAATGATGTTCCTGTCTGAGCATCACTCTTTGGGAGGAATTTATCCTTGGAATTCTAGATGCAACCAGCCACTAGGAAAGAGGGTGTGATTTCTGGAGTGTCCCTCTTTCCTGGAAAATTTGCCCAGCCAAAGTGTCAGAATTCCATATGTTCCAAGTCGCTACGGCAGCCAATTTTTCTTCCTGAGATTCATCTGTCTTTTGCCTTGGAGTTTCCTGGGGCAGGGAGGGGTGACTGTTCTCTAGGAAAGCATAAGAAGCAGAAATGTTGTTGTGAAGATGGAAGGAAAGAGCAGTTGTGCTTGAGCTTTTAGACCTAAGTAAAGTGCTAGGGTATATGTTGAGGGGTGGATGTTAAAGGTCGGGATGGAGAACATGAGCCAGTAAAGTTTCAGGAGAGAAAACCAAGATGCCCCAGGAAGGCAAGCCCCTGCGTGGCTACTGGGATGCACTTTTATTTGGGATCTAGAAAGAATAAAGAGGCAGGTGCAGAATTGAGACTTGAGCAGCAGATAGCTGGAAGGCATATTTGGCATCATGTAGACAACAACCCTGCCAACACCTAGAAATCATCCTGGGCTGTCCCCCACCTCTACTCAAATGCAATAACCTCCCTCAGGTGACACACCCCGGAAGTGCACGTGGACGATCTGATGGTTCTCCAGACACATCCACAGCACTGGGGCGGGTCCTCAGGCTGCCCGTGGAATCCCCGCAGTAACCAGACGCCTCTGTCATAACCCAGGGGCCATATTTTTAGAATCAGGTACTAAGTGCCATGTGCACAGACTTTGAGTTCTGGCAGTTTCACTTCTTTATGGCACGTGGACGATGGGTGGCAGCTGCTGCCCCAGGTGCCCTGCCGTGTCATCCAATCATCTCCGTCTCCTTGTGGGGCTCCACTTCTGGGATACCTGCACCCAACTCTGCAAGGCCATCAGCAGAAGTGTCAGTGGCTAGCACAGCAGGTGGATCTAGAACCAGCTCTCAGCTCTGTGCCCGCCACGCCATTTGTTAAATACTTTGAAAACCATCCTTAGGCAGAAACATTCTGCCTTTGCAAGCTCCAAAGAACATTTCACCCACCTCAGTGCTCTCTGTGTGGATTTGAAAAATACAGCCAGAAGGGCAGCTTGTAGGGAGGCATCGCCACCTGCCTTCAGTGGACTCTGTCTGCAAGTACACAGAGAATGATGCTATTATATTTTGGTAGTAAGAGGAACAAAATAATAATTAAAATAAACGCAGAGGTGCCCAGAGCCTCACAGGACATTTCTCACTGGTACACAGGCCTCTGGGAAGCAGAAGGGAATTGATCTCCTTTGCAGCCAAAACCATGCCGACCTCTGCGGTTTTGATTTATGCCTCTGAAAGTCCAGGCATGTCATTGGGGTATGACTTCCATATAATTAAGGCACAGCAAGCCGTGGGTATTCCACAGCCCTGCCATCATCCTGATGGTTCTCCAGACACATCCACAGCATTGGGGCAGGTCCTCAGGCTGCCCGTGGAATCCCTGCAGTAACCAGGAGGCCTCTGTCATAACCCAGGGGCCATATTTTTAGGATCAGGTACTAAGTGCCACATGCACGGACTTTGAGCTCTGGCGGTGTCACTTCTTTATGGCAGAAGGACCTGCCTTCTTGGCTCTTCCTCACAGGAGGGAGGTCTGCACACTTTATACCCAAGCATCAACCGTCCACATTATCCCACAACACTGTTTGTGTTTCTTTCAAGTGTGTGGTCACCCTCATCTTCCTTACCTGTGTGCTCAGCATGTGCCCGCTTCCTCTGACTGTCATAGCCCCTGAACTGACAAAGGATGTGCGGCGTCCCCAGCTCTGCCTTGCAGCACCCAGGGACTCCCCCTAGGGCTCAGATCACACCAACGCATCCTGGATGGGTTGAGTTTGAGTTTTATGTCACACCGGAGCCCCTGAAGCAGAAAGTGACCTTCTTCCCAATCAATATTTGTAAATAGAAAATTCATGACCTTGGAAAAATGATGGGGCTACAAGATGCTTTTTAAAGGAAAAGCACTGACAAAAATCCTTACCACAACTCCCCAAAGGGAAAGGTAGAGGTTCGTATCTTTTTCCTTGGGGACTGGCCCAACGGTGCATACACTCTCTCTATCTCATTTCATATATATTCATATATATATATGTGTGTGTGTGTGTGTGTGTGTGTGTGTGCGTGTGTGTACACATACATATATACATACACATATGCATGCACATACAAAGAAATATAAAAATAATTGTATTACCTACTTGTATGCATGTATGTTCATGTGGCCTCATATGTATGTGTGTATGGTATGTGTGTGTATATATACATTTTTATATATGATGCTATTATATTTTGAGAGTAGAAGGAACAAAATAAAAATGAAAGTAAACTCAGAGGTGTGTCTGTATATATATACATGCACACGTACATATAGACATACGTGTGTGTTTTTCCATCCAACAGAATTATGGCAGCAGCAAGTAAGAAGGTAATGATCCTGAGAATCAGCACCCAAGACCAGTGGTCAGTCCAGCAGGAAAGAGATAAAGGTGGCATGGGACAAGCGCCACCCTCACCTCTGGGGACCATCCCCCAGACACCAAGCAGGTGAGCAGGAAGAGCCTCAGGTGCTGGGAGTGGGTGTAGGATGCAAGATCCCTGTCAACACCAGGTGTCTGTTCTGGGAAATCGGTGCTTCCGGTGTAATAGGAGATGCAGGCCCTCTGCTCTTGGGCAAGCTTCAGCCACACAGCTTCTTCCTATGCACCACCAGCATTATTATGTCATTATATTGCTTTTTATTTTCCACAGGAAACAGCTAAGAGTTAACATGGGGAAAGATAGAAATGCTGTAAAAGGCAGGAGAAAGTCTCATATATATGTATATATATATATCTCAGTTATATGTAATATCTAATTACATAGATATATATCATTAATATACAGGTTTTATATATAATATATATTTACATAGATGTTATATATTTATAGATTAAATATAATATCTGTTTACAAAGATATTATATATTATATACAACTTATTGATACAATTAGAGACCTACAAATGTTATCAGAATAGTACAAAGAATTCTCAGTTTCTCTTCACCCATATTCCACAAATGTAACTCTTTTATTACAATCAACTCCCCCCTTCTCTCTCTCTGTTACCCGCACACAACCACCACCACCCTCAACACACACACAGAATATTATTCCGCCTTTAAAAAGAAGAAAATCCTGCCATTTATAAAACATGGAAGCTGCAGGACATTTTGCTAAGTGAGATAAGTCAGAAACAGAAAGACACTGAAGGAGCTCACTTATAGGTGGCGCCTATGAAAGTCTAACTCATAGTAAGAGTAGAATGATTGCTACTAGGTCAAGTGCAGGGAAGAACTGGGTTGATTTGGTTAAAGGATGAAAAATTTCAAGTCTGTATGATGAATACATTCTAGTATGTTCAGTATGGCAACTATGTATAGGTAGTTATACTCTATTTGCAAACTTGAAATTTGCTAAAAGAGTACATCTTAAGTGTTCTCATAACAAAGAAAAAATGGTAACTTCATAAGGCAATGAATATGTCAATATGTCACTTAACTTGAGTGGAGTAATTATTTCACAACGTGTGTGTGTGTAAACATTACATTGTTCAAGTTAAATAAATGTAATTTAAAAAATCAAACAAAAATTGTGTACCATCCATACTAGGAGGTAGTATACAGCCACTAGAAAGAATGAAGTAGCTCTGCATTTGCTGAGATACAACAATCTCCAAGGAACAATTATCTAAGAATAATTAAGATGTATGGCCAAGTTAAAAAAGTGAAGCAAGGCTGGGCACTGTGGCTCATGCCTGCAATCCCAGCACTTTGGGAGGCCAAGGTGGGAGGATCACTGGAGCCCAGGAGTTTGAGGCCAGAATGGGCAACACAGGGAGACCCCATCTCTACTCCAGGCCAAGGCCGGAGGATCACTGCTATGGTGGTGTGCACCTGTAATCCCAGCTACTTGGGAGGCTGAGGTGGGAGGATCACTTGAGCCCGGGAGATCACGGCTGCAATGAGCTATGATTGCGCCACTGCACTCCAGCCTGGGTGACAGAGTGAAACCCTGTCTCAAAAAAAAAAGTGAAGTATAAAACAATGCTTATAGTATTTTTCCATTTGTGAATGCTGTAAACAGTCCTGTCTCCAGAGATGTTCACCTTGGTCATTTGGTTAAGGCAGTGAGTGCCAGGTTTATCCACTATCAGGTTAGCATGTATTCTTTGTCATCAATATGTATCTTTTGAGGAGATGCTTTCAGACCATTTAAACATCCACGGCCAGGCATAATGGCTCATACCTGTAATCCTAGCACTTTGGGATGCCAAGATGGGAGGACTGCTTGATCCCAGGAGTTTGAGACCAGGTTGGGCAACATGGTGAGATCCTATCTCTACAAAAATTTACAAATTATCCAATGAGAGGCACATACCTGTGGCCCCAGCTACTTGAGTGGCTGAGGTGAGAGGATCACTGGAGCCCAGGAGGTTGAAACTGGAGTGAGCCATGGTCACACCACTGCACTCCAGCCTGGGTGACACAGAATGAGACCCTGTTCCCAAACAAAAAATAAATAAATATCCTGTGAAGAGTCACAAGAGTGAATTTGAAAATTAAATCATTTTCAAATCCATAGATGAATCTTTTGGACTGAAATTTAATGCTTGATACATGGTGAACTTCTAACTCCACCATTGCTTCAGCATTCATCAGAATAATGTTACTTGATTTCTGCAACAGGGAAAATCTTTCCCTTCTCTCCATGTATTTATTGACCGTTTATCTCTCTGTAATGGACTGAATGTTTCTGTTCCCCCCAAATTTGTGTGTTGAAGGCCTCAAGCCCAGTGCAATGGTATTTGGAGTTGGGGCCTTTAAAAGGCTGTCGGGTTTAGAGGAGGTCCTGAGGACAGAGCCCTCGTGAGGGGATCAATGTCCTTATAAGAAGAAACACCAGAAAGATTGCTCATTCTCTCTGCCTTGTGAGGGCGTGGTGAGAAGCTGGCCTTCTGCAGGACAGGAAGTAGGGCTTCACCTGAAAGTGATCAGCTGCCCCTTAATCTAGGACATCCCATCTCCAGAACCATGAGAAATAAAGGTTTGTTGTTCAACAACTCAGTCTATAGCAGTCCGGACTGACTAAGACATCATTAGTCAATCCATCGATATCAGGATGGGCTCATGGATTCTTACGGTATTCAGCAGGTTGTATTCCTTGATTATCATTATTTTATGCGTAACTGGTTCTGCATTTGCCCAGTGGCCGTACCTTCAAGCTGGCTTTCGTGTCCTATTGACAAATCTCCATCATTTTTTAGTCTTTCCCTGCTTTTTCATTCCCCCAAAAGTCTTCAGGCTCATCTGTTCTTTTCCTGTGCCAGCCCTGCTCAGCCATTCCTAGGTGAATGCACTTTTTAATGTGTCAAACCAGGGCCTGGGTAGCTATTGAGTTACGGCCCCTTAGCACTTGCTTGCAATTGTTTTGCAAATACCACAGCTGAGGTATAGACTATGGATAAGGTGGAACACATCTCATATCTCACAGTATTAAGCCCGATGAGCTTTGTATGTCTGGCAAGCAGTCTGCGTCTCTCCAGTTTAGAAGCCACTTAGAATTTTGGGGGTTGAACTTCCGTGGGAAGTGGAGAGGGTTCATTTTGAGTAGTCTTCCGTGAAGACATGCAACTTGCAGAAGGAACCCTCATTCCTATGGTAACAGCCTGATCTAGACCGTCTCTGCTTCTCTTCCCTCTTCTTACCCCCTGCCACCTTTCCTTTGAGTGGCATGCGTCTTGCATGGGGCTGTTTAAGGGGTCTGTATAATGCACAACTCCAGACGCGTCCCTCCTTTGCTTTTGGGAAAGCTGTCAGATTTAAAATACTCACTCTGTCAAACCCTGACAAAATGAAGCCAGGGAAAACCATGAGAGGAGCCCCTTATGCATATTTGCCTGATAATGAGAACCATCTCAGGAGACCGCCAGAAACCACAGCCCTGCACCAAGGCCACTGCAACCTTAGACACAACGTGCTCCTGCAGGGGCATCTGCCCAGCTGCCTCGGGCTGTCGCCACCCTTGTGATTAATTCTTGTAGCCAAGGATGATTATTTTTAAACAACTTATGTAATCATCCTCATTTTACTTTTAAAATCCCTTGTCATCCTTTGTCTTCCTGAATGCACCCATGGTTGCCTTGCCAGGCATGTTTTGCATTGCAAGGCCCTGCTATTCCTGATTAAACTCAAAATCTTCAGTGCCTCTCTTTGTTTGTTATTTAGATTGACACCTTATAGCTGTCGGTGAGACCCAAACTTAGCTCTCCTTCTGAGGCCCTTCGGGGACTAGTACTGATCATCTTGTGTTTTTATCACCCGTTCTCTTTTTCTTCTTTACTTCTTTAAAAAGTTGAGCTTTACAGTGTTAGGCACAAAGGCTTTTTCTAATGAAAGTATAAGTGAGTGAGTGAGAGCAGGTAGGTTAGGTTGGAACTTCCTTTTGCAATGGAATTGGACAGGGAGGGCCACATTTTTGGTGACCCCAGAAAATCTTGTCTGGAATTGTTTTTTGCCCGCTTTTGAAGATCTCTTCCAATGAGTATAACGTTACTGTGGTTGAATGGTCAAAGCCTTCTAGGCAGATAGCAATTGATGAAGGTACGAAACTAGATAAATCCAATCTCAATCTCTTGGTTACACTCCATTACAGCTACCAGAAAGGACTTCTTGAGGTGACTTTTTATCCCCACAGAGCTTTTGGAAATCTGCATACACTTGCTAAGCATCCTGTAAATCTCAATTGCAAATACGTGGAGAGGATGTGAGATTTGTGTGTTATTTAGAATGATTTCAATTGCAGTTAGTAGAATATTATGTAAAAGTGGCTGAGATTATAGGAATTTATTGTATTGCATAACAGACATTTCAAAAGTGGTCATCTCCAGGTTCTTTCTAATTCAGTGACGCACACCAGCATTACTCCAGTGTTTCTATCTTTCCCTTCCATTATGCCCAGTGCATTGGCTGTCATAGTTCAGCTTGTGTCCTCATAGTCACAATACAGCTGCAGCTCTTCCAGACATCACAGACTCACCCATTTATATCCAAAGGCAAGAAGAGGCATGTATGTCCTCATTTATGTCATTTTACCAAAGAACAAAACCTTTCCACAAATCCTGTCACCAGTCTTCTCTTTAGATCCCACTGGTACACAGTGGGTCCTAGATTGAGAGACTCTGGGGATGTGCATATTTGACATTATTAAGCTGCATAGATGGGAGCAGGTCCTGCGGTTAAGGAAGAGGCGTGAGAGAATGACTGATTGGTAGGCAGCCATGAGTCAGGCCTTCTCTTTCCAGGTGGCATCTGTTGGATTCTCTGCATTGTGTGGGGCCCTGTGAGTTTGCACCCCCAGTGGGAGACTTCCTCTTGGTTTCTGGGCTTATCAGGTGGCTTCCTCCAATTGATGTAATTAGGTGCCACACTAATGAAGTTCCTCATGCACGTGGAGAAGTTCGGGGGTGGCCCGGTACTAGGAATCTGGGGTCAGGTGCTCAGGCAGTGTTTTTAACATCCTGTCTCCCTGTCCTGGCTCTTTCTCAGGCCTGCCTTTCCTTCCTGGAGGCAAGATAGCCCTGCTAGCAGCTCCCGGCATCCATCTACTGACTTGGCCACTGCAGGGAGAAAGCTGCTCTCCCCAGACAGGCCCAGCACAAGTCCCAGGGTGGGTGATCACTGCCTTTGTGTGGCATAACTTAGATTATACATCCACTCTGAACCAATCACTGTAGCTAGACCCAGAACCAGGGTTCAGACCAGCGCCGCCTGAATGGCTTCGGTAGATAGTGGGAGAGAGGTTCTAGGTGGGCAGCAAATGCTGATGGGGACAGGAACTGGAGAGGGCACCAATCCGGTTACCACAGTCTCATGGGTCCTGCTGTCGTGCCATAGGAGTCCGAATGAGATTTTCCAGCTCCCCGCCCTCAGAAATCACTGTCTGGGTACATCACCGTAATATCTGTGGATTTGGCATGGGGCACACATTTTCTTAAACTATCTGGTCAAGAGTTGCTGTTTTCAAGTTGACAAACCAACACAGATGATGGTTATCACCTTTGTTTTGTGAGAATAACTTCCGCATTATTTTTAGAATGTATAAGAGAGATTGCTTAAGAAAAAGTAATTATGGGCCACGTGCGGTGGCTTACACCTATAATCCCAGCACTTGGGGAGGCTGAGGCGGGCAGATTGCCTGAGCTCAGGAGGTCAAGACCAGCGTGGGCAACACGGTGAAACCCTGTCTCTACTAAAATACAAAAAATTAGCAGAGCACGGCGGTGTGCGCCTGTACTCCCAGCTAGCTATTTGGGAGGCTGAGGCAGGAGAATTGCTTAAACCCGGGAGGCTGAGGTTGCAGTGAGCCAAGATCATGCCACTGCACTCCAGCCTGGGTGGCAGAGCAAGACTCCATCTCAAAAAAAATAAAAATAAAAAATAAATATATAATCAGGATTACATAATTAGGAGTTCTCATATTCCACTGCCTCTTTCTCCTCGCCTCTATTCCTTCCCTTTTCCTATTTGACCTTGATTATGGTGTTAGACGTGCAGAAAGCTTTGCCTTGGCATGGCAGTGTGTGCCTATCTAATACGCCTGTAAAAATCCATTCCATAATATAAGTACATAGCGTTTCTTTTTATCCTTTTTGTTGAATTATGCTATCAAATGAGATGTTAAATGCAGGCTCATGGGGTGTGTTTGACAGCTAACAAAGTGAATATATGAATATATTTCTAACAAAACGTTGCACGGAGCTGTAATCTCTGAATTGTGACAACCTTGGGTGGAATCGTTTTACTAGAATATAATGTACAAAAGGCCTGAAATATTGTGATAAGAATTTTAAAAGCTGATGCATGCAAAGACCCAATGCACTGGATGAGAAAGGCAGAGAAGGTCTGAATGTAAAATATTTTAGTGAACGCTCATTGTGAGGACTGAAGGTGAGAATCATGTGATTATAAGAAGGAAAGAAGACAGTGGAAAATAAGCAAGCTTGGAAGTGTCTGTACAGCTAATGCCAAGCCACAGGAAACAGAAGTTAGCTGAGAGACTCCTTGCATGGGAACTGGGTACACCCACATAGGTCAGCACTGAGGCTCTTTCCTAAGTGGACATTGTCAGACATGTTTTCTTATGTGCACTTAAATATACCTAGGAATAAAATTACTGGGTCAACGTGTACGTGGGTCTTCAGCATGATTAAACATTGCCAAGTGCTTCTTATAAGTGATTGAGCCAAGTGGCAAAGTGGAGAATTTTCGGTTCCTTTTTTTTTTGAGACAGAGTTTCTCTCTGTTGCCCAGGCTGGAGTGCAGTAGTGCCATCTCGGCTCACTGCAACTTCCAGCTCCTGGAGTCTCCTGTGTCAGCCTCCCGAGTAGCTGGACTACAGGCACACACCACCACACCTGGTCAATTTTTGTATTTTTAGTAGAGACAGGGTTTCACCATGTTGGCCAGGCTGTTCTCACACTCCTGACCTCAAGTGATCCGCCCACTTCCGCCTCCCAAAGCCTGGATTACAGGTGTGAGTCACCTCACCTGGCCAAACTTTCAGCAGTTATACTCTTATCCTCACTTCCTGATTTCAGCCTTGGTTATTTTGAACAATCTGATAGGCATGGAATGGAATCTCATTTAAATTTGTGTTTATCTGACTACTGGTGAAGTTGGGCATTGTCTTAGACGTTTACTAGCCATTTTGTGTTTTCTGTGAATAACACATTGAAAAGAAAGCCATTCCCCATTCTTCACATGACTGTGACCCACCCAAATATAGGAGAGCCTTGACTTGTGGGACCTGCTGGACAGATGGGTCCCGCAGGAGACTCTAAGCAAGATATGAGAGTGCATCTGCAGAGGGGAACCCAGAACGCTGAGATCTTCGGCCCATATCCTGCATGTTAGTCACGAAATGAGTGATGGTGAATATTTCTCCAATTCCCACTTACGTGTCTCTGTATAAGGTGATGACATTGATTGAAATGGGTGATGACGAAGAAGCTAAACTGCATTCTTTTAACTTACCTAGGCAAAAGGTCATCTATCCCTGCAGAATGTTCTAAACTTTTGGGTTAATGATATCTGCATGATTTTTATTTTAACTCAACCTAATCTGCTTCATTTTATTATTCATTATGTCACCGTGTGAATCCCAACCCACTCACTGGCAAAGTTTAATTTCTGGGAAGTCTGATTGGCACAACTCAGCCAAGAGAAGGTTATGGGAAGGGAAGTGATGGGATTTCCAGGGAGCGGGGGGATAACAGCTCAAGGGTCTTCTCAGCTTCCAGAGTCCCCTCCTGCCCATGCAGAGAATATGATGTAAACATGGCTGAGATTGTAGGAGCTTATCGTATTGCGTAACAAGCATTTTAGAGGTGATGGGCTCTGGGTCTTGTTTCGTTTTGTTTTGTTTTAATTCAGTGACACACTAGTGTTATTCCAACCTTTCTATCTTTATCCAGTGTTTCTGTCCAATACTGTACTGGAGCTGACATCTGAAATGACACTTCTCCCCTTTATGGGAGAAGGACTTGGCGGGGACAAGATGGCCATTACAGGTGTTTCTGCCAAGGTAGCCACCACCTTTTCTGTTGGGGTCATTCGTCCCCACTTCGCTGTTTCTTTTGGAACCAGTAACTGCTACTGAGGCTTCTCCTGGCCTGTGAATAATTTGGGAAAAAATAAATAAGTATTGAGAGTAGAATGGATATATTGTCTCCATTTGGATGACATGAACAGCTAAGCAGGAGAAAAACAAAAGTATAGCATTTCCCCACAGCTCCACTCTTACATGTAATTCAAAACAAAAAAACAATCAGAACTCTAACATGAGCCTCAGAGTCAAATAAATTCTGATTTTCCCCTCATAATATATATTTTATATTGAAGATTGAAAAATTAAATTTTGACTTTTCCCCTTTTTTCCTGTTTCCTTTCTTTCCTCTAACTTTTCTCTCCTTTTCTTCTCTCTCCTCCTTCATATCCTTCCCTTCCTCCCTGCCACTCTCCCTTCCTTCCCTCCCTTCCTTCCTTCCTTTCCTTCCTTCCCTCCCTTCCTTCCTTCCTTTCCTTCCTTTCCTTTCCTCCTTCCTTCCTTCCTTCCTTCCTTCCTTCCTTCCTTCCCTCCCTCCCTCCCTCCCTCCCCCCCCAGGTGATGATGGGGGCCCTCTCCACTAATGCCTGAAATACATGCTTAGCAAGCTTATTACCAACATATTATATGTGCAGTGAATGTTTCAACCTATTGAGTCATGCAGACTTGCTGGTTTTGTTTTTTTTTTTTAAATTATGTCGTGGTGTTACAGGTGGCCTGTGATGGTACATACATTTGTTCAGTCTGTGGCTAGGAATCCATGGTAGCTTGGAGAAGTAAAGAGGCCCAGGATAGAAATGGGAGTGAGTATATCACTGCTGGGCAGCATTGATCAACAGCAGAGGTTGGGCTGTGTGGTAGACTTTATTACAGTTCCAGACTGTTTGCTCCCTCTCTCTGTAAGAGGAGTCTGTGTCCTTTTCAGTGTCCTGTGACGCTTTGTGTGCCAGTGAGAGAAGTATCCATGACTTCTTATTATGCCTGGCACAGAGTAAGGGATCTCTAAGTGCTAACTATTATAGTCATATTTTTTTAATGTAACTTCAAAAGGGAGACCAAAAGAGACATGCATTTATAAAATGAGAGAACACTTTTGTGTGTGTGCATGGAGACAAAGAATATCTGTATATGATTAATCCGCAAACATAGGGTCTCCATCCTGCCGCACCTCGCACAACATGCTAGAGTACAAACTAGAGTTGAGGGCGGGGAGGAACGTGATGGCAAAATGTGAGTGGACCAATCCAATAGCACTCCAACTTCAACAGAGGACATAAAGCAGCTTGCAGCAGTTACCGTTTGATTTAACCATAAATAACAGAAGAAGAAGATGTAGGGTGAAGGATTACTTTACTGTTAAAAAAGACTTATCAAAGAAAAAAAGCAAACATGCAAGGAAATTGATTTTATATGGGGAAGTGCACTAGAGACAGCATCCCTCGTCCAAAGATCAGAGCCCTTAGCAGGTTGGTTTTGCCTTAGCCTTTTGTAGGGAAAAGGAGATAAGCTACAAAGAGAGTGACTAACAGCTGAGAATATTTTCCAATCATGGCAAGTCTCAGGCACTTAGCTGAAGAGGCAATGTTTACCTTGGTGTCTACCTAGTTTTAGAGTTTCAGGGAAACAATTCTGGTCTCAGCCAATCACTCAGGAAATGAGAGAGACGTTGGATGGTTTGTGTTTGGCCCTGTCACAGGCAAATAAAAGAGTCACCGTCACCGTGGCCTGGTGTGGTGGCTCACACCTGTAATCCCAGCACTTTGGAAGGCCAAGGCGGGCGGATCACGAGGTCAGGAAATTGAGACCATCCTGGCTAACGCGGTGAAACCCCGGCTCTACTAAAAATACAAAAAATTAAAATTAGCCAGGAGTGGTGGCGAGCACCTGTAGTCCCAGCTACTTAGGAGGCTGAGGCAGAAGAATGGCGTGAATCTGGGAGGCGGAGCTTTCAGTGAGCTGAGATCGCACCACTGCACTCCAGCCTGGGTGACAGAGCGAGACTGTCTCAAAAAAAAAAAAAAGAGTCACCTGTGAGTTTTATGGGAGCCATGAGAAAACACAGACATTATTAAGCCTTTTTTTTTTCCTATCAGCAAAAGGATAAGGACAGAAGAATTCAGTAAACAAAGGTTTTTTTTTTTTTTTTTTTTTTTTCAGGAAGACGAAGCTCAGGTCACATTCATCATGGCTGAACTCCAGGTCACCTGTGGTGCAGAGAAAGTGGCTGGCTCAGATGTCCAGGCCTGTGAGTAGGAACAATGACGGGGCTTTCTCTGAAGCTTGCATTGCACTTATCCGCAGCGGGGAAGGGGTTGCGGAATGACCTCTCTCCTTGTGAACTCCAGCAGAGCAGTTTTTCTGTGTATTCGTTTTCTATTTTTCTTGTTATTGTTTTGTTTTCTAATTTTACAAATTGAAAATGATATATGACCAAGTTTACTCTTCTCTCCTTGGAGACTGAATAATTTTTCAAATCTTCTCTTTCTCATGGACGAATCGTCCCTTCCTGTGTTTAGAAGTGCAGTGTTGTGTTGAGCATATGGACATGACTGTGAGTCCCTGGATGTCTTCTGTTTCTCATGGAGGAATTGTCCCTTCCTGTGTTTAGAAGTGCAGTTCTGTGTTGAGCAGACAGACATGACTGTGAGTCCCTGGCCGTCTTCTGTTTCTCGTGGAGGAATTGTCTCTCCCTGTCTTTAGTACTGCAGTGCTGTGTTGAGCAGACAGACATGGCTGTGAGTCTCTGGGCTTGTGCCCTGGCCCAGTCATTGCCTAGGCAACTCCCTCCCCACGGGCACCTGGCCTCTCTCCACTTTACTTTCTGAACCTGTAAAATGGGTAGGAGGATGGAGGATGGTACGTCCTACCTCATAGAGCTCATGAGAGGATTGGTACAGATGAAAGCACTCGGAACACTGGCTGCAATATGATAGGTCCTCATCCAATGTTAATTACCATTATAATTATAAGCGTCTTTCAAAAGTATTTGTCATAATACCTTTTTATGTGGATGGAAAGAGTGATATAAATTTTCCCTGTCATGATGTGAACAGAACCTGGAGCACGCTTGGGTGGAGCCTGGAACTTTGGGTTATTGAAGAGCCTGCTAGCACTAGTTCTAACAGCTGAGATATAGAATCAGTCCAGGTGTCCAATAATACATGAATGGATGAAGTATCCATGCAGATACATGAATTGAAAATGTATATACACATACACTTTAAAATTTGTGTATACACAATGGAATACTATTCAGCCATAAAAAGAATGAAATCCTGTCATTCATGGCAAAATGGTTGGAACTGGAGGACACCGTGCTCAGTAGAACGAGCCAGGAACACGAAGTTAAACGCCTCATGTTCTCACTTATTCGTGGAAGCTTAAAAATGCTGATCTCATAGAAGTAAAAGGTAGAACAGAAGATCCTAGAGGCTGGGAAGGATTGGAGAAAGGGAGAGATAGGGAGAGATTTGTTAAAGAATACAAAATTACAGCTAGACGGGAGGAATAATTTCTAGTGTTCTATACCACTGTAGGATGACTACAGTTAACAATAATATATAGTTTTAAATAGCTATAGGGAGGATATTGACAAGGAAATAATAAGTATTTGAGATGATGGAGATGCAAATCACCCTGATCTGATCACTGTAAAACATATGTATTAAAATTTCCCTGTTTACCCCCATGAAGGTGTACAATTATTATGTGTCCATGAAACATAAATAAAGTAAATTTTTAAGACTCCAACAAATGCTGAAGTAGGAAATCTATCTGTTTCATGAGGTAATTGACATCAGGCCTCAGGAGAAGCAGGAATGCTCAGCATGGTAGGCAGGGACCCTCACTGTTACAGTGTCCTCATCACTCACGCTGCCCTGTTAGTGCTTGTGCGGTAGCTTCACTTAACTGGTCATCCCAGGAGCAGGCCAGACCCAGCAGAAAGCACTGCCTGTTCTTGCTCATGGGTTTACCTACCGCACATGGCTGGGGAGAGCTGAGTGCAGCTCTTAAGTGAGTCCATCTTCTTGGGTCACAAGGACATTTCAGCTCCAGCTCAGAACACCCCCCAAGTGGGTGCTAAGAATGCGGACTGTAAGATCAGAAAGTGCAGGAATCATTATGAGACGGTGATAAGAAATGTAATTTTGATCTGACATCTGAAATAAATTAACAAGAACATTTCAATGAAGTCCCTGCAACTGTTCTTTCTGGCCTCAGTGGTTCATTGTGAGCCACTGTATAAATAAGCAGTAAAAGATGTGCAGGGGAAACTACAGACAGGAATATGTGGTTGCTGAATCATCTCAACTTTCCCTGGTGATCAGGTCATGAAGTACGGGTCCTCTTTGTGTCAGCAAACATGTGCCAGCAGCAAGCTTGGTATGTTGATTATTTAAAGTTTTTTTTTTGTTCCATATAGTCATTTTCAGTAAAGAAATGTTAATAGAAAACATCTTGCTTTAAATGTAGGAGAGAAAATATTTTGGTCAGACAGAAATATGCTTATTTACATCTTATGAAAACATACATAAAAGAGGCAGAAACCATCGCATTCTGTTGTGATTTTGTTAAACTTCTCAGTTCATTCATTTTACATTTTGCATTTGAGATCATAGCTCCTTTTCTGTAATGCGTACATGTGGGCATGCAAACACACACACACACACACACACACCACTCACATTTGCCTCTTTTCACCCATCTGAATATGGTACCCTTTCTCTAAAATGCAGCCTCACTTCCTTTGAGAAGGTTTCTGACAGGTTAGATTATGTTGAAATATTCAAGCATTTCTTCTACTCTTCTATTATATCTGTATGCCAGGAGACATATTCTCACTCTATTAATGTTGGGTTTGTTCATCTGTCTATATTTCATCATCTGATGGGTGAAGAATACTTCTTTGAGTTTAGCCATATCACTTGCATTGGCTAATTGGATTTGCAAACATGGTGGATAGAAGGATGAAATATTGTCTGACTGGCTCTTTCTTTTGCTATTCCAGGTAGTGTGCGTGTTACAGAGTAAGGAGATAGATAACATAGAGCTGCCCCACAGATGCATAGACCTGCAGCCTAAAAAGCTGCTCTGACTGGTGCGAATGCCAGTGAGCCTGACAATAGGTGCTTAGTATGGATGCCCTCCATGCTGGGGTGATTTGTTATTCAGCAGTAGCTGACTAATGCATCGTCCATGGTAATCTCTACCTCCTCTTACATCATCTTACCCTTCACTATGTGTACAGCATAGTTTATAAACAGTTTATATATCATCTCAAAATATTCTCTAGCTTCATTTGGTGTATTATTTAAGACGGCAATTGACAAAAGCCCAAGCAAAATTTTCTTAATGCACAGGGAAAATGTATCAGCTCACATGACAAGAAGTCCACATGATTCCAGAGGTTGAAATAGTATTGTTATGATGTCTACATGCCCAGCTATCTGGGTTTATTATTCTTCCTTGCTGCAGCAAGTCAGGCCTCTAGAAGCTCCAGGATGCCAATTGATTTGTTCCATATACTCAGCAAAACAGCTCTTCTTTTAAAATATAACTATGAAAGTATAAGCTTTAGTTTCACTGACCCGGTTGAGTTCTTTGTCTCTCTTTTCACTGAGATTATGGAATGGGATGTACTGACTAGCTTGTCCTGGGTTTCAAGTCTATGCCTGGAGCTGGCAGTGGTATCATCCCCATTTCAGAGAATGTCTGCCCCCATGGACAGAGAATGAAGATGAGGTCATTTGCCACAGGAAAATCCGTGCACTTTTATTAGAAGAAGAGAAAGTAGATACCAGGTTGGCTAAAACAAGAGATGTTCATTGACTTAAATCATCACCTAAATGAGAAGTGCTAGGTTCGATTTGATAAATGACTATGTTTAATCAGGAACCTTAAATTCCTAAACAGATATGCAATCACGTATTCTCTTGTCGATTATTCATTCAGTTTGTTTAATGAGTATCTATGTGACCACACCCTCTACTGAGTTATCGTGTGTATTGCTGAGCAAATTCAGGTATTGTTCTTGTATTCAAGACATTATAATTCTGGCAGAAAATATTGTTCTTAAGGACATAAGTAATTAATTACAATTATGATAAGAAGACATCCTTCTAGCCAGAATGGAGTAATATGGACAGAATTTACCCTTCACCTGAAGCACACAGAAACAAAATATATGAAAAACAGTAATTTCCAAGACACTGGACATCAGTTAATATATTATAGTAATCCCTAAGGAAAGGGAAACAAGACAAATGAGTCCTACGATGGTCCCAGATTATTGCCTATAGGGAGTTTCAAGATTCCAGTTTATATAGGGGAAAGCCAGTGGATGCCCTGAATTGAAGAGATACAGATGGAGTCCAGGGAGATGAAAAGGATTAAAGTTCGCAGAGTATGGGAGAGAAGCAGCATAGGGAGAAATCTCCAGAGATATGTAGCAGGACCCCCTGATTATTCAGCAGTGGGTACCAATGCAAAGATGTGAGAAAGCCACCAGGGAATACAGAAATAACTACCGGAAAGGACTAGTGAGTACAGAGGTGACACTCACACGTGGCTGAGAATAGTCCCTATTCCCACCAGATACCATGGAAAACCTAAGGAGTCATGGAGACCAAATAGTGATACAGAAATGTCTTGTCCTGGCACTGGGGAATAATTAGTTCTAGACGGAGCATCACACCAACTGCCAGCAACTGCCTAATAAATACAAAAACCGGACATAAAATAATAAAACTATTTCAAAGTAACTCAACTTTTTTGCAAAACAATCCCCAGGAACATTTGTAGAAATAAAAAAAAAATTATCACCCAGCAAGATAAAATACACAATGTTTGGCATTCATTGGAAAACTACCAGGCATGCAAAGAAGCAAGAAAATACAACCTGACATGCTGAGAAAAAGTGGCCAATCAACTCAAAGCCAAAATGGACACAGAACTTTAGAATTAGCAGACGATGATTGTATTGTTACTTATTACTATTACTACTATATTGTTACTTATTACTATTACTTATTACTATTAAAATAGTGATAAGTGTATTCCAAATATTTGAAAGCTAATAAAGTCATAGAAGATATTTTAAAAGTCTCCATTCAAATGTCTAAAAATGAAAATTACAATGGGATGAAAATATACTTTTGGAGGTTAATGGCAGCTTAGATATTGCAGAATTAAAGATTAGTAAACCTGAACACAAAGCAATGGAAATGATCCAAAATAACATTATATATAAATATATATATATAAACATACACATATATACTATTTGTGTGTATGTATATACACACATATGTGCATATGATTATATGATTGTATATATATATATGATATATATGATTAGCACTTAAATGAGTTGTATAAAAACTTCAATAATGCAATTAGAATGAAAGAGAGTGTGGGTAATTGAAGGAATAATGGCCAAAATTTTCCCAAACCTCATAAGAACTATAAACTCACAGATCCAAGAAGCTCGATGAGCTTCAAGCACAAGAAATGTGAAGAAAATCACTAGAAGACACATAATGAATGATCCAGTTGTTGAAACCAATGATAAAAACAATCACTAAGGTAACCAGAGAACAAGGACACATTATAAACAGAGAAACAAAGACAAGGAAGGCAACTGATTTCTCATTGGGAACATTGCATGTGAGAAGGCAGGGAGCATTATCCTTACAGCACTGAAGGTTAAAAGGGTTAAAAACAAACGAAATAAACTGTCAGCTTAGAATTCTACCCAGTGAACGTCTTTCAATAATTATGACAACATAAGCTGTTTTTCAGGTATACAAACCCTGAATAAATTTATCATCAGGAGAAAGGCACTACAAGAGATTGTAAAGGTCATCTTTCAGTGAGAAGAAAAGTGGTATGGACTTGCACAAAAAAATGAAGGGAAGCAGAAATGATAACTCCAAGGGTGGATGTACACACACACACACACACAAATTATATTGTAATAAAATCCAGATTCATAGGTAAAATATATATAATAACTTTGTAATAAGATCCAGATTCAGTCGGGTTCAGTGGCTCACTCCTGTATTCCCATCACTTTGGGAGGCCAAGGCAGGTGGATCACCTGAGGTCAGGAGTTTAAGACCAGCCGGGCCAACATGGTGAACCCCATCTCTACCAAAAAATACAAAAATTAGCGGGGATGGTGGTGTGTGCCTGTATTCCCAGCTATTCTGGAGGCTGAGGGATGAGAATCGCTTGAACCTGGGAGGCGGAGGTTGCAGCGAGCTGAGATCGCGCCACTGCACTCCAGCCTGGGCGACAGAGTGAGAGTCTCACTCAAAAAAAAATTATTATATATATTTTACATATGAATCTGGATCTCTTTATTTATTTATTTATTTTCTAGATGGAGTCTTACTCTGTCACCCAGGCTAGAGTATAGCGGCACGATCTCTGCTCACTGCAACCTCCACCTCCCGGGTTCAAGCAATTCTCCTTCCTCAGCCTCCTGAGTAGCTGGGATTACAAGTGCCCACCCATGCCAGCTAATTTTTGTATTTTTAGTGGAGACAGGGTTTCACCATATTGGCCAGGCTGGTCTTGAACTCGTGACCTCATGATCCTCCAGCCTTGGCCTCCCAAAATGCTGGGATTATGGGAGTGAGCCACCGCGCCCAGCCAAATTTGAATCTCTTTAAAAGATAAATCATTTATTCTGTAATATATTACCATAGTCTCAAATCTCCCCCAACACATGTATTAATTTGCAAAGGGAAAAATAGTGACTTTGGAGTGGAGAGAACATGAAGATAGACCCTTAAGCAAAGGAACAAGAATAGCACCATCATTAATAAGTTGTACTGAAAGCATGTACCTCCTGACACAATGCACTGCACAGAATACAGGATCACCTTGATGACCTTCCCGCCAACAACGCAGAACTCTAGTCTAATCATGGTGGAACAGCAGCTAAACCAAACTGAAGAGATGTTCTATAAAATCACTGCAAAGTACTCCTGAGTTATGCTGAAGTCATGGAAGACAAAAAAAAAAAATGAGGAACTGTCACAGATTAGAGAGGATTTAGGAAACACAGCCACTGGATGTTGTATGGGACCCTGGATTGAGTTCTGGGACAGGCTAAGGACTTTAGTCAGAAAAACTGGTGATAATCAATTAAGGCTGATAATTTATAGTAGTGTGCCAATGTAATTTTCTGGTTTTGATCATTGTACCGTGGTTGTGTATGAGGTTAACTTTAATGGAGAACTGGATGAGGGATATATGGACATGTGCTATTTTTTCACAGCTTTTCTGGAAGTATAAAATTATTTTAAAATAAAACATTGGCTGGGTGCAGTGGCTCACACCTGTAATCCTAGCACTTTGGGAGGCCAAGATGGGCGGATCACTTGAGATCAGGAGTCCATGACCAGCCTGGCCAACATGGTGAAACCCCATCTCTGCTAAAAATACAAAAATTAGCTGGGTAGTGGGTGCCTGCAATTCCAGCTATTCGGGAGACTGAGGCAGGAGAATCCCTTGAACTCAGGAGACAGGTTGCAGTCAGCCAAGATCACGTCACTGCACTCCATCCTGGGGGACAGAGCGAGACTCCATCTCAAAAACATAAAATAAAATAAAAACTAAACTAAAATAAAATAAAATAACATTGAATTATGATAAGGGCTGAGAAGTGTAACAAAAGATTACTCCAGAATGTAAAACAGAAGAACATGATGTAGTATGGGAAGATATCAACAATTTCCCTGAATAGCTGATACACCTCAGAACTGAAGTACGAGCAAGGATCACCCTATGAAGCATGTATAAACGAGGGAGACTGAGCATCATCTCTGTGTATTCATGGAGCTCAGAATGGACGTTGACACAGCTATGAGCATATATTAATTTTAGCACCATTCCAGGATGTGAAGAAACTAGATGACCCTAGAGAACTCCCTAAATATGGTTTTCACTGAGAAAATTATGCTTTCCTTCTCTGCAGGAAGGGCTTGAACATCTCACTGGTAGCAGCCAGTCTTCTGTGAATCAGGCTTCCAATGATGGTGGTGATTCCTTTTGTGGAGCCATCTAAGTCTTCTTGCACAAGTTTCAGAGTTCCACTTTAATGAACTAACTAGCTAGGGTTAAGAAAAGAATTTGTGTTGCAGGATTGAGTTCTCTTCTGCGAAGCTAAATGCTCCTGATAGAGACGGCAGTTTTAAACCTTGTTCTCAGGTGTGTCATGCTGGACCTGTCTTAAAGATAGTAAAGTAGGAATTTAGCTTTTAAATACCAAGAATAATGAAAAGTAACTCAGCTATTGTTATGAGCTAAATACAGCTTCCATCCGATAGCTCTTCCAATCATCTCGGGACCTAGAATGGTTGCCACATTTCTCTTGGGTAACAAGTAGGTTTTTGTTAGTGGATGAATTTTCAATGTATATTTATAATCTGCCAAAATTCATGATACTGACAAGAGAACTCACAATATATTCTGAGCTGTTACATCCCCTCATCAATATTATCATAATAGAAATAGATGGTAATGGGATGTGTTTACAGTACGATGGGCATTTCAGAATCACATTCCTCTCACTTTTTAAAGATAAAGACACTCTCGATTGTTTATACATATTCCCTTCTTCTATCTGAGCACTTTTCATATTTCTTTATGAAAACAGTTTCCTCTGCACATAATTGTGATTGCCTAGTCTTGAGAAACGTTAACTGTGCATTCATAGGAAAATTAGTAACTGAGAAAGTCTACTTCCATGTAGGCAGGGTCACTGAAATCTCAACTGCTCCTTTGTGGAAAAGGAGATTCTGAGTCATGACCTTCCTTAAGCTTTCCTTTGCCGGGAGAAACCTAATTAGAAGGGGGGTGGTGAATTCAGGGCTATTTATATCATTCTTCTTTCCTCCCAGATAAGTACTCTTAATACCCATTCATTGAGAAGTTGTTCCAATGTTAATGGTAAAATATATCTATCAGAAACTGGCTGAAATGCTTCTACCACCAGAGATCATCTTCACCAGGACACAGGACATCAGAGAGCCTCGGGCAGAAGCAAGACCAGAGTTGGTCTTGAACTTCTTTTTTTGACCAGTCCAGAAAGTCAAACGTCATCTAGATCCCTGGCTGGGTCACCTACCTCTTTAACCTCTAACTGGGCAAAATGCTAGATTTGACTTCCCTTGTGCTTGCCATAGCTAGTTTAAATATTGAAATAAATTACTCTTTCATGCTCTCAGATACCATATTTTGTGATATGACTGTGGTTCTGAGCCTATATTTTCATTTTTTGTGATGCTCATATTTAATAAGCTCTGCAGTGAGGAACCTGGAGTCCCAGTGTTGCTCACAGAGTTGGTATGTAAGAGTTGCTTAGTCACTGTTTGTTGATTTCATGGCATTGTTTTTTCTCTGTTTTTTCTTTTTTCTTTCTTTCTTTTCTTTTTAAGAGATGGTGTCTTGCTCTGTAGCCTAGGCTAGAGTGCACTGGTACAATCATAGCTCACTACAACCTTAAACTCCTGAGCTTAAGCTATTCTTCTGCCTCGCCCTCCCAAGTAGCTGAGACTACAGGCATGCACCACCAAGCCCAGCTAATTTTTTTATTTTTTGGAGAGCTGGGGGTCTCACTATGTTGCCCAGGCTGGTCTCAAACTCCTGGCCTCAAGAGATTGGCATTTTGCTTTTGTAATTAAAGACAACCTGAGCATATGTCAGATATTAGTTTTCTGTGCTGCCTTCAGGTCACTGGGCAGTGTGGCTGAAGCAATAATATGTTTTTATAGGAGGCAGTCAGTTGTCCTAAGCATGGGCATCTGATTATCAAATTTAGCTTCAGATAAGACTGCAAGAGTATTAGCTCAATGAGCCAAATTAGCAATATCTCTCAAGGGCATAGTGCAATTACTTATTTTCCTAAGTAACATAGACACGCTCTGACTTAATTACAATAGTTTTACTGTTGAGTAGATGGTGGTAATTTCCAAGTTAGTATATCTCATTAATGAGGTTTGCAAACTATTCTTGGCAATACTGTGAAAGGCCTTTACATTTCAAATCATTTTCTAAATTGCTAATTGCATCTTTGTAAGAAAAGCATTTCCAACTTTTCTTCTGGAGTTGAAATGTGTGTGCTTCAGAAAAGTCTAAATGCTAAATTTCCCCAGGTGACAAGACTTGACTACACATGCAAAACAAACATAATTATATTTTTTCTCATATTTGTATGTCTCGAAAACATCAGAATAATATCCACCACTATACATTCAGATATTGAGTTGTTTCACTGGGATCTGGAAAGCTGAATTTACCAGGAGCGAAGCCTCTTAAACCAGGAGCGAAGCCTCTTAATTCTGAGGCCTAGTTCTGACCCTGGGGTATTCACATTACCTTAGACAAGTTAGATAACATTCCTCTCCTTCAGCTTATTCATCTACAGAATAAGTGGATTCACCCTGTTACTGAATATCTACTATGTGTGAAACATTATTCTAGGCATTAGGAAAACAGCGACAATTTCTAGGAGCTTATATCCCAGTGGAAAAGACAACAAACACATAGATAAATAAACAAATTAGCAGTATAAACTAGGGATACACTGGTGATGCAGATACAATCAACTAATATAATTCAGATAGTGTTGGGGGAGTGGCTTTGGGAGGAACACCTCTCTGAGGATGGTAAACCATTTGAATGACAATTTAAATAATGAGAAAGGTTCAGTTGTAGAAACCTTGGAGTAAATACCTTTCAGGCAGAGGGAATGGCAGAGAGTTCGCTGAGGTGGGAACTGACTGATTTCTCAAAGTATCTTCAGCTATAAATTTCAATGATTTCTGTATTCGCCACTTCAGAAGTGTGCCACTTACTAGTTGTCAGGATTTAGACTTAATTTTTTTTATATAGGCTTAGCTTTCTTTCATACTATCTTGTCATTAATGCAATGTATGTACAGTTGACCCCTGAACAACTTGGAGGTTAGGGGCACCAACCTTTCTGTCCCCTACACAGTCAAAAAATCCACATGTAACTTTTAACTTCCTAAAAACTTAACTACTAATAGCCTACTGTTGACTAGAAGCCTTACCACTAACATAGTCAATTAACACATATTTTAATGTTATATATTATACACTGTATTCTGTAAGCTAGAGAATAAAAGAAAATAAAGTAAGCCAGAGAAAAGAAAATGTTATAAAGACAATCATAAGGAAAAGACAACATATTTATGATGCTATTCATTAAGTGGAAGTGGATCATCACAAAGGTCTTGATCCTCATCGTCTTCACATTAAGAAGGCTGAGGAAAAGGAGGGGTTGGTCTTGCTGTCTCAGGGGTGGCAGAGGTAGAAGAAAATCCACGTTATCTGTGGACCCACACAGTTCAGCCTCATGCTGTTCAGAGGCCAATTCTAGTTAATGTTTCTATGACCCTCTCCCCCAACAGATTTCTGGGGTTTGTTTCCATCATTGCCAGTCTAGCACACCCCTCTTCCTTGTTGATTTCCCAGTGTTACCATCCAGTGGCTATGAACACATAGAGGAACACGAAAATTCGGCGGCTTCAGCGTTCTTTAGTTTTAATTTTCATTTTAAGTTCCGGGGTACATGTGCAGGACGTGCAGGTTTGTTACATAGGTAAACATGTGCCATGGTGGTTTGCTGCACCTATCAACCCATCACCTAGGTATTAAGCCCAGGATGCATTAGCTATTCTTCCTAATGTTGTCCCTCCCCTGACCTCACCCACTAACAGGCGCCAGTGTGTGTTGTTTCCTCCCTGTGTCCATGTGTTCTCATTGTTGAGATCCCACTTATAAGTGAGAACATACAGTGCTTGGTTTTCTGTTCCTGGGTTGGTTTGCTGAAGATAATGGTTCCCAACTTTATTCATGTCCCTGCAAAGGGCATGATCTCATTCTTTTTTATGGTTGCATAGGTAGCATTCCATGGTGTATATGTACCACATTTTCTTTATCCAGTCCATCATTGATGGGGATTTGAGTTGATTCCATGTCTTTGCTATTGTGAATAGTGCTGCAATGAACATACACATGCATGTATCTTTATAATATAATGATTTATATTCTTTTGGGTATATACCCAGTAATGGGATTGCTGGGTCAAATGGTATTTCTGGTTCTAGATCTTTGAGGAATCACCACGCTGTCTTTCACAATGGTTGAACTAATTTACACTTCCACCAACAGTGTAAATGCATTCCTATTTCTCCACAATCTTGCCAGCATCTGTTGTTTCTTGACTTTTTAATAACCACCATTTTGACTAGCATGAGATGGTATCTCTGCTCCAGCCTTCTTAAAGATTCTTGTATCTAGGGTCCTTCCCAGATATCAACAATTCTCTTGAAAAGATATCCAATTTAAATGTTGTCATTTACATGGAATTTTCAACAGAGTATTAAGTTGAACATTTTCAACACTTCTGCCTAATACCGATAAGATTGATGTTAATAAAGATAACTAGAACAATGCAGCTAATGTATATTTCACACATTCATCTGGTAAGGCATTGACTCTATGAAGGAAAGTATTATGCAATGATGGGTCTAACTGGTGTCTAGAAATGTACCAATCAATAACAACATCCAGTCTGACTCAGTCCACTCCAAAACAGTCAAAAACGAAGCATCAGAGTCTGGTTGCCATCATTTCAATACCTAGTGCCAGTTGATGAGCTCCTTCTGTTTTGATCCATGATTCACACAAATGCTTTGTCAAAACCATGACCACCATATTGGTTTCACTTCACTGGCTCATCTGGCCATTGCTGGTCTATGGAAATTTTTTTTCACATTGCAGCATACCTATAAAAGAAACTTTTTAGAAGTATTCCAAAATTCGACCACAGTTCTAAAAACATGCATGTCATTACAAGTTTTGAATCTGAAAGAAGATCAAAGAGTGTCCAGTCAAAAGTAAGAAAATTATTAAGGTAGACCAGACAGTTAATAACTAAAGTATTAGCACATTAAAAAAATAGACAATGCTTATGGTATTTCTTATATTTTAATAAAGATATTATTTTATGATTTATAAATATTTATTTGTACACCTTATTTTGTGTTCATAGTTTTGTATTCTTTTTCTTAAAACAGATTTCCTGAATTATAAACTCTTCAGGCCCTACAAAGCCTGGATGCACCTGCTTGTAACTATTAGCTCTCTGTGTAGGCTCAGCTCAGTAGGTAACCATGACAAGGGCAGGAACCCCTTCATGGTTACATTTATGCAGGACCCCAGGAGAATGTGAGAGTGCACAAAGGTGGTCAGTAGAACAGCACCTTTGAATGACAGAACCTCCTGTGCCTCTTTGTAAGAACTTTCAGGGAAGGTCCAGGTCTTTAATTCTCCATCAAGTGGAAAAGGCCATATTCAGCCTCACCTCTCCAGGGTCACGGGACACAAGAGGGATGCAGCAGTGGCCACTGTCTGCAGGGATGATGGCTCTAGTCTCCTGTGTCATCAGCCAGTGACTAGTTAGGTGACCTTGAAAAAAATAATTTTACTTCTGTGTTCCCTTTGAAATAGGAAGTATAACAGAATCTACTTGTTAGGCTTGTGTGAGAATTAGACTATGTATGTCAAGTGGTGAATACAATAAAGGACAGCTGTGGTCGTTGTCAATGCTACTGTCTTCATCCTCCTCTCCATCAGTGTCAGTTCTCTACTTTAAACAGCACTTTTTCCATAACGTCTTCTCTGGCTACCCTAATTAAAGTAATAACTCTTGCCTTCACCCCTGTTTCCTCATCCTGCTTCATTTGGCTTCTTTGCATTTATTTTTCCCTGACATGACATGCATTAATTTGGTTGTGGTCTGTCTCATTCCAAAAGGGAATAAATTCCATGATTTCAGAGGTCTTGTTTTCCTAAATGCTGCATTATTAGTGTCTAGATACATGCTTGGCATACAGTTGGTTCTCGATAAATGCTTGATAATTAAACAAATCAGTATTCTCACAGTCTATTCACTGCTGTGTGGCTAAGGTAGAAATATATGGGCAGGTCAATGGCTGGGATGGATAAAAAATGCTGGAAGAATGTTTATCTCTTTCCAGCATGTTCAATGTTCACAGCTGTAGAATTAGTTCAAAAATAATTTGGATCTCTCTTTTAATTTTTAATTTTTTTTTTTTGAGACAGAGTTTCGCTCTTGTTGCCCAAGATGGAGCGCAGTGGCATGATCTCGGCTCACTACAACCTCTGCCTCCTGGGTTCAAACGATTCTCCTGCTTCAGCCTCCAAGTAGCTGGGATTACAGGCATCCACCACCATGCCCAGCTAATTTTTTGTATTATTATTATTATTGTTTTTAGTAGAGACAGGGTTTCACCATGTTGGCCAGGCTGGTCTCAAACTCCTGACCTCAGGTGATCCACCTGCTTTGGCCTCCCAAAGTGCTGGGATTACAAGCGTGAGCCACCATGCCCAGCCTGGATCTCTCTTTGAGACTGCCATCTCATGGGCAAAGACCAGTGTCAGCTCTGTAAAATGGAATCCTTGTTATGCTCAGTACGTGATAAGACATGACATGGTCGTAGTGTGGCATCAGGGCTTCCTGCCCAAGTCATGTGCAGCAAAGTGGTTCATGCAACCATTTGTTCTCTGCAGAGCTCAGATTAAACAAAAAATGCTGATAGACACAGGCAGGGGAGAGCTAGGTTTTGTGGAAACATGAATCTTCTCTCTTCCATGATAAGGGGAAGTTAATAAACATCTAAAATCTTTGATGCCATCAAGTGCCGATAAATCATTTGTGAAAATGGAAAGGAATAAAGGTAGTGGAACATTGAAGCAGCATTTAAGGTGATGCTGGAACACATGGCATGGACACCACTAATTTGGGTTCCTAGAGAGATATTAGTCAATACTCGAAGCATTGAGAAAGTAACAATTTGCCGAATTATAAGATGACCTGGCCATGAATTCAAACTTGGAAGCCTTTTAAAAAAATTTCAACTCATGAAATATACCGATTTCTAAAGCTTAAGTAAGTTTTATTTTAAATAAATGAACTCATCAAAATGCAATAAAAATTAAATGAGCTAAATTAATTTAACTTAGAAATAAATGTTTTTAATGGAGTTACTGAAAGGGATATGATCCAACACATTTGCACTTATTTATTTCTGTTATGTAAATCAAAAGTATTAAGTGACAAGCTTAATGTTCCGTCTCAGACTATTTTTGTTTCAATGGAAAACTGATTTAATCAGAAAACTTTCTCATCTAACAACACAGAATAAGTCACAGGAGACTGTTCTAGATAATTAAAGTTTAAATTTAGCTTTTGGATTTGAGAAATGTCTGGTTTAATCATTTTAATTTACAGTAAATATGAGAATATTGTGAGACTGGATTTTATTTTCTCCTCTTCTGTGTGCATGGGGGCTCCGTGGCTTTGTGGGTTACTTGGATTACATGAGGAACATTAAGGATCAATAACTTGTAACACATAGAACATTATTTTGAATTGGGCATTTTGCTAAGGGCTTCATATGACCAACCATTCAGTCCTTTGTGCACCCATTTTACAGTTGAGTAAACAGAGGCGCTGAGAGGTGAAGTTACTACCTCATGGGCTCAGAGCTAGGAAGCTTCTTCTTTTCCATCTCTGAGCTCTGCTATTCTGTGTGCCAGCTTCTTCCTTGTCAAGCTTCCCTCATGCGTTGAGAGACATGATGACCAGCGTCACTGGATTTGTATTCCACCAGCCTAAAAACCCTAATAGAAAGAGAACAACCCAAAGGTTTCTATCAACAGCCTGTAATGCCGAGTTAGCTCCTTTGCTATAAAGGACATTATTGAGAATTTTGGTGAAATTAGAATGAAGTTTGATTTTTATATATCAGTAACATATCAAGGTGAATTTCCCGATTGTAATGGTTGTCTGGAAGTTTTGTAGGTTTTGTTCTTATTGTAGGAAATACTTAAGTAATTTGGGGTGACTGGGCATCAGATTGGCAATTTATTCTCACTTGGTTCAGGGGGGGAAAGTTCCTTGTACTATATTTACTACTGTTGGTTATTTTGTGACTATTTCAAATTAAGAATATATTAATATTGTTAATGCGTTACTCCACAACCGTCTGTGATTGTGGGTCCCCACTGGCGTAGTCTGTGCTCCTGCTAGGGGTGGCTCTGCTTTAAGTGTCCCTCAACTCCCTCTGGCACCAGCTGGCCAGCCCAGCAGCACATTCCCAAGGAGGTGGGAGAGGCCCAAGAGAGCAATTAGAACACTCATGGGTACAAAGGGGAACTCCAACACATCTCTCTCTTTCTACTGGCCTAAGCAAGACATGTGCTTGAATACCAAGCAAAGAGGCTGATATGGTTTGGCTTTTAATCCCCACCCAGATCACATCTGGAATTGTAATCCCCACGTGTGGAGAGAGGGACCTGGTTGGAGGTAATTGGATCATGGGGCGGTTTCCCCCATGCTGTTCTCATGATAGTGAATGAGTTTTCATGAGATATGATGGTTTAAAAGTGTGTGACTTCCTTTGCTCTCTCTCTCTCCTGCCCCCATGTAAGACAAGCCTTGCTTCCCCTTCGCCTTCCGCCATGATTGTAAGTTTCTTGAGGCCTCCTCAGCCATGCAGAACTGTGAGTCAATTAAACCTCTTTTCTTTATAAATTACCCAGCCTTGGGTAGTTCTTTATAGCCATTTGAAAATGGACAAATACAGGGGCCTTTTAGTGGGATGAATCCACATCTCCGCATGGCAAAGGAGGTAAGAATTGAGGTTAGTGATGCAAACTACCTCAGTGCTGTAAACGGAAACAGGCGGGGTTGCACAGGGATGCTATAAAGATGTCCACCACGCCTGTCTTTCATATGTACAAAAGAAAGGTACATCAGAGGAGGTAAGTATCCAGAGCACTCACCACAATGTTTGACCCATAGTTAGCAATTAATAAACGTTAGTTATCTTTATTTTAACAATTTCCATGGTCAAAGTTGCTGATTGTCTATATATAGATGCCAGACCAAGAAGAAAGATCGAAAAATATCTTAATTTTCTCTGTACGTTTCTTTGTGATGGTGAGAAGAAATTATTTCTTCCATGCCAAGCAGCTGGTTGGGTCAAATATCTCCAGAACATTATGGTTTTATTTGTGTAATTAATTAAAACTTTTTTCAATATCACTTTCATAAATCTTGAATATGAAGTACCTATAAATTGACTTAGCTCTGGTTTATAGATTGGCAATGTAAAAATGTCATATATTCTATATCCTTGTAAGTCAACCATAATTCATTTAAGATTTGGAGAATGGGTAATACAAATGGAGTAGAAAGAAAAACTATAATAGGAACGTATTTAGTTAAAAAATGTAAAAGAAAAGTTTTTAAAAACAAAGAAAGCATGTTTGAAAAAAGTTGTAAAAATTAAGGATCTAATACACAGGTCTAGATACCTGCTCAAACACATACCTTCTAAGATCCACTGATGTTGAAAACTTGATTTTCTCACAAACATAGCCCCAGGTGATTGGGAAGAGTCTGAGAATTCAACCTAATTACCTGAATCATTTTAGGATTTGGAAATGATTTGTGTGGAATATAATAAAACTTAATCTTCCTCTTCACCCAAATTTATAGTTGTGGTGGAGAGGAATTTATTCCATGTGGAAGGCTGAGTATATTTCAGAAGAGGATGCCTGCTCACTTATAATCAGACTTAGAAGGCCATTCTAATTATGATTTACTACCATGCCTTTCAGAACCAGTCTCTCTTCAACCCCACACAAATGATAATTTATATGGTAATGGCCTCAACTCCATATTTCTCATTGAAGTTTTGAATCAAACTTGAATTCGTATCCCTCTTTTTAGAATGATATATATTTTACTATTTTTAGAGGTGGCTGAGTGTATTATAAAAGGTTTTTAAATGCAAAAAACAATCCCTTAATTAAAAAAAGAAAACTGAGCCAAAGAGATAGTGAAATAATGCAATTATTCTGATTTGTGGTACATATTCTTGCTTTCTCACTCAATCCACTCTTTTGCTTCATGAGAGAGAATTCAGAAGAATTATTGAACTGAAGTAGGTAACTCTTTCCTTCACCTGGTTTATCAATGAAACACACACACACACACACACACACACACACACACACACGCAGTTTTTTTCTAGCACCTAAATTTACTTTTTCCCTTTTGGGGAAAATTTTTGAGCATTGGGGGAAAATTTAAACATTATGTGGGTACTCTGGACTTTTAATTTTCTTTCTTTTAAAATGAAGATGAGAGTAATTTACTCTCATCTACTTATGTTGATGGGGGAATCTTCATAAAACTGTTACTCAGTTTTATGAGTAAAACTGAGTGAATCCTGGAGAATTGAGCCTAAGTCATACTAGTACATAGAAAAGTGGACTTCATTAAAAATTTTGGATTAGCTCAAGAAATCAAAAGTTATTGAATAACTAGGCATCAACAGACAAAAGCCGAGAGTAGCTCTAAAATCCTGGGAAGAAATAATTCCTGGAGTCTCTTACTAATGTTCTGTCATTAATAAAGACACAGTGTTTCCACATCAGTCTTTGCACTTCTCAATTCAAATTCTTGAGGCAAAGCATCTGATTGGCTTCTTGCTGGCCAGTGGATGTCTCTCAGAGGGCTGGTGGTTCACCTTTGGTCTAATTTCCTAAGACCAATAAGGTAAATTAATATAGTATAATCAACATTTTGGAGTCTATTTCTATGGTTTTTACAGGCCAGGTGCAGTGGCTCGAGCCTATAATCCCAGCACTTTGGGAAGCTAAGATGGGAGGACCATGTAAGGCCAGGAGTTACAGATCAGCCTTGGCAGTGCAGTGAGACTCCATCTCTACAACAACAAACAAACAAAAAAACATTAGCCTGTGTGGTGGTGTGCACCTGTAGTCCCGGGTACTTGGGAGGCTGGGGTGGGAGGATCGCTTGAGCTGAGGAGGTCAAGGCTACAGTGAGCTATGATTGTGCCACTGCACTCTAGCCTGGGTGACAGAGTGAGACTCTATCTCAAAAGAAATTAAAAAAGAAAAAGTGTGGTGTTTTTACTCTGAAGACATCCCTCCAAAATATTTCCTCATACCTTAGGTCTTCTCATGTGACATGTCTCGTGAACAGGATATTGTTGGGTTCAGCCAACCCCGCATCCATATCCCCTTCCTTTGGAAGCAGTTTACCATTTTCCTTTTGGACACTTACTTCTGATCATAGACAATGTTGGTTGGGTTGCAAGTCAATGTTTCTCATGCTCCACTGGCTAGGGACTGAAGGTGTGACCTATCCTCAGCCAATCAGATGCTGTCTTCTGGGTTTGGAATATTGAATCTTATTGAATCTCGACTTCCTCAGGGAGAATATGTGCAAAATAGAGGTATTTATGTACATACACACATGCATATATGTACAAGTGCATGTATATGCACACATACAACTTGATCCATTTCTATATCATCACCCCTCTATGATAAAATCATGAATTCAAATTGATAGCTCTAATTCTACTCCAGCATGGCAGGAGTCATTCTATTTTCTTATTTGTAGCTCCCTTCTCAAGCTAGCAGAAACCTGGCTCCCTTTATCACTGGATCACATTGATTGATGTTCAAATATTGAACCAGACTTGCATGTGTGGAATAAACCCCACCTGCTCTAGGTGTATAATCACATATAGATTACTGAAATATATCTGCAAATATTTAATTATTAGGTTGGTACAAAAGTAATTGTGGTTTTTGTCATGTCTTTTAATAAATATTTTGCATCTATATTGGTGATTAATATTGGTCTAGTTTCATTTTTGTTTTCACTATCTTTACCTAGTGTTGGCATCAAGGTACTACAGGCTTCATAACGTGAATTGAAAGTTGTTGTTTCTTCCTTTTATATTTTCTGGAGGAGTTATTTTCATCGTATTTCACACTTCTCAAAGTGTGATGGCTGGATCAGCAGCATCTCCATCACCTGGGCACAGTTTTCGATACAAGCGCATTCAGACCTGTAGAACAGAAACTCTGAGGGTGGGTCTGGCAATTCAGTTTAACAAGCTCTTCAGGTGATTCTAATCTAAAGCTGAAAAACAGTGCTTTACATGTATTATATAATCAACTGGCATTCAAGCTTAGCTTTACATTAGAATTACCTGGGGAGATTATAAACTACCAAAATCTAGGCTGTTGCCAAGACCAGGTAAAGCAGAACCAGTTATCAGCAACTTTTATGTCATGTCAAGTAATTCCAATGTACAGTCAAATTGGAGAACCTCTTATCTAATTAAATCCTCCTAATAACAGGTTAGATATGGTCATCCCCACTTTACACATGGGAAAACTGAGGTGTGAAGAGATCAAAGAACTACTCCCCAGCAGTGGTGGGATTCAAATACAAATCTAGCTAAAAGTTTCCAAGTCCATTTAAATAATCATAAACTTCAAGCTAGTAGGGCTGGTAAAAAGTAAGGTTCACCTGTAAATATGTCACCACAACATACCAAACACAACAAACCAAAATCTTGCTTGGACTTTTCTCATCCTAATAGAGGTTTTGTTAGTTAGTTAGTTTGTTATATACTGTGGTAATGGTAAGGTCAGTATGCCATTCCAAACCAGGAATCTCAGATTACTTCTCCAGAGGAAAAGAACAGTGTAGCCAACAGCCTTCTCTCTCAGGGCCAATGGCCCTTAGAGACCTTCAGTGGAGTAGAGGGGGGCTCCATGATTGGGCCTTGGGTGCAAGTGAAGCTAATAGAGTTCAGCACCATTAGTAAAGTGTCCTATCTAGCTGACTTGATGGATCAACAACTTGTTTTGGTGATTCAGCCACCCACCATGTCTCTATAGGTTGCATCAGAGCCCAAGAGTGGATATTTTAGTTTTTGGTTGTTTTTTTTTTCTGAGCCCACAGTGGATGAAACAACACAAAACTTCACAGACCACTTTAAAGGAGTCAGAGTAGAAAGAAAAATGTATTTTCTTTTTCTGTGACACATGGTCAAGATAAAAAGAGAACTCTAAAGACAGCTGTCAAAATGACAATCGATCCAAGTTAAAAACCTGGAATGGCAGGAAAGTTACAAGAAAAGGGGGAAATATAATCAAGGAAGAGCAAGAATCCTTTTGATTGAAAATGGCTATAGTTGTGGGAATTTGGGTATTCGTATTTTATGAAAGCATCCTGCTTCCCCTCCCCACAACCCTTACAAGAATGGGGCACTGAACGGTTTTCTTTGGCACATTTACCAGAACTGTGATCTTCCAGTTAAGACGCAGCAATGACAGCTCCGTCCTTCATCTGTCTCCCGCCATCCCCACCAAAGGCTTCTGTTGAAATTTGTATTTGTCTGTTCCCTGCAGCCTCCTCTAAATGTTGCTTCCTGCCTTTTAGAGCGTGAATTACACATCCAATGTCTGGCAGCATATGTGTGAATTCCTCTCCCCAGACCTGCCTCCTATCTTGTGATGCCGGCCAGGGCTGGAGATGGAGAGACAAGAACCTGGCGCAGGCTTGTTTGGCTTTACATATCGATGTGGCTGCTCTCTGTCCATATCCTGATGCACTGATTCTGTTTATTGAGAATTTGTGAAATTGACACTTCACTTTGTATTTTTGTCTCCTTTCCCCTTCCAGCATCCAGCACAGGAATGGGAGTTGGTGGGCAAGCAACTTTGGGTGCAGGTTAAGCCTGTAGGGGCTTCCTATGTGCTCAGCCATTAGGGAACATTTATGGCACCAGCATGGGGAGCAGTGATTGATGAGACAGTCCTGAGGCTTCCTTGTCCTGAAATGTTGGCTGAAGCAATCAGAGAGAGAAGAGGAAGGTTTGAAGTGATTTGGCTGGTGATTCTTTTTGTGGAAACTGCCGTCATGACTTCTCTTTTCCTAATGCTGTGGGCTGAATAGCACCCACCCACCAAATTCATACATTGAATTCCTAACCCTCAATGGGACTGTGCTTGGAGATAGGGCCAATCAGGAGGTAATTAAATTTAAATGAGTTCAAAAGGCTGGGGGCTCTGATTTGATACGTTAGTGTCCTTATGAGAAGAGACTCAATCTCTCTCTCTCTCTCTCTTTCTGTCTCTTATTCTCTTCTTCTCTTGCTCTTTCTTTCTTTCCGTGTAAGGACACAGTGAGTAGCTAACTGTCTGCAATTCAAAAATAGAGCCCTTACCAGTAACTGAACTGGCGGTCACCTTGATTTTGGATTTCTAACCTTCAGAACTGTGATAAATAAATTTCTTGTGTTTATGCCACTCAGTATTTTGGTTTGGGTTAACAACCAAAACAGACTAAGACACTCTGTAAGAGAATGTCTGAATGGATGCATGGAGGAGTCTGAGTGTCTGAGAAAGGGGTATGGTCTTCGGCAAGTTGGATTCATTCTTTTAGGCCTGTTTCTCCATCTTTCTTGTGAAAGGATAAAGCCATTTGTCATCTGTCCATTCATTAATTTACTCTACAAATTACACTTAGCGCTCCTAGTCTTTAACTAGTATTGAATACAGTTAATTACTAAGTATGTTGAATATAGTACACTGAGTGTATTAGTCAGTTCAGGCATTGCTATAAAGAAATACCTGAGACTGGGTAATTTATTAAAAAAAAAAAAGAGGTTTAATTGGTTCACAGTTCTGCAGGCTGTACAGGAAGCATGGTGGCTTCTGCTTCTGAGGTGGCCTCAGGAAACTTACAATCATGGTGGAAGGGGAAGGGAGAGCCAGCACTTCACATGGCTGGAGCAAGAGGAAGAGAAAAAAAGGGGAGGTGCTATACACTTTCAAACAACCAGATCTCCTGAGAACTCATCACCAGAACAGCACCATGGGGATAGCGCTAAGCCATTAGAAACCACTCCTATGAACCAGTCACCTCCTGCTAGGCCCCAATTTCAGCACCGGGGATTACAATTCAACATGAGACTTGGGTAGGGGTAAATATCTAAATCGTATCACTGAGTATAGCAGAAAAGCATGGTCCCTGACCCCACCAAGTTTATATTAAAGGAGACAAGCAAGAAACAATTAAGTCATTGCTATAATCTGAATGTTTGTTTCTCCCCAAAATCCGTATGTCAAAATCTAATCTTCGATGTGGTGATATTAGGAGGTGACATCTTGGAGAGGTGATTAGGTCATACGACTTTATCCTCATGAATGGGATTAGCATACTTATGGAAGATGCTTGAAAGAGCTACTTGTACCTTCTACCACATGAGGCTACAGCAACAAATCACCATCTATGAAGCAGAAAACAAGCCCTTACCGGACACCAAAACTGCCAGTGCTTTGTTCTTGTACTTCTCAACCTCCACAACTGTGTGCGATACATTAGCCACGCAGCTCATAGTATTTTGCTATAGCAGCGCAAATGGATGGGAACCTACATATTAGATTTAATTATATGAGTTGCTGTGTTAATAGATCTGATTAATAACTACACATTTTAGTGTGCATTACAGAACAGAAATATAAGATGTATGCTTTTCTCAAGCTGTTACTTCTGCCCTTAATTTCTACAGCTGGAAAGATATTTCACTTGAAATTCTGGAGTTGAAAAGTGACCTTCTATGTTTCTGCTGGATTCCAACAGCCCTGAGGTCTTGGGTGTCAATGTCCAGTTTAAATTGAATAAAAGAGAAATATAGTGGAGAGGGACTCATTGACTAATATAGCAAAAATAATATTCTGCTATATATATAAGATATTTTAGCTTACATTAATAACATTTTATCCACTCCTGCACTTTTCTGGAGGCTGGGAAATCCATGACCAAGGTGCCAGCAGATTCAATGTCTCAGCAAATTTCAAGCATACACAATATTATTGTTAACTGTAGTCACCTTGCTGTACATTAGGTCTCCAGAACTTATTCATCTTATAACTGAAAGTTTGTACCTTTCTTTGTTTTGCTAAAACTATTTCCCAAAATAGTCCATGTCAATACAAATAAATCTATCACATAACTCCAGAGTATGCAAAATATTGACTTTTGTGGGTATATTATAATTTTATTGAAAAACACCTCTTCCATTGAAAAGACATTTAAGTTTGTAGTCAGTATTTGTCATTGCAGTGAAATGTACAATGAATATCATTTAAAATATAGCTGCATCTTTGTCAGTAGGTACTTAAGGAAATGGCCAGCACGAAGGGTTTTTATATGGGTCTTGCTAGGTTAATCTTTAATAAGGCTGCACTAATTTCCACTCCCACCAGCAGTACATGAGAGCACATTTTCTCACTTTGTTATGGAATTTGAAAAGGATATTGTAGGAGATACATTTGGAAAGGAGGCCACCAAACAAGCTCAGAAATAAAAGGCTTTGCACTCCAGCCACATTTGTCACTTCCTGACCTGTTCTCCCCATTCCAGCATCCACAGCCTCATTCCGTGACTTGAGAGACTGAGCCCTACTGCCCGCCCACCTGCCTGGGTTCCTTTGCTGATTGGGGAGGGGACATAGCTAAGTGCAGGCCTCAATCGGAATTTAGACTGTGGAAGAAGAGAGTGTTACAGGGCTTATCTTTCTTGCTTTCTTTCCTTTTTTTTCTCTGTACCACATATCTGGCCTCTTTGAACAACTGCAGCTTCTGCCTGTCCCCTCTCCAAGTGCCCCAGCTTCACTGAGCTCAGATCAAACTATATATTCTCCTGACTGTGGCCCGCTGCTGTTAGTCCTAGCACCCGGGTGTTGACAAATCCTTTCTATTTACATCAACAAATAAGTCCCTTATTCCAGTTAAGCTATCTGGAGTGTCATTCTGGTTTTTTTTCCGGCATTCAAAGAATGAGTTTGGATTTCATTCTGCAAGCAAGGAGGAGGAAGGGCTGCACTTGGTCATCGAGTCTCAGCTCCAGGCCCCTGATGCAAGCCCTGGGGAGCACAGAAACACCAGAGCCTGAACCACACGCATCCTCCGGTGTCCTTATGTTTTGAATGTTCCTGGGGCAGGGAGAACAATGAGTGTTCCTTTGGTGTCCATTTATTAATATAAGTCTTTGTTTTCTAATAGAAAGTCTTTAGATTATTTTTATTTAGTATCTTGCTACATTTGCTTCAAGAAAATCCTATGAACATTTAATGTGCAATATTATTGAAAGGCTGTTTAGAAAGATTAAATCACTTCGATTAATTTCAGTTGTATACATCCTAACATCTACAACCCCCTGAAATTACATTACCTTCTAAGAAGAAAGGGGGAGATGCTATACAGTTTTAAACAACCTGATCTGCTGAGAACTCTGTCATAAGAACAGCATTTCTTCATTTGGTTGAGCTGTGGAAGGCTGCCAGCTATGAAGCTCCACCTTTTGGGGGTGGGGAAGAAAGAAAAATGAAAACCAATTTTCTCCATGAATTTTTTTCCAGCTTTATTGAAATATGATGGACAAATAAAAATTGCATTATTTAAGGTGTGGTTTTAATATATGTATGCATTGTGAAATTATTACCACCACCAAGCTAATTAACACATCCATCATCTCACACAGTTACCCTTTTTATTCAGTGGGGAGGGAGGTATAGATGTGACATCACTTAAAATCTACTGTTACCAGAAGCTGAATCTTAATATCTACTCTCGCCATCAACTCATATAGGTAAACATAATATGTAGATTCCCATTCATTTGAGCTGCTGTAACAAAATACTGTGAGCTGGGTGGCTGAGAAACAACAGAAATCAATTGCTTCTGGTTCCGGAGGCTGGGAAGTCCAAGACCAAGGTGCCAGCAGATTCAGTGTCTCAGCAAATTTCAAGCATACACTATATTATTGTTAGCTGTAGTCACCTTGCTGCACAGTGGGTCTCCAGAACTGATTCATCTTTTAACTGAAAATTTGTACCTTTTGGCCAAACACCTCTTATTTCCCCACACCCAGCTTCTGATAACTACCATGCTATTCCCTGTTTTTAGGAGTTCTACTTTTTAAGATTTCACATATAAGGAATATCTAATGTGATATCTGGATTTGGTAGAAGGTGTTGCTGAAAATTTTAAAGGCTCATGATTCAGTCTTTTGTTGTTGTTGTGTTTAAATTTTCAAAGAAGCCAGATACAGAAGGCCATATATTGTATTATTCCACTTATATGAAATGTTAGACTAGGCAAATCCACAGAGAGGAGTGACTACTCATGGGTACAGAGTTTCTTTTGGGGTGATGGAAAAATTCTGAAACTAGGTAATGGTGATGATTGCACAACATTTTGAATGTACTAAATGCCACTGAATTGTACTCTTTAGAATGGCTACAATGGTAAAATTTATGTTATGTGTATTTTACCATAATTAAAAAAAGCAAAAGATTTAATCAGCTAAATAGTATATGAATTGCATTATCTTGTGAAATAACTACAGGTAAGACTATAATCTAGACAAATGCTTCCCCAATCTAGTCCTATTCCCCAAATTAACCACTGTTTTCATTTTAGCATTTTTGTCAAAATATTTTATCTATCTCTTTACATACATATGTATGTAGTTGTAAAAAAATATGGAATTATTTGGAATATGCGTGTGTTGTAAGATAAAGGGCATTATACTGCATACATTGGTTTGTGTACCCAAATTAAGTCTTAGAGAACTTTCCAAAACAGTGTAGTAGTTCTTCCTTATGTTAAAATATGAGGAAGCTAAATATTTCTTCACTCCAGATATTTAGTCATTGGTATTAAGCCTTTTACTATTGATGAACTTTTAGGGTGTTTACATTTCTAGTTATCCCCCTCATTGCAGTCTTTCAAGTCTGTTCTGGTTTGAGGATGAAACCAGAACGTGTCATTTTGGATGAATTGGTTGCACTCATCACAAGAGCACTATGATTTTAAAAACTTATTTTTTGACTTTTTAGTAATGGCCATTCTGACTAGTGTGAGATCGTATCTCATTGTGGTTTTGTCTGCATTTCCCTAATGATTAGAGTGAACATATGAAATGTTTGTTAACCACATGTATGTCTTCTTTTGAAAGGTGTCTATTTATCCCCTTTGCTAAATTTTTAATGGTGGTGTTTGGTTTTGGCTTGTTAATTTGTTTAAGTTTCTTACAGATTCTGGATATTAAGACCTTGGTTGAATGCATAGTTTGTGAATATTTTCTCCCATTGTAGGTTGTCTGTTTACTCTGTTGTAGTTTCTTTTGCTGTGCAGAAACTCTTTAGTTTAATTAGGTCCCATTTGTCAATTTTTGTTTTTGTTGCAATTGCTTTTGGTGTCTTCGTTATGAAATATTTGCTAGTGCCTATGTCCAGAATGGTACTCCTAGGTTATCTTCCAGGGTTTTTATAGGTATAGGTTTTATATTTAAGTTGTTAATCCCTCTTGCGTTGATTTTTGTATATGGTATAACAGGGATCCCCAGTCCCCAGGTCATGGACCAGTACCAGTCTGTGTTAGGAAATGGGGTCACACAGCAGGAGGTGAGTGGCAGGTGAGTGAGCAAAGCTTCATGTGTATGTACAGCCACTCCCCATTGCTCACATTACTGCCTGAGCTCATCTTCCTGTCAGATCAATGGCAGCATTAGATTCTTTTAGGAGCACAAACTCTATTGTGGACTGCACACTCAAGGGAATCTAGGTTGCGCACTCCTTATGAGAGTCTAATGCCTTACGATCTATCACTGCCTCCCACCACCCCCACATGGGACCATCTAATTGCAGGAAAACAAGCTCAGGGCTCCCATTGATTCTACATTATGATGAGTTGTACTAGAATCAATTATTTCATCATATATTACAATGTAATAATAATAGAAATAAAGTGCACAATAAATGTAATACTCTTGAATCATCCTGAAACAACTGCCACCCCTGGTCCATGGAAAAACTGTCTTCCATGAAACTGTTCCCTGGTGCCAAAAAGATTAGGGACTGCTGTGGTATAAGGAAGGGGTCCAATTTCAATCTTCTGCATATGGTTAGCCAATTATCCCAGAACCATTTATTGAATAGGAAGTCCCTTCTCCACCGCTTGTTTTTGTTGACTTTGTTGAAGACCATATGGTTGCAGGTGTGCAGCATTATTTCTGGGATCACTATTCTGTTCCATTGGTCTATGTGTCTGTTTTTGTACCTGTACCATGCTGTTTTGATTACTGTAGCCTTGCAGTATAGTTAGAAGTTTGGTAATATGATGCCTTCAGCTTTGTTCTTTTTGCTTAGGATTGCCTTGGATATTCAGGCTCTTCTGTGGTTCTATAGTAATTTTGAGATTTTTTTTTTCTAATTCTGTGAAGAACATCATTGGTAGTTTGATAAGAATAGCATTGAATCTGTAAATTGCTTTGGGCAGTATAGCCATTTTAACAATATTGATTCTTTCTATCCATGAGCATGGAATGTTTTTCCACTTGTTTGTGTCATCTCTGAACAGTGTTTTGTAATTATTATTGTAAAGATCTTTTACCTCCCTGGTTAGCTGCATTCCTAAGAATTGTATTCTTTTTGTAGCTACTGTTAATGGGATTGTATTCTTGATTTGGCTCTCAGCTTGGACCTTGTTCGTGTATAGGAATGCTGCTGACTTTTGTACATTGATTTTGTATCCTGAAATTTTGCTGAAGTTGTTTACTAGATGAGGTTGCAGAGAATAGGGAACACTTATACACTGCTGGTGGTAATGTAAATTAGTTCAGCCTAATAACTGTGGAAAGCAGTTTGGCAATTTGTCAAAGAATCTAAACAGAATATCCATTATTTCATTATTGAGTATATACCCAAAAGAATATAAATTATTCTACCATAAAGACACATGTATGGGCATGTTCATTGCAGCACTAGTCACAGTAGCAAAGACATGGGATCAACCTAAATGCCATCAATGGTAGACTGGATAAAGAAAATGTGTGGTAAATATACACTATGGGATACTATGCAGCCATAAAAAATGATATTTTGTTCTTTACAGGAACATGGTTGGAGCTGGATGCCATTATCCTAAGTGAACTAAGGCATGAACAGAAAACCAAATACTGCATGCTCTCACTTATAACTGGGAGCTAAATAACAAGAACACATGGGCACAAAGAGGGGAACAACAGACACTAGGACCTACCTGAGGGTGGAGGGCAGGAGGAGGGTGAAGATAGAAAAACTACCTATTGGGTACTATGCTTTTTATGTAGGTGGCAGAATAATCTGTACACCAAACCCCTGTGACATAAAATTTGCCTAACAAACCTGCACACCTATCTCTGAACCTAAACTAAAAGTTAAAACAAATTCAGATGACAAATTTGGCCTCTGACAGAAAGTGTATGTGATTGATTAGCAAAGTCTGCCTCGAGTGCAGGCATTGAGTGGATAGCAGGTGTGTCCTGGTCTTGCCTTCTTGGATCTGAATTGTATGACAGGATTAGCCAAATTTCCTACACCTTTCAAATTTCCAGTGACCTCTGAAATATAGAACCTTGACTCCCACAGACTAATAAATCTTCATCGTGATTAAGAACAGTACAGTTTCACATTATGTAGTGTGATTAGTTTTTATTTATTAGGACAAGAAATCAGTTTCCATATCTTCAAAAGTTATCTTTAATTATCTCTTACTATGTAAGATTTTATAGTCTTCCTCCCAAAGCAACATTGTCAGTATTGTTTGAAGCTGTGCACCCCAGGGCAGTCTGCTTGAAAGCCATTAGTTTGCAGAATGACCTTGAGGCAAGTAGATGCTGCATGCTTTTGCATAAAGTAGAAGGAGCAAGGTATTTTGCAAACAGCTGTCCTCACAGTTACATATGAATTGTTCTAACTAGTTGATCATCATGTCCTCACCTGAAATAAGCAATTGCAAATTTCTAGGAGAATGCATGTCCAGTGAATACACTGTGCAAAATGACCAGAAATCACCACCTTTCTTGGATAAGATTAAAGCCAGACACTTTGTAAATGAGGCTGTATGCACTTGCTGCTGAGAGAGTGGCCACCCTTCCAAGGTGCCTGATGCAAGGCAGCCACCCACAGCTGAGTGTTATTATAGCCAATGACACTAACAAGCATCTTCAGTTAACCTATTACTACGATTGCCAGATAACAGGGTTTATATGTTATGCCATCTCCTAGCACACATTCAGAAATATAGGAGTACAAAAGGATTGATCCCAGACAGCAGGCTTTTACTACTAAATGTAAAAGAAGAAGGAGAAATAAAGGATAAAGGTATTTCATTCAATTGACCTGCATCTCGTCAAAGTTCATGAACGAAACTTGTTTACCAGCCATGAATAGAATTCTGGGTGTTTCTGTGGCAAGAATGGGTCATGACAAATTTTTAGAGATCTGTCAACACCGTTAATACTCATGATACACTTCAAAAGCAGCTATTGCAGCCACCTCCACAGCAGACTTGTAAACTGGAATCGTTCTGTTTTGTTGAGTGATGAGTGCTGAATGAGGGGGAGAGGGATGACGGGAGGGCGCTTGGCTCCTGTTTTACAGCCCTTATAGGTGGTAACATCCCCAGCTTGCTGTGTTCTCTGACAATAAACTCCTCTGAAAAAATAAGCACCATCACTGTTGTTGCGTGAACTGGTTATTTATCACAACACGAAGTCATGAATACCAAGTTGTCTATGAGAGACACGACAAAGGATTGCTTCCAAATTTCTACCAACCCCCCCCCCCACCCCTCCAGTTCTGAGACACCTGCTTGGAAATGCCAGAGCATACTCTTGGCCTTCAAAGAGACTTTATTGGCTTCTCTGCTGCTGAACACAGGTGATAAATGTAGCTATGCGTTCATCTTGCTATTCTTCAATTTCCTTAGAAGCGTAATAATATAATGTGTTCAGACTGCGTGAGTTCAACTTCCAGCTCTCTTTTGACTGGCAGTAAAACCTAGACAATTTTCTTAGGATTATGTGACCTTAGGCTCTTTATCTATAATGGGTAAAGTAAATCCTACCCCAAACACTTTCACCAGGGTATTTTGGAAGATTAAATATATTTAATTCACAAAATACTGGGTGCACAGTAAGAGAACGGAAATGAATGATTCCCTTCATTTTAGGCCTATATGTTTTAAAAGAGAGAGAGAGAGAAGGAGACATTTAAGAAAATTGATTTCAAAATGATTAAGAGAAGAATGTCTCGAGCACTGACAAATCAGAGCAGACACCAGCTCTAAGCGCATGGCCCAGGCTGAGTATAGCTGCTGTGTCTGCATCAGCCTGCCTCCAAGAGGTGGAGGAACAAGTTGCTACACACTTCCTTTGTGAAAGGAAAATAAATCTTGAGGCCCCAAAATCGCTAAGCTAAAGGGAAAAGTCAAGCTGGGAACTGCAGAGGGCAAACCTGCCTCCCATTCTATTCAAAGTCACCCCTCTGCTTACTGAGATAAATGGATATCTAATTGCCTCCTTTGGAGAGGCTCATCAGAAATTCAAAAGAATGCAACCATTTGTCTCTTACCTGCCTATGACCCGGAAGCCTCCTCCCCGCTTTGAGTTGTCCCGCCTTTTCCAGAATAAGCCAATGTTCATCTTACGTATGTGGATTGATATCTCATGTCTCCCTAAAATGTACAAAACCAGACTGTGCTCTGACCACCTTGGGCACATGTTTTTGGGACCTCCTGAGCCTGTGTCACGGGTGTGCCTTCAACTCTGGCGAAATAAACTTTCTAAATTAACTGAGACCTGTCTCAGATATTTGGGGTTCATACCTGGCACAGTGTATTCCTGATTCTAGCATTTGTTAGTGGCTTTTATTAAAACCTACTCTCAAGGAGATATTTAAAATTATGTTAAGCTCTTTCTCTCTACTGTAAATCTCCTACAAATAGTCATATTCATTATATAAATATGTGTATATATACACTTATTAATATTAATATATTGGCATGCCATACAACTCACCCATTTTAAATGTGTGATTCAGTGATTTTTATTACATTCACAGTTGTACAATCATCACTGCTACCCATTTTCCAACATTTTCTTCATTGTGAAGCCTTGTACCTATTGCCCCCCAACCCTCCATCCTCCACTGTTGCTAGGCCCAGGAAACCACTCATCTGTTTTCTGTCTCTGTAAATTTGCCAGTTCCAGACATTTCACATCAATGGAATCAAACCGTCTGTGCTTGTATGTCTGACTTCTTGCATAATGTTTTATGTCTGACTTAGCATAATGTTTTCAGAGCTCACCCATGTTGTGGCATGTATCGGGGCTTCCTTCCTTTTCGTGGATAAATCCTCTTCCATTGTGGGATGCACATTTTATGTATTCACTCGCTGGCTGATGGACACTTACTGTCGTCAACCTTGCAGTGGTGTCTGCCCTGCTCCCCAGCACTCAGCGGCTCATCTGACCCTCCCTGCTTATGGATTTCCTGCTGGATTACATCGTTACTCCCCTCCGCTTTCCCCGCCTCTCCAGCCTACCAGCGGCCTGTGAATAAATTCAGTCTCCTTGCCGAGCCTCCCTGTCCACCAGCATGTGATGGTCGCATGGAAGCTTGCAGCCTTAAAGGTGCATTAGCCTCCATCAGCCAACACCACTGCCAACTCCTTGGAGATATAAGGCCCTATGTGTTTTGGTAATAACTTCGGCTTTTATTAAAAATAATGCCGATTATAAAAATTTCAAGCTGTGTAGAAGCATGAAAACAAAAAAAAAATCATCTCAAATCATAAGACTTAAACTTTTTAATTTTAAATATCAGACGACCTTTATCATTCCAGGCGTCATTCTAGGCATGATGTGTATGAACAAACCATCAAACGAATGAGAATAGTATATTATAAAAATGCAACTTGTACTCTGAATGCACTTTTTGATGAAAATGTGCTAAATTTATTTTTACTTACGCTTAACAGGAGACCAAGAATCTGAAGTGACATTACTCAACTTCAAACAAAGTGTAGCTGACTACAATAGATATTGGTTTTGAAAAATATTATGTTAGGGCTGGGCACAGTGGCTCACGCCGGTAATCCCAGCACTTTGGGAGGCCAAGGCAGGCGGATCACGAGGTCAGGAGATCGAGACCATCCTGGCTAACACGGTGAAACCCCGTCTCTACTAAAAATACAAAAAAAAAAAAATTAGCCGGGCGTGGTGGCGGGTGCCTGTAGTCCCAGCTACTGGGGAGGCTGAGGCAGGAAAATGGCGTGAACTTGGGAGGCGGAGCTTGCAGTCCAGCCTGGGCAACAGAGCGAGACTCTGTCTCAAAAAAATAAAAAAAAAAGAATGAAAGACAGCATAAATAAAACAGAATATTATGAAGAACTTTAAAAAAAAAGAAAAATATTATGTTGAGGTTACAAAAAGTGTTTATGCCAAAAAACAATTCAATTTCTAGAGCCATTGTTATAATTGTTATGGATGCTATTATTGTTTAAAATTCCATGATTTAATTTTAGTTATAATAGTATGGATAGGCTCTCTTTTTTAAAAGATGAAGGAGTTGGCAGTCTTCCCACTTCTTTTACCCTATGTCTTCATTAGTTGCATTAATCGTTTAAGATTTGGAATATTTGCCTGCTGTGGTGGAATCCCAGCTTTTGCAGTCATTTAGTTTTATGTCTATATTTATCTTATACAAAGCTCACTGTATTAGTTTATTCTCATGCTGCTACGAAGAAATGCCTCAGACTAGGTAATTTATAAAGGAACAAGGTTTAATTGACTCACAGTTCCTCATGGCTGGGAAGGCCTCAGGAAATGTAAAATCATGGCAGAAGGAACCCCTTTACAGGGTAGCAGGAGGGAGGATGAGTATCGATTGAAGGAGGAAGCCCCTTATAAAACCATCAGATCTCGTGAGAACTCACTCACTATCACTAGAACAGCATGGGAGGAACCAACCCTGTGATTTAATTATCTCCACCTTGTTCCTCCCACAACACATGGGGATTATGGGAACTACAATCCATGATGATATTTGGGTGGGGAAACAGCCAACCCATATCACTCACCTTGTCACGGATTCAACTGCTTCTGCTTCTCTTCTTCCCAAAATGCATTGGTGGTGTTGATCTGTTGATGGTTGGTTTTTAACCTTTCTTATTATTTTCCATCATTTAAATGTAATCATGGAGGAGAAGAAGGGACTTTACCCTGTGATCAGTCTGCAGCATTCAACAGGGAAGTCCTACTCTGCCTTCTAAACTGCAAGCTGCTGTGCAACTCTAAGGAACAGTCAGTCATTTGCTCAGCAAGTGTTGACTGAGACCTGTGCCCCAGTCTCTGGGATTCTGGCTGGATCTGGCCAACGAACAGTGCCCAGAGCTCAGCATCTGTGAGCGCAACAGGGCTTCAGGAAGTGTGTTCTGCCCAGTTACAGACTTCTGCTACTTTCCTAAGGACTTCCTTTAATAGGGAATGAGGGATTTTGTTCTGGATATCTATGGCTGCATAATAAACCATCACAAAGCTTAGTAGCTTAAAACAAGGACAAGCATTTATGTAGTTCATGCATCTTTGATTTGAGGTGAATGATGGGCATGGATTTTTTCTGCTTTACGAGATGTGAGGCCGCAGCTAGGTATATGGGACAGTTGTGGGAGGTGGGAATGACCTTATAGCCAGGGCTGAAGTCATCTGGAAGGTCGTTTGCTCGCATGTCTGGCAGTTGCTTGCCAGCCAGTACCATTGGCCAGATGCCTACCTGTGGCTTCCTCATGTGGTGTGGGGTCCCTCACAGAATGGCGGCCATATTGCAAGAGTGAGGGTCCCAAATGGGGCCCAGTGGAAGCTGTATTTCCTCTTGTGATCTCACCTCACATGTTACATAGAATAATTTGTACTATGGTCCCAGATCTGCCAAGTTCAAGAGAAATGAAATGTAGACCTCACTTTGGGATGGGAAGAGTGTTAATGTCACATTAAGATAATATAAAATGTGCCTTCACAGCTTTTTTGGCAAATACAATCTACCATAGGTTTTACTCCACAATTAAATAGCAAGCTTAAGACACTGAGACCCTTGAGAAAAAATAACCTATTCAAAATTACATGAAGAAAACTAGGGTTTTTAATTGACAGCAGAAAAGGAGCAAGAAAAATTGGAAGAGACCATGAAAGGGGCCTCTGTGGACCTTGGGACTGACTTGGTAAACTTTCCTGATCTCCCCAGAATTATCACTACCTCTGGAAAATATTTACCTTTGGCCGATGAGGCAGCTCATTCATAGCTGATGATGATAAGGTCCTGATCTCTCTCTAGGGGACGAGAGCTTGCAGATGGAGGCAGTTACTCAGCACAATGAGCTGCCCAGGCGGTGGAAAACCTAATGGGACAGAACATAGTCTAATTTCTGAGAGAGCTATGCAGCCACCTCATGATTTTCACATCCGAACAGAGTTCCCATTTGGGTGTCCCCTGTGGGCTATTCAGAACTCCCGTTTAAGAGGCAGCTTCGTGAAGCAGGTTCACTTCTGCAGGGAGAGGGGCTGCATCTGGCTATGTAAGGCTGCCTTTGTTTTCTGCTTGTCAGAGGTCAGCTTTGCCCTGACTGTGCTGTCCCTCTGACCTACCAAGGGGTGAAGGCACAGGGTGTTTTGAACATAGTCCCCCAAACTGAGGCCATATCTGCATGCTTCTTCATTGCAAGATGACACCAAACTGATAAAGACAGAAGTGAGATAAAGCTAAAATGAAACTGTTATAAATGCAGAGAAGACATCGCCTGGAAGAAAAATAGAAATTTGAATTTCAAAATGGAAAGCTTGAGTGGAAAGAACACCCATCTGCGTCTTTACCCATGGTCACCTGTGGTGTCATTTGCCTCCCAATGCCAGCCATGGGGTTCTAAGGTCACACAACTCCCATGATGCCTGGCACAGAGCCAAGGACACACAGGTCAAAGGTCCTGAAAATGTCTCCAGGGAACTAGGTTTCTAAAGTGGATGTGTGCAGAGGCTGGGGAGGAGAAGGGAGAGGGAAGGGAGCCTGGGGAACTGGAAGGCTGCTTTCCAACCAACAAGGGCACCAGGACTCAGCCCCACCTAGCTCCTGTCATCTGGGTGTATGCAAATAGTGCGGGAGACTTACCAAGATTGCAAGACCAGCCTGAAAGCTCCATTTTCTTCATTGTGAAATCTTTATGCTTTAAAATATCAGCCCAAGTCCATAAATAATAAAGAACTTTGGAAGAATCATTGCTGTTCAGGTCCTTATTGGATCCACAGCAGTGGGAGGGAAGAGATCATCGTATCTTTTTCATCTGTGTATCCTCCAGAGTGTCTGGCATAAATCAGTGTGCAACGCAAGAATTTTTAGCAAACTTTCCAAGGTATGCAATCATCATCTTAATCCAATTTTACAACATTTTTGTCACTCAATAAGAGTCCCTCATACTCATTTGGAATTAATCCCTGCTCTCATTCCCAGCACCTGCCAATCACTAACCTATTTTCTCTCTCTAGAATTCCCTTTTATAAATGCGTCATATCAGTGGAATCATGTGTGCTCTCTTGTGTCTTCTTTCACGTCATGTTTTCAAGTTTCACCCATGTCGTCATCCATGTTGTATGTAGCATGTGTCAACACTTCATTCCTTTTCATGGCCAAATAACATTCCATTGTGGGGATACATGACAGGTTTTTTAATCTATTTATTAGTTGGTGAACATTTGATTGTTTTCACTTTTTGGCTTTGATGAAAAATGAAACAATCAGCATTCCTGTGCAAATGTGTGCACTGGTTTTTATTTGTCTTGGGTAGATACCTATGAGTAGAACCGCTGGGTCATTTGGTAAATACCTGTGTAACGTTTTCAGAAACAGAAAAACTATTTTGCAAAGAGGCTACCACCTGTTAAGCTCCCCCACAGCAATGATAAGCGTTTCTGTTTTTCCACACCCTTGACAACACTTGTTAATGTCTTCCCATTAGAACAGTTTTAAGGTGTTTTCTTGGTATTCCTGGAAGTGGTGAGAGTTTTATGGAAAGCGAAAAAGGGGATGTTTTTGCTGATGTATGAACCAGGCTACCTTAATCTGCGAAGTTACTATATTTGCACCAACCTAATAGATTCTGTCAGGTGTGGGTGGAGACAGTGAGGATCTGCTCAATTGGTTACTGAGACATTCAGCAAGAGAGCTGAACTAGCCCGCCCAGGAGTGAGCTGAAAGGAAGTGTACTAAAGATACTAGGAGTGCATTTCCACTCCTAGGCTTTTATCCCACAGATAGTTTAACCTACAAGGGCAAAGATTTGCATGTCCAAGAGTATACATCACAGCATTATTCTTTGTAGCAAATTTGGAAACAACCAAAATTTCTACCTTCATGAGACGTCTTGGGTAAAATATGGAATAAGTAATCATATACCAGTACAATGGTTACTAAAAATGAGATAGAGTATTCTCTCTATTGATATGGAACATCCACCAATATATTTTGCTCAAAGTGGAAATCAAGGTGCAGACCACTTTATTTCATATGCTGCTGTTTGTGTAAAAGATAGACTACGTTCACCTACATGTGTGTTTTACATGTCTCTGTGTGTGTGAGTGTATGTATATTTGTATATGAACAGACTGTTCCTGGAAAGATAAAAAAGAAGGGGAAGATGGAAACTACAGTCCTAAGATTCACGATTGGCAGTAAGAATCTGTAAAAAAAGAAATATATATATATTTTATGTATATATATACACACACACACTTATGTATACTTATATATATACTTATATATATACTTATATATATACATATATACTTATGTACATATATCTTATATATATACATATATACTCATGTACATACATCTTATATGTATACATATATGCTTATGTACTTACATCTTATATATATACATATATGCTTATGTACATATATCTTACATATATACATATATACTTATATATATCTTATATATATATACTTAGGTATATATATCTTATATATATACACATATACTTACGTATATGTATCTTATATATACACATATACTTACGTATATGTATCTTATATATACACATATACTTACGTATATGTATCTTATATATACACATATACTTACGTATATGTATCTTATATATACACATATACTTACGTATATGTATCTTATATATACACATATACTTACGTATATGTATCTTATATATACACATATACTTACGTATATGTATCTTATATATACACATATACTTACGTATATGTATCTTATATATACACATATACTTACGTATATGTATCTTATATATACACATATACTTACGTATATGTATCTTATATATACACATATACTTACGTATATGTATCTTATATATACACATATACTTACGTATATGTATCTTATATATACACATATACTTACGTATATGTATCTTATATATACACATATACTTACGTATATGTATCTTATATATACACATATACTTACGTATATGTATCTTATATATACACATATACTTACGTATATGTATCTTATATATACACATATACTTACGTATATGTATCTTATATATACACATATACTTACGTATATGTATCTTATATATACACATATACTTACGTATATGTATCTTATATATATACACATATACTTACGTATATGTATCTTATATATACACATATACTTACGTATATGTATCTTATATATACACATATACTTACGTATATGTATCTTATATATATACATATATACTTATGTATATGTATCTTATATATATACACATAAGAATATACACAATCGAAATAAGTGTTGAAAAAATAACAACAAATGAGCATTCTTGTAATTAACATATGCCTAAGAAATGAAGCATTACCAGCATAAGATGATCTGTTTCTCTATACACGGGCCCTTTAATATTGTTTGTCTTGTTATGTACATGTATTACCTATTCAGTAAATGCTTTGAAATGGAAAAATATATATATATCAGTAAGGAGCAACATTATAACAGAATAAGTCCCTCAAAGCAAAAGCAAATCAACAAACCCAATAAACATTTATTTTTCCAAGATGACACCAAGGCTGAGACATAATGTGAAGCTAAGCCTCCCTGGAACTGAGGTCGTCATTATCGTCACTGCCTTGTGTTGCATCGTTAATAAGCCCAAATGCTTTATTGCTGGCTGGGAGCATTCCAGACATCCTAGGGTAGACATCCTGCCATTGAAATGGCCCCCAGAAAAGGGCGTCATCATTAACAAGAAGACTTAGCTCTGTGGCTGCTCAAGTCACAAATAGACCAACCACCACTTTCATCCTGCCTGATTCAGCGCATGACCTTGACTCCAATTATGAGAGAAGGGGAGACCTTGTAATAAGTCCCTGACTTTTTAGAACACTGAATATCACCTGATAGGATGAGGAAACTCTGATACGGTCGATGCCTACCTGGGAATTTGCAGCAGGAATGCTGATGAAGATGCAAAATCATATCCTAGAGTCATTGAGAATATTTTGAGCCACCTTGCAAGATTTAAATTGAATGGGACTTCTAAACATCAACAAGGACATACACAAGCTGAAACAGCCTCGTCTGTAGGACAAACAACAACTTTTACTTAATGATGCCTAAGCAGAAACACTGACAAAATGAGCTACCTGGGGCTTAGCCCAGTTCATCGCTGGCTGTTTCTCCACACTCAAGGCAGCAGGGGCCAAGGTGGGAAGCTTACCCTCCTGCCTGGGGTGATGTCTGTCCACACCTCACCAGGCTGTTCAGTACTGAGTGAAGACATCTGGTCCAGTTTTAGTTTGGCCATCATCTGCCCCCAGGCAGGCAGGTTGAAAAAGTGGATAGTCCAGAGAAAGAGCAGGAGCAGAGGCTCTGGAGCAGAGTTCATATGGACACTTCTAGGTCTAGGTTCAAATCCCTGCTTCGCCACTTACTGGCTGTGTGACGTTGGCCAAATCCCTGAACCTCTCTGAGCCTCTATTTCCTCATCTGCCAAGTTTGTGATATTTCTGAGGGAATAAGAGTGGTGCTGATCAGAGAGTCCTGCACTTAGTAAACACATGGTCAACAATAGAGGAAAAGTGGCAGCAATGTGGTTAACACTGGAGCTCTCAAATTACGAGCTTGCCTCATTCCACGTGACATGCCTATGTGATTGCAATCTGTAAACCTGTGGGCTCAACACAACATCTTTTGGCCCACTACATATTTGTATATTTTTGACTTAATTTTCAAGGTTTGATTTTAGGAATTTTATTTGGAGTCAAGCATTATGGATTAACATTTAAAAAAATAAAAAGATTTAGCAAAAGTGGATTTACATCATTCATTGGTAACAATAAACAGAAACCCCAGACCCTCTCTCCATCATAATGGAGATTATCCACGATAATCGCTCACACGTTTATTTTCTCATGGAGGCTTTGCAAAAGTCTCCTGCATAGGTGCTGTTGTGTCTCCATTTTATAAGCAAGGATGCAGAGGCAGAGAGTTTGAAGAACTTGCCAAAGTCAGACATCAAGGTAGTGGCAGTCTGACTTTGGCCAAATCCCTGAGCCTCTCTGAGCCTCTACTTTCCTGTCTGCCAAGCGGAGATGACACCATTGAGAGAATGAAGGAGTAGTGCTGGCCAGAATCCACACTTCCACCACTGCCCTCTTCTCGGTAGCACACCTCCCTCCACCCCAACCAGGCTGGCTTCTGTCATTTACCCACCCGTCTGCCTTTCCTTCACATTTACCCCTGCCTCAAATAGCCGAAATTCATGGGATAAAAGCTCACAGACTGTGTCTGATTTGGATGGTGACCTTGTAGATCACCTTGTCCGTCTTAACCTCCGGGACCCAGGTAGGGAGGAAGATTTTGCTCAGGTCATTATCTGGCTCTTCCTGGAGTTCCGAGAGCATTTGCTCATCATCACTCAGCCAGTCGGGAGGTAAATGACCACAGAGCTGGTACTACCGGAGTTCCAGCTCTTTCCCGTGTAGTCTTTTTGCCTCTCGGTGAGGAGGGTAATGACCTCTATTAGGAAGGCTTTACTCATCTTAGTACCATGCCCCAGCAATTGTCACCATCACAGGCAGGAGACACAGCCCATTCGTGTTAGTGGCAGAACAGCTCATTCATCGCAAATGACTAACAATTAAGAAGTCATTTGGATAGAAGCCACTTGCATTTTTCACCACAAGGCTCATTCTCATGTTACTGCCAATCTATTCAGCTTTCTTCTCCCAGGCTGCAGCTGATTGCTCCGTAATTTCAATGTGAGCTCCAGTTCAAAGGGCACCATTTGTAACTAACATCTCGTATAGCAAAATGGATAGACGGCAAATGGATTCGTGAACACAGAACGATGCTCAACATCATTAGTCACTGGGTAAACACAAATTAAAACTGCAACGAGATACCATTACATACCAATTAGAATGGCATCTTCTAAAATTTTTAAATTTAGGCCAGGCGCGGTGGCTTATGCCTGTAATCCCAGCACTTTGGGAGGCTGAGGCGGGCGGATTATGAGGTCAGGAAATGGAGACCAACCTGGCAAACACGGTGAAACCCCGTCTCTACTAAAAATATAAAAAAATTAGCTGTGCATGGAAAGAATCTATTAAATTTTTTAAAAAATATTTTGCAAGTGTTGGTAAGGATTTGGAGAATCTGGAATGTTCTGCTGTGGAAGGTAAAATGGTATAGCCACTTTTATTTTTTTTAAGGAAACATACGACTTTGCTATGATGAAGCCATTCTACTTCTAGGTATTTACCCAAGAGAAATGTAATTGTATGTTCATACAAAGACTTTCCATGAATGTTCTTAACAGCTTTATTTGAACTAGTGTGAATCTGGAGACAGCTCAAATGCCCATCAATAGGTGGCTAGATAAACAAATAATGGTATAACGAATACTACTAAGCTGTAAAAAAAAGTTAATACACATAACAAAATGCTACTAAGCTATGAAAAGGAAGTTACTTTTGATATATGCTGTAATAGTGATAGATCTGGACATACTTATGCTAAATCAAAGAAGCTATGCAGAAAATGTATGACTGCATTTTAAAAAATCATTGAGAATGCAAACAAATCTGCAGTGTAAGAAGGTCGGTCAGCAACTGTGTGCCGATGGGGAGTGGGGACTCCAGGGAGAGGTGGGCAGGAGGGATTACAAAATGGCACAAATGAACGTTTTTTGTCTTTTTTTGAGATGGAGTCTTGCTCTGTTGCCCAGGCTGGAGTGCAGCGGTGCGATCTCAGCTCACTGCAACCTCCGCCTCCTGGATTCAAGCGATTCTCCTGCCTCAGCCTCCCAAGTAGCTAGGATTACAGGCATGCACCACCAAGCCTGGCTAATTTTTGTATTTTTAGTAGAGACAGGGTTTCACTATGTTGGCCAGGCTGGTCTCAAACTCCTGACCTCAGGGTGACAAATGAACTTTTTCGGTCATTATATATATTTAAAATTTTAGCTTTTATTATATGTACAGGTTTGTTACATGGATAAATTGCTTGACACTGACGCCTTAGGTCCCAACAATCCCATCACCCAGGCAGTAAGCATAGTTTCCGACTACAGGTGATTCTTTAGGCCATGGCCCCCTCCCTCCCTTCTTCCCTCCTGGTCTAGTGATCCTCAGTGTCTCTTGTTCCCAACTTTGTGTTCAAGTGTATTCAATGTTTAACTCCCACTTATAATTGAAAACATGTGATATCTGGTTTTCTGTTCTTGAGTTAGGTAACTTAGGATAATGGCCTCTAGCTCTATCCATGTTGCTGCAAAGAACATGATTTTGTTTTTTGTTGTGGCTTCATAGTATGCCGTGGTGTTCAGGTACCACATAGTCTTTATCCAATCCACTGTTGATAGACACTTAGGTTGATCCTATGTCAGCATTGCAATGAACATATGGGTTCGTGTGTCTTTGTGATAGAATACATTATTTTCCTTTGGATATATACCCAGTAGTGGGATTGCTGGGTGGAATGGTAGTTCTATTTGGTAGAAATAGTAGTTCTTTGAGAGAACTACAAAGAACTACAAAGAAATGGTAGTTCTTTGAGAAATCTTTCTTGAAATCCTCGCATCGATGAGAAGGAAATGCTAGAACGTAATGATTATGTATTGTGTGTCTCCTATATCCCAACCCTGGGCAAGACAAGAGGTAATGGGCACTGGAAATAGATGAGTCACCTGCTCCTGACAATCCACCAGACTAGATGTGTCAGCAGTCACATAAAAAGGAATGCTTCCAGTCCAGCCTGGAAAAGCTGGAGAGCCACGGGGACCACATGCTGTGGGAACACCTAGGGCAGGGCTTGGGGAGGCAAGAAAGAAACCGAGTCATTCTGCCAGGCCTTGAGTAATGAGGTCTTGAGGGACACACAGGCATTTTCTAGCCTCGAAAGTCGAAGCACAACATTCCGGGCATGGCTGAGGACCTAAATAGCAGAGTTGATGTATGTTTGGAGCCCCTCCATGAGTCTTGCTTAAACTACAGTTGTAGGTAAGTGTGGGGAGGCGAAGATATTGTGTGTTGTAAGGGAAAATGAGAAGGCTTTTTCTCAGAATCGTTTTTCAGCTCTGAGGCTGATCCTTGGTGTAAACTGAGGGGTGTTCCCTTCTGTCTAACTCCCTCCTTTCCCATCATTTTGCTTCATTTATTTTCGCCTTCTGTGTTTAGTTTTTACACTATCTCTTTGCCTTCCACCTTTATTCCTCTAAGGGTGGGGCAATTGCATTTTGCATGACTGGATGAGGGCAGGGGAAGAAGATCAGCCCATCCCTGGGCAACCACATAGCACAGAAGCAAGGAGCCGTGTCTCTAGAGTCAGACACCAGTGAGTTGAATTTGGCTTAGCACATTTTTAGCTCTGAGATCCTGGGCAAGTGGCTGTATTAGTCTGTTCTCACACTGCTAAGAAAGACATAGCTGAAACTGGGTATTTCATAAAGCAAAGAGGTTTAATTGACTCACAGTTCCACATGTCTGTGGAGGCCTCAATATCATGGCAGAAGGTGAATGAGGAGCAAAGTCACATCTTCCATGGCAGCAGGCAAGAGAGCTTGTGCCAAAGAATGCTCATTTATGAAACCATCAGGTCTCATGAGACTTATTCACTACTATGAGAACAGAATGGGGAAAACTGCCTCCATGATTCAATTATCTCCACCTGGCCCCGCCTTTGACAGGTGGCGATTTTTACAGTTCAAGGTGAGATTTGGGTAGGGACACAGCCAAACCATATCAGTGGCTGAACCTCTCTGTGCTCTGGTTTCCTCTTCTGTTGAATGGACACATTCCAGCACCTACCCCAAGGCTGAGGATCAAGTGAGGGGATGCACAGAGTGTGCTTAGAAGGAACCTGGCATTCTGCAAGCATCCAACACATGTGGCTATGACGAGTAGCTGTTGTCATTATTGTTATTCCTTGATATTCTTCCGTGTGCTTTCCCTTAAGGCCAGTTTTGTTGCACCGGCCTGTGATACCAGGGTGCAGAGGGCACCTGACATTGCTCAGGGAAAGCTAGCTGCCACACAGTAGTCAACCTCGAATATGTCCTTGATGGCAAATCTACCTGACCCAGATGCCCAACTATATCCAGCACCAACTGCAGAGTCATCTGATGCGGTGTTTGAGATACCCTTTATGTTAGTGTCCTATTGCTTCTGTACCAAATTATCAGACTAAGAGGCTTAAAACATCACAAATTTATTACTTTACAGTTCTGGAGGTAAAAAATATAAAACAGGTCATTGGGCTGCTTTCCTTCTGATGGCTCTAGGGGAGAATTCATTCTTTGTCTTTCCCAGTTTCTAGACGCCTCCTGTGAATGCAGGGTCACGGCCCCTTCCTTTCATCTTCAGAGACAGCGTTGCAGCATCTTCAGATCTTCTCTCCTCTGAACTCTGCTCTCTTCTCTTCATGGCGGAGCCTCTTCCTCCAGCGGCATGTTGCCTTATCTCTATCACATCACAGAGTTCTCCACACTAATCCTGCTCCTTCCTCATATAAGGACTCTTGTGAATACGTTGGGCCTCCCCAGATCATCCAGGAAAATCCCTTTATCTCAAAATTCTTAATTTAATCATATTTGCAAAGTCCCTTTTACCACGTAAAGTATTATAGTCAAGGGTTTTGGAGACTAACATGTGGACATATTTAGGGGCCGTTATCAGGCTTACCTCACCCTTCATCATAATTAAGGGTAAAATCTGCAGGGAAATTGCACTGTGGCTCTTCCATGTAATTATTGCTTCCTCCGTGTTGGAGACTTTTTGTGACATCCACGGTGTTTTCTAAAGGCGTGAACACGAAACCCCAGTGTAGACTCACGAAGCTTTGATGGACTCAGGGTAGTGATGGGACACCACTTTCAGGCAGTGGTACAGAGGAGAACAGTAGAAGCCTTGGAGGAGAGGAGGATGGGAAAAGAAGAAGGGCACCTGACCACTTTGCTTTTTTTTTTTTTTTTTTTGATCCATATGTCCACAGAGTGAACTTAACATTTTATTACAACTTTGGTGGAAGAGCAGGATATAATCTCTTTCAAATTTCTGTCTGAGCACTAACTGTGTAATGTTTTCAAGGTTCTTTTGATGGCTAGCTGTCTACACGATAACCATGTTCTACTTCTTTAATAACACCTGATTTTATGTGGGGCAGTTATGTTCTCAATTAAAAGTCAGAGTTCCTAGCATCTCCTGTATGGCCTTGTAACTTAATCTTGGTGGATGTGCATGGGTTACTTTCTGGGTGGCTAAATAAAGGGAGTTGATTCAGTTTGAAAATTAACCCTTTTGTCTTTCCTTACTATCTTCTTTCTGCTTCTCTGAACTTGGATGAGAGAGCTGGCGCTCCAGCAGCCATATTGGACAATGAGGAACCTTGAAAATGTAGGCTTCAGGCTGGAAAGGTAACAAATAAAGGTAGAAGCACCCTGGGTTTTTTTCCTGATAATGATGAAGTTGTGATATCAGTCTGGATTTTTCACCTTCAGGCTTCTTTACATGAGAGTGGGATGGATTTCTATTTTACTTAAGCCACTGTTATTTTGGGGTTTTCTTACATATAAAACTATTTCAAATTCTAATTAATAAATGGTATACCTTGTTTTATGAACACACTTTTCAAATGTTGAATGAAAATTTAATTGTCTATCTTCTTCCATTGATCAATATAGCTGAGATGTGGTCACTTCATTCCCCATTATTAAAAACTGAATATGCTTCAACTTTATCTTCTGTTTCTTTTCTTCTTTTTTTTTTTTTTTTTTTTTTGAGACGGAGTCTCACTCTTTCGCCCAAGCTGGACTGCAGTGGCGCTATCCCGGCTCACTGCAAGCTCCGCCTCTTGGGTTCATGCCATTCTCCTGCCTCAGCCTCCCGAGTAGCTGGGATTACAGGCGCCCACCACCACGCCCGGCTAATTTTTTGTATTTTTAGTAGAGACGGGGTTTCACCGTGTTAGCCAGGATGGTCTCGATCTCCTGACCTCGTGATCCGCCCGCCTCAGCCTCCCAAAGTGCTGGGATTACAGGCGTGAGCCACCGCGCCTGGCCTGTTTCTTTTCTTCTTAACTTCTTCAGGGAACAAATGTATCTACTCACACTGAGTGAGTGAAGTTCATGACAAATTCCCTTATAAGTAAAAAAAAAAATCATGTTTTGCTAATATCCCTATAGTCATGGGTATGATAAACATCTTTAACACACACTGCCATTGGGAAGATTAAATGAGATACTACTGTATGTAAAGTTCTTAGCATGGTGCTTAGCATGGAGTGAGGGGTCCAAGCATTGCCAGGCATCCTAAATAATGATGCTATGTTTATGCAGCTTTTCACAGTTAGGTATGTTTCTTCAAGCTCTTTAAGCCATTTAATTTCTAGAAGGTCAAGCAGGCAAGTGAAATTCCTAACTGTCACATATTACAAATCATATAGCACTCCAGCAACCTGATACCATTTCGGGTCATCCCATTCCAAAGACCAAAATCTACTTTGGAATGAGATGACCCAAAAATGTATGATGTTAGCCACAAAGTTACCCTCAATGATACCATTTAATGTGTGCTGGCACCTGTGCTGTGCCTTTGACATCTTTTTTCTCTTTAAATCCTCACGGCTTTCCATATTGAAGATATAATTATCCCCATTGTACAGCTGAGAAAGCTGAGGGTGATTTGCCCGAGGCAACACAGCAAGAAACTGGCAGAGCCACGGTGTGGATTTTGGTGTCTCTGCCACGCTAGTTTAGCAGCAGATCAGGATTGAAAACACATCTTCAGTAGGTAGATTTATTATTCTTTCTGTGAAATCAGAATCATTTTTCCTAACGAGTTTTCTAGGTTGTTTTATTTATTTATTTATTTATTTTTATTTTTTTATTTGTTTGAGACAGAGTCTCACTCTGTTGCCAGGCTGGAGTGCAGTGGCACTATCTCGGCTCACTGCAAACTCTGCCTCCCAGGTTCAAGCGATTCTCCTGCCTCAGCCTCCTGAGTAGCTGAAACTACAGGCACCTGACACCACGCCAGGCTAATTTTTGTATTTTTAGTAGAGATGAGGTTTCACCATGTTGTCCAGGATGGTCTCGATCTTTTGGCCTCATGATCCGCCCACCTCGGCCTCCCAAGGTGCTGGGATTACAGGCGTGAGCCACTGCACCTGGCCACCAGTTTTCTTTATAGAAAGGTGACTACATTTTTGCAAAAATAAACTTGATGTTCAAATAATGAAAATAGATTCTATTATAAAATTTTTATTTAAAAATTGGCATTAAAGTTTAACTTGTACATCTGCTTAATTTCCATAAAATGAAACATGACCCCATTTTAGGGAGATCCTTCACGGAGGAGCCTTGAGGAGGTCGGCTAAGTGACCCTTCATCCATGTGCATGGAGTTTAGCTGGCCTGTGGGTGAAAGTAACTATGCACTTCCAGTAAGATAGTGAAGTTTGAAGCCCTTTTCTCTCCGGATCACTCTGGATAGTCAGAGGCCCAAGCCTTGCCTGGACTCTTCAAGAGTGATGACAATTCTCAGCATAGCGATTGAAAGGGTCAACTGCTGACATGTGGTTTGTGGCATCCCAATGTGTCATTTCATTTTATTTGCACCTGGAGACTTTGCCCCTGTGTGTTGACCCAGTGACACTTCATCCCACGATCTGAAAGCTTAACTGAACACCTTTGAACTCAGGAAAAGGGGGAATACTTGTCGAATTTATAAAGATAATGTTCCTTTTTGTTGTTATAGAGATCTATATTTACAAAGGGCCTTGTGCTCTTTCATTTTTGATGGTGAGGTCTGAATGTTGAAGGTACAAATCTTTGTCTTGACCTTTCAGCAGCATTAAACAGGGTTTGATTATCCCTTTATTCTTCAAACCCCTTCTTCACTTGGCACCTGAATACCACTCTGTTTAGTATTGTCCTGCCTTGTTAATGCCACATCTCCATTCCTGTTTCTAGTTCTTCCTCTTTCAGCCTGAAGCCTGCTTTTCCTTCACTATTAATGGCTAATTCCTCTCTTCATTCAAGTCACAGCCCAGGTGTCATCTTCATAGGAAGGTCTTCCCAGCCATCTTTCTAATGTTCCCATGCTCTGGGGCAGGCTCCTTTGAAGGATGCATTTAGGGCCCAGAGGGGACCATCCATAGACTGACTCTGCATGGTGGATAGCATCCACCCACAGGGGACAGAGGCTCACCCACAGGCTGTGAGTCTGCATTCTTGAGACTGCAAGTATCTCTGAGTTTCTTTATATCCGGTCTATTGAGAAATTTGAGGCTATGTGTATCAATTCAACATCCGTTTTGTTTGAATGCTTCCATAGTGTCTTCAATCATGATACAGTAAAACTTTATGTTAAATACTTTACAAATGTAAAGTAAACCCACATAGCAAAAAAAGTGTTCATTTTTCTATGTTGGATGAGTGCTTGCAGATGACTGCCAGGGCTTTAAACCCACTTGAGTCACTTAGGGTCAGTTTCATGGGTCATAAGCTGATGCAAAAGTTAGTACCTTATTCCCCAGGAACTATGAAGACATAAACACCTGATTGAAGATTTTTGAAATTTTTTGTTGGTTTTTCAGTTTAGTTTTGTCTCATTCTATTTCAAAATAAATCTCACCTGCTATGTGAGCTATTGGATAAAAGTTCACATGACAATGACAATATAACATCATATTCTGTGGGGTAAGAGGAACTGGTTTCATTTGTGTTATTTCAAAAGTTCTCTAAGACAAAAATTTGCATAAAAGTAGTTTTCTAGGGAAGTGGGGAAGTAACATAGGGAAGTCCATGGAAGTGTGTTAATGGTTAGGTTAACACCAGGCAGCTGGGCACTAATCTTGCTTCAGGCCTCACAGAGACTATAGGATATACCTCAGAATTTTCTCTACAGTGGCAAAAAAGCTGTTATTTCAAATCATCTGCTGAGCTTAAAATAACATGGAAATGTGTGCAGTTTGCACTGGTGACAAAGACACTGGCCTATGATTACACAACAATACAAACCTAATAGTATGAGCAGTAGACTGCTAATCATACTGTAATCATAATTGAAGAGAATGCTGAATGAAAGTAAAAACTTATTTAATGAAAGTGAAAACTGTGACTCCTTCCCTTTTGTCAACTAAAGTCCACAGAACTAAATTCCATCCACAGATCCCAGATTAAGGAACCCAGAAGAAAGAGGAGACAGACAAATGGCAGAAACACAGACAGGTGAACGCATATATTGTGCCAGGAGGTAGAAGCTAAGGAGGTCAAGCTAAGAGTGAAGATGAACTAACCAGGAAATAACCACAATTTTATAAATCCAGGAGGGACTCTCTGAGAAGATGTTATGTGGGCAAAGACCTGAATAAAAGGAAGAAGGGGCAGGAAAAACAGCAAGCACAAAATATTGGGATCAGGATAGAGGGTAAAAGTTAGGAGTAGGTAGAGCCTAAAAAATCAAGAAAATTGTACCCAATCTCAGAGTGGTTGTAAGACCCAAGTCATAGACAAGAGATCAATACTGAGAGAATATAAAATATAACAAGTAAACAAAGGTTTGAATTAAATGTCACCTCGGGGTCAAATGATTGCATGGCTCGGAATTGTAATCACCAGGTTTGGCTTCCAGTAAACTAGGATCCATAGATCATTTTGGATAGACTTTTTTAAACAGGGAAGGTGATCGTGAAGGTTGATTCTCCAGCTAGGACACACTGGGAGTGGCAGCTATTGTTTTGCTCATAAAACGTACATTCTCAGCCAGGTGCAGTGGCTCATGCCTGTAATCCCAGGACTTTGGGAGGTGGAGGCGGGCAGATCACATGAGGTCAGGAGTTTGGGACCAGCCTGGCCAACATGGTGAAACTCTGTCTCTACTAAAAATAGAAAAATTAGCTGGGTGTGGTGGTGCATGCCTGTAAAGTGCCAGCTACTCAGGAGGCTGAGGCAGGAGAATTGCTTGAGCCCAGGAGGTGGAGGTTGCAGTGAGCCAAGAATGTGCCCCTGCACTCCAGCCTGGGTGAAAGAGCAAGACTCCATCTAAAACAAAAAGAGAGAGAAAGAAAGAAAAGAAAAAGAAAAACACATACATTCTCCCTTTTGTCCACTCTAGACCAATTTTCCCTTGGAGAACCATCTCCCCTTGACTCCCAAACTGTGAGCTTTGGGTGGGGCCGACGCCTGGTCCGTCCAATCCACACATTCTATTTCTGCGGCCGCCAAAGTCACTTCACAAGTGGCCACCTAATCACAAATGCTTCAGTGAGAATTTTCCCAGGACTTGTCTTGAAACTACAGAGCTTTTAAATGCCATCCTGCCTCTACTAAAGAAGAGTGTTTTTGAGAAGGAAATCAACACAAGAGATGGTACAGTAGAGGGAAAAGATGGAGAGGAACAGTCTTCTGATGACTTGCTTTAGGTCCCTGGAGGTACCCCTGGACTTTTCCTGTATAAGATTCCATGGCTTCCTTTTCTTTTTTTTTTCACTTAAATATTACATTTTTAAAATGCAAATTTTTGTCATTTGGAACTAACAATGTCCTGCCTTGTTGAGGATTCAGGAAGATGAAAAAACATGTTATTGAAATGAAGATAATAGACCAGAAGGGTCTATATCTATATTTAAGTCCCTACCGCAGAAGGGACTTAAAAGTTCTCAGAAAGCAACCCCTTTATTTTTCCCATGAGAAAATCTGAGAGCCAAAAGTGACTTTCTTAAGGTCAAACAGGCAGTAGGAGGAGGCCTTCTGATTTCCAGGAAAGAGACAGCTCTGTCTTAAGACTTCATACGATGTGGCGCTGGCTGTTGCCAGCCTAGTCAGACAAGAAAACAGAAGGACTCACTGTGCATTAAAGACAGCCACCAGTGTGTCGTGGACTGGGAGAATAAATAGCAGAAAACATGTGCTGGAAACTAGGGTCAGCAGCTGCTGGTGTGTGTGTGTGTGAGAGAGAGATTTCCCCCATCTTCAATCTGTCTGGTGTATTTATGACATTGAGGGGCCCTCCAAGTTTGACAGTCACCATCACTAAAGCTTCTTGAGCCCCTGAGGTCATAGGAAGGGAAGGCCAATTCTACACACACAGTTATTGACGGAGCGGGGCAGCACGGAGCACCTAAAGCACTAATACCTTAGTGACTAGGGAGGCTGCTCTGCAGAGGGGAGAACGGGACAGATACGGTCACTGAGGCTAAATTCTAATGACCTCCATTATTCTTCTCTTTTAAAAAATATTTAAATATTTATTTTTATTTGTTAAACTCTTTACCTCTAAGAACAATATTCTGTTCTGTTATTAAAACGTTCTCATGAATACCAGCTATCTTAGCATCATGACTCAATAATGGATTACGATCTATAGTTGGAAAAAAAGATCTGCTTTACAAGAATTTGGCATTTAAGTGAAGTCCTGCAGGTGAGGAGATGAAGAGTGTAGGGCAAACAGCACTCAAGGCTGTGGGGTCCGTGTCGGTGTGGGTCTATAATGGGAAAGAGCCTGTTGTGTTTCAGGACCTAGAGAAAGGCCAGTGGGGCTCCTATGCATTGAATGTTTGGGAAATTTTTACAAAATAAGATTAGGGATGTACACAGATGGCCAATCATGTGGGGCTTCCCAGGACCATAGAGAGAGTTTAGATTTTCTTCCAACAACAGTGGGAAGTCACTGGAGGGTTTTTAACAGGTGAGTGACATTATCTCACTTTTGTACATTAAAAAAATATCAAACTGGAAGTCTGGGTGCTGTGTGGGGAGTGGGAGGAGGGATTGCAAGACTGGACGGAGAGAGGCTACTTTGCAGGCTGCCATCAGATTCAGGTGAGGGTGCTGGTGGCTGGGAACAGGTGGTGACAGAGGAAGTGCTAAGGTCATGTTGAAGGGCAGCCCACAGCCCCTGAGTTGGTTTTTCTGTGTGGCCTGAATTGACCTGAGTGAAGTATTAGGGAATTCTGGGTGCCAAAGGCTTGGTGGTCAGTTGCATTTATTGTTAGTTACGATTCCTTTGAAAGATGCTTTTAGCCAACAGGAAATGTAGCCCTTAGAACGTTTCCAGGAATAAATCATTTTCTATAAACTATAAACAGGAGCACCACTGCTGAAGATAGACTTGGCATCCTGTCGTGACGTGCTGCTCTCAATGCGGAGATGAATAACGCCTGTTTGCTAGCAGGCAGGATGTTGACTCAGCTGCCAAGTGGTTTTGAGGTTGATCTGCTTTATTAATGGAAACCGGTGCTTCTCTGGGCCTAACTAGCTCCATGGCGCCCCTGCTGGGCTGCTTCAGAGGGTTGTGTCCACGTGTCCTCTGTTGCCCTCTCACATTCTGCAGCGTAAGGTACGGGTTTCACTGTGGAGTTTGTGTTTCTGTTTTTGTTTTCATGGCATCACCAGCAGGAGAAACTTGTGTTTGTTTCTGCTCTATTGTGGAGAGAAGATGGGAAACGGGCAAGCAGTCCCCTCCATGGAAATGGATGTCAGGTCAGCCTACTCCTTGGGATGCTGTGCGGAGCTTTTTGAACCTTTCAGGGACACTGAGTCACCCTGTGACATCACCTAAAGGACCCAGGGGAAGCACAGATATGACAGGAGGGCTTGGCGACTGACCTGGGAGACAACTCTACCTCTCATCCCTTTACTGACTTGCTGTATGGGGTTAGCTCCCTGCTAAGCCTCTCCATTTTAGTTACCTCTGTTGAAAGGCCAGGTTCAACTAATTTTGGCCTTAGTGACTGATATGGTTTGGCTGCGTCCCCACCCAAATCTCATCTTGAATTGTAGTTCCCATAATTTCCACGTGTTGTGGGAGGGAGCCAGTGGGAGGTAATTGAATCATGGGGGCGGTTACCTCCATGTTGCTGTTCGCGTGATAGTGAGTGAGTTCTCATGAGATCTGACGGTTTTATAAGGGGCTTTCCCCCCTATTTTGCTCCGCACTTCTCTTTTCTGCCGTCATGTGAAGGACGTGTTTGCTTTCCCTTCCACCATGATTGTAAGTTTCCTGAGGCCTCCCCAGCCATGCAGAACTGTGAGTCCATTAAACCTCTTTCTTTATAAGTTACCCAGTTTTGGACCACTCCTTTATAGCAGCATGAGAATGGACTAATCAATGACTATTCAGCTCTTTCAAATATAAGCAGTGTTCTATTAGCTCTTGATTTAGAACATCCAGTGTGCGAGGAGAAAAATAAAAGATTGAACCATCTTGAAAGCATGTGTAAACACAGGGAGAGGCAGGGAATTGTAGCAACATTTAATCTACCGTGAGAATCTATTGTTAGCTTTTCTTACACCCCTCAATAAGCTTATACACAGGGTTTTATTGACCAGAGTATGTTACTAAATTGCTGAAATATAACTTATTTAACCAATTATTTTTGTGAGTTAAAAAACTTTCTCAATTTTTGATATTAAGCAGAGTTTCAATAAATCTTTTCATATGTCTTTGTCCACCTGTCTTATTTCCCTGGATTACTTATTAACATTGAATGATTAGTTTAATTTTTGTAAATAATTTTAGAGACTTGCCATACATTGACAAAATATTTTTGCTGGAAATTTGAGCCAATTTATGTTCTCACTGGTGGTGTAGAAAATGCTTATACATACTGAAAGTGGGTAGTACCAATTTATTTATTTTAATACTTGCTAATTTGGCAAGTAAAATATTATCTTGTTTTTATTTATATTTCTTTATCACTTGTAAGGTAGAATTTTTGTTCTTATTGATTCCTGATGTTTATTCTTTTGAAAAATAGGACATACATAGTTGAAACATTTTGAAATTTTTAGCAACAGTAGGTGCATTAAGGCTACGTAACTAACAATTCTCCAATCTTTTCCTCAATAATTCATTCAAGAAATATTTTTTGAAAACCTATTTATACCGGGCATGACTTTAGGAACTGGGAATTTTACAAGGACCAAAACAACAACATCTCCGTCTTCATGGGACTTAGATTCTTTAGAGGCAGCCACAAAATAAAATACATACGTAATGTAAGTAGTATGTTAGATCATGAAAAGTGCTAAAAAGAAAAAATAACATGAAGCCAGGAATGGATAGCATATAAATGGGTAAGATAAATGTTTGTAATTTAGAGAGAGTCCAAGGAAATTCTCTCTGGAAAGGTGGCATTTGAGTGAAGATGGAAGGAAGTGGGTGGATGAGCCCTGTGGAATATATATATATATATATATCTTTCCACCTCCTCATATATATATAAATACATATGTACATACACATATATATACATATATATATATACACACATATATATATAGATAGATAGATTGATTTTTTTTTTTTTTTTTTTTGAGACAGGGTCTCACCCTGTCACCCAAGCTGGAATGCAGTGGCGCGATCTCAGCTCACCGCAGCCTCCGCCTCCTAGACTCAAGCAATTCTTTTGCATCAGCCTCCGAGTAGCTGGAATTATAGCACACACATGCCACTGCCACCCGGCTAATTTTTGTATTTTTTGTAGAGACATGGTTTCGCTACGTTGGCCAGGCTTGTCTTGAACTCCTGACCTCAAATGATCCACCCACCTTCCCAAAGTGCTGGCATTACAGGCGTGAGCCACCGTGCCCAGCTTCTTGAATAATAAATAACCTCTCATTTTTCCTCCCACCTTCCTCGCAGTAATAGTTCTTGGCACATTGCATTTTATATGAACCCCAGACTCATTTTAAACACCATCTGATATAATAACCTATGCAATTTTCTCTTCGAATAGCAATGAAAAAATAATGATTACAATAGTGGATAATGTCATTATCCTGTAGCATCCATGCCATGGTGTAGAAGACTGAGTGCAGCCGATAGAAAGGAGTGAGGGTGGGTTTCCCCCCACGCCACTGAGAAGAACTGGTGGGGGAGGACGTCTGCTTGGCCCTTACGCTGACATTTTGATGGATAAAAGGGCAACGTCTCCCCTTCCCTTGGTACATTCACTGTCGTCTCAGCAAAATTTAGAGCTATTGTGACCAGGGATTCTCAGTCTCAGCACTATTGATATTTGCGGGGCCGGGGGTGGGGATATTTGTGGTGAGGGAGTTCTGTCGGTTTTGGGATGTTTAGTGGTGTCCCTGCATTCTGCCCATTAGGTGCCATTCCCCTGCCCTGAAAACTGACAACCAACAATGTCTCAAGACACTGCCGATGTGCCCTGGGCTGGAAGCCTTGGTCTAGAATAAGCAGATCAAGATCTGCTGTAACCCCATTAGGAAGGAACACAGTGAACACTTTCGAAACCAATAGTCTTGGCTTCCATGCCTAGGGCCCTGCAGAAAGGGCTCCTGTTTCCTGCTCACTTTGCCCACAAAGTCACTGAGTCTTTTTCTTTGCAAGGTCTGGGCCCTGCTTATTTTTGAGCAATGATGTCATTCTCAGGGTGGGGGCTAACTTAGAGTTTAGTAGCTTTACTATTTTCTTTTCTTTACTCATATTGTTTTTAACCCCCTGTGGACCTTAGAACCTGACATTTATATGGGTCTTGCAAAAGTCATAATGGAGTTTTCATCCCATGTAGGGTCAGGGAAGGGTGCACTGGGGGTTTGGGGTGGCTACAGCAGAGGAGCACCCTGGGCAGGCAACTCCCAAGAGGAAGAGAAACTGAAGACCATGGATGTCCCCCCACCTGCTGAAGCTTGAGAGTTCTCGCCCACTGAGTGACCCAGCCAATATCCACCTGAACACGCACCGGGAGGTGCTAATATGATGCCATAGATTGTGCTTTATACAGATGCACCGTGATCAAGATGGTGCTGTTCCCATCGTAGATGGTGTAGCTTTGAGTGTCTAGCAAAGCAGCTTAGTAGCAGGTGGCAAGACAGTGTCCTGTCCTCGTCATATCAGCAGATGATTTGCTTGCTAACAGATGGGCGTAAAGTATTTTGAGAAAGGGGTGCCTTTGTCTAATTCATAGTTGTAATAGACAGGGTAGTAATGGCCACACGGTCACTGAATGTATTGCTTCCTGAGCTACTCCGGAGCAGTAATTCATTCCATTATATTTCTAAAATGTTGACTGAGCCCCCATGACATGCCTGAGGCATAAAAGGAACAAAGAATATGATCCCTGCTGCGTGGGACTTGCATGGTTATAGGAGAGGTAGAAGATCGGCAACCAGGGATACACTGGATTCTGTGTTTGCAGTTGTAATAAGCGTTGCCAAGGAAGAGTCCAAGTCTACGTGAGAATGCAAAAAAGAGGGAGGCTCAACATGGTGTTCCAGAATGAACAGGTCAGGTGAGTGGAGTCTGCTGGAGAAAGCCATGAAATTTAGACTGAGGAGAGTGGACTTTTACCTTATAGTCTAGAGTCTCCAATGTGGAAGACATATAGCCTTAATGGCATGATGATTTCAGGCTCTCCATTTAACAGTGGGCATAACACAAAACCAGACAGTAAGAGAGTGACCTGTACTCAGTTCTCTTTAAATCTTTGAGACTAGTTCAAGAAGAAAATATGAGGTTGGTGTTGCTATACCTTTGTTACCTTTTTACACTTGATAACCTTGCTCTATCCCCTCCCTACAAGGTACGGGTGTTCATTATACATTATTTAACTTTTTATTTTGAAATAATTATAGATTCAGAGGAAAATACAAAAAAAAATGTATCGTATACCGTTCGTCCAGGCTCCCAGTGGTAACACCTTGTTTAATGTCAGGAAAAGAAAATTGACATGGTACAATCCACAGAGCCCGGTCAGATTTCACCAGTTTTATAAGTATTAGGTTGGTGCAAAGGTAATTGCAGTTTTTGCCATTAAAATAATGTCAAAACACGCAATTACCTTTGCACCAACTTAATACTTGTGTGTAATCCTTGTCCTTGTGTGTGTGTGCTTGTGTCTAGTTCTAGGCGATTTTGTCACATGTTTAACCCCCATCCTTTCATCTACTTCTATGAGAGTCCATCTTTTCTGCCATCATGGACTTCCACTTTCTATCTGATCAATTTTTGATCTCTGTTAGCAAGCAGGTAAGTACCAGGGAGGCAAAAGTCAGGGTCTGTTCTATATCATCTATGTCAATAAGTGTTTGGGGGATTTTTTGTTTAGGACACCAATCAGTTGACCTCCCTGCCTAAGGTTGTATCTGCAGAGATGAGAAGAACACTTGGCTTTGGGCTGACTTGGCTCCACTCATTTTTCCCACAAGTATTTATTGAGCATCTACTAACTCCGGGCCTTGTGCCCAACACTCTGGATCCCACACTAAGGGAGGTAGGCCAGTCCTCCATGCTCATAGAGTTCACAATGTAGAGTGAGAGAGAGGCAATTGACCAGAAAATAAGCTAGATCATCTCAGAGACTGAGAAAAGATGTGATGGCAATAGCACAGCATGGGAAGGTAGAGACTCACTTGAGGTGGAGTCGGCTTCACAGCAGGCAGGTGGGGGAGTGAAGGGAGGATCCTGCTGGGGGACATGCGGACAGAGACCTGGATGATGCCTAGCCTCCAGCCAAGGAGGGAGGAGCGTGGAGGGCTGGGCCACTGACCAAAGCTCCTCATCTGCAGAACCTTCAGGGAAAGTGGAGCCTGGATTCTGTGTCCTGAAGCCACTTGGACCTTCTCATGGACAGGACTCTTTGCAGATGGTTGATTTCATCTGTGGGCTGGATCCATCATCCCTCCTTTCTCTTTAGATAGCAAGCTTCCAACCTGTCTTCCTGTGACTTCCTCACCTCTCTGGCATTGGCATCAAAGGCTGTTGCAGGAGTGTGGACCGGCCAGGTGACGCAGAATCAGCTTGGATTTTTCCGTCTGCTCTGCCATCTGTAACTCAGTAACTCAGCAGCCAGGGCTGTTTTATCCTCCCCTCAAGAGAGGTGACCAGTAAATTTAGAGTTGAGAAATGTGTCAGAAGTCTTTGAAATTGGTGGAAGGAACCACGAAGTCTATCCTGAGGCAAAACTGACAGTCAGACAAAGACCATGACTTACGTTTTTACAAAAGAACTAAATTGGCCGGGCGTGGTGGCTCATGCCTGTAATCCTAGCAGTTTGGGAGGCTGAGGTGGGTGGATCATGAGGTCAGGAGATCGAGACCAACCTGGCTAACACAGTGAAATCCCGTCTCTACTAAAAAATACAAAAAAAATTAGCCGGGCCTGATGGCGGGTGCCTGTAGTCCCAGCTACTCGAGAGGCTGAGGCAGGAGAATGGCATGAACCCAGGAGGCAGAGCTTGCAGTGAGCCGAGATCATGCCACTGTACTCCAGCCTGGGTGACAGAGCGAGACTCCCTCTCAAAAAAAAAAAGAAGAAGAACTGAATCAACCAGGTAGAGCCTGGTTTGAGGTGACTTCTCTTGATTTGAATTCGTTGGCACACATGGCCACGTATTATTTGGATTCAGAAGGAGAAACTGCGGGTACCTGCACTATAACTACTAAACAAGAAAAAAACTTCATTTTCCAGGCAACCTACAGAATGGGAGAAAATTTTTGCAATCTACCCATCTGACAAAGGGCTAATATCCAGAATCTACAAAGAACTTAAACAAATTTACAAGAAAAAATCAACCCCATCAAAAAGTGGGCAAAGGATATGAACAGACACTTCTCAAAAGAAGACATTTATGCAGCCAACAGACACATGAAAAAATGCTCATCATCACTGGCCATCAGAGAAATGCAAATCAAAACCACAACGAGATACCATCTCACGCCAGCTAGAATGGCGATCATTAAAAAGTCAGGAAACAACAGGTGCTGGAGAGGATGTGGAGAAACAGGAACACTTTTACACTGTTGGTGGGAGTGTAAACTAGTTCAACCATTATGGAAGACAGTGTGGTGATTCCTCAAGGATCTAGAACTAGAAATACCATTTGACTCAGCCATCCCATTACGGGCATATACCCAAAGGACTATAAATCCTGCTGCTATAAAGACACATGCACACGTATGTTTACTGCAGCGCTATTTACAATGGCAAACACTTGGAACCAATCCAAATGTCCATCAATGATAGACTGGATTAAGAAAATGTGGCACATATACACATGGAATACTATGCAGTCATAAAAAAGGATGAGTTCATGTCCTTTGTAGGGACATGGATGAAGTTGGAAACCATCATTCTGAGCAAACTATCTCAAGGACAGAAAACCAAACACCACATGTTCTCACTCATAGGTGGGAATTGAACAATGAGAACACATGGACACAGGAAGGGGAACATCACACACCGGAGCCTGTCATGTGGTGAGGGGAGGGAGGTGGGATAGCGTTAGGAGAAATACCTAATGTAAATGATGAGTTAATGGGTGCAGCAAACCAACATGGCACATGTATACATATGTAACAAACCTGCACGTTGTGCACATGTACCCTAGAACTTAAAGTATAATAAAAATAAATAAATAAAAATAAAGAAAAAAGTTCATTTCCCCATAATTCAGATGGTGGGAAGATAAAATTCCTGGCTGGTCGCGGTGGCTCGCACCTGAAATCCCAGCACTTTGGGAAGCCGAGGCGGGTGGATCACTTGAGGCCAGGAGTTCAAGACCAGCCTGGCCAACATGGTGAAACCCTGTGGCTACTGAAAATACAAAAACTTAACCGGGCATGGCAGCGGGCACCTGTAGTCCCAGCTACTCAGGAGGCTGAGGCAGGAGAATAACTTGAACCCGGGAGGCAGATCTTGCAGTGAGCCAAGATCATGCCACTGCACTCCAGCCTGGGCAACAGACTGAGAATCCATCTCAAAAAAAAAAAAAAAAAAAAATTCCTAAAGAAATAAATTAATAATTTAATAAAATTCTTAGGAAACTTATTGGCATGGTTAGGGTTTTTTGTATTTGTTTGTTTTTAAACAAGGAGCAGTTGTGAGAAGGAACATTTTCATAAGAGCCTGCTGTAGGTTCAAGTCACTGCAGAACTCTAGATGCTAGATCACTCAGTCAGTAGGCTGACCCATCGAATTACCTGTAAATGGATTCATCCCCACGTTGTCTGTCTGCCTCTCCTCTGTTTATCATCAATCAGATCTTGATCCACTTTCTGTGCCTGGCAGTGTTCTAAGGTCCTGGCCCTCAACTGGGAGCCATCCAGACAAATGCTATTTCTTCCCTTGTGGTTCTGTTCCAGAGTATGGACAGTCTATGAGCCTTCAGATGGTGATGAGTACTTTGGAGAAAACAATATAAAACAGGCCACTGGGAAAGAGACCACTAGGCTGCTGGACAGAGGGCTGCTTTATGCAGGTGGTCATAGAAAGGGAGTTTGAGCAGGCAGCATGGCAGCAAAGACCCAAATGTAGAATGCTGGTGTTGCTCAAACCAGTATCAGGAGATGAGAACATTACAGACAGAGGGACTCACATGTGCAAAGGCCCTGAGGTAGCAGTAACCTCAACTGGTATGGAGAACATGCAGAAAATCAATTGGGCTGAGCCAGAGTGGTAGGAGGACAGAGAGAAGAAGTGTCATGGGGTCTTCCTCACCATGGTGTGGGTCTGGATTTATTCTAACCATCTAACCAACAGAAGCCTCCTAGTACACATATTTTTGGATAATGCAAATTTTTTTCAGCGTTTTCTATAGCATGGTGCTGTCCAGTAGGAAAGCAACAGTGAGAGAGAGAGAGAGAAGAGGGGGAGAGAGAGAACAGAGAGAGATAGAGAAAAAGAGAGAGAGAGGGGAGAAGGAGAGAGAAAGGAGAGGGAGAGAGACAGAGAGGAGAGGGAGAGAGAGATGAGAGAGGGAGAGGAGAAAGGGAGTGAGAGAGAGGGAGAGGAGTGAGAGAGAGAGAGGAGAGAGAGAGTAGAGGGGGAGTAAGCAAGAGAGAGAGGAGAGGGAGAGAGAGTGAGAAAGAGGAGAAAGAGAGGGAGAGAGAGAAGAGAGGGAGAGAGGAGAGGGAGAGAGGAAGAGAGAGAGGAGAAGGAGAGAGGAGAGATAGGAAGAGAGAGAGGGAGAGAGAGAGAGAGGGAGAGAGAGAGAGGGAGAGAGAGAGGAGAGGAAGAGAGAGGGAGAGAGAGGAGAAAGAGAGAGGAAGAGAGGGAGAGAGAGAGAGGAGAGGGAGAGAGGAGAGAGAGAAGAGAGGGAGAGAGAGAGGCAGAGGGAGAGAGAGAGAGGGAGAGAGAGAGGAGAGGGAGAGAGGAAGAGAGAGAGAAGAGAGAGGGAGAGAGAGAGAGGGAGAGAGAGAGAGGGAGAGAGAGGAGAGGGAGAGAGAGAGGAGAGGGAGAGAGAGAGGAGAGGGAGAGATAGAGAGGGAGGGAGAGAGGGGGAGAGAGAGAGAGGGAAAGAGAGAGAAAGAGAGAGAGAGGGAGGGAGAGAGGAGGAGAGAGAGAGAGAGGGAGAGAGAGAGGAGAGAGAGAGAGAGGGAGAGAGAGAGAGAGAAGAGAGAGAGAGGAAGAGAGAGAGAGACAGAGAGAGAGAGAGAGACATGCCCAAGACTGCAACACTATGTCCATACAAATTAGCACACATAGAAACATGTTTTAATACCCACAATATAAATCTTTTTTATTCCCATGAACTCAGTTCTGAGTAGTCTCCAAACATTGGCAGCTCAGTATTTCCTGGGTTCCACAAAGCCTAGGCTGGTCACCAATGTGGTCATGCATTTAGGGGCAAGGCATGGCCACTGCCATCTTAGCTTTGACACTCACCTCCTTCAGCACAGGGGTGAGGGGCTCCAGCTCCCTTATGTCTGGTAAGAAACCCCAAGCCCCCTCCAGGCACCCTAGCAGCAGACTTGAGAGGAAGTGGATATTCCCTTCTAGGTGGGGTATTGGACAAGCGTGGGTGTCTGTCCAGGAGCAGCATTGAAAAGGCAGGAGCTAGTGGCAAGGTGAGGAGGGTCTTTGGAATCTCAGGATGGTCCCGTTGTGACCCTATTACAGGTCAAATCCCCTGAGCACTTGTTCCCCAACAAGGCTGTCCTTTCTCTCCAGGAAAGGACACGTGGTTGTTCATGGCTTACACACTGAGACAGTGTGCAGGCACCACCTCCACAGCCGGGCAGTGTGCTTAAACCAGGGCTACTACATAGAGGAGAGGCTCTGAGCCTCCAGAGCAATTTGTAAAACCTGCAGGAAGAGGAGTTATGGTAAGATTATTATTATTAACAACAACAACGATTGGAATTTATTGAGCACTTACTGTATGCCAGGCTCTGTGCCAAGCGATTGATTCCTTCCTTCTTTCCATCCTCCCTTCCTTTATTTTCTTCCTTTGGCTCTTCCTTTATTCATTATTCAATCAACAACCTTCATCTTTGGATCTATACATTCAAAAAGGCTTTGCTATGACCACTCTGGGTCGGGCACTGTTCTCAGACTGGGGACACAGTGGCAAACATGAGGGAGACAGTCCCTGCCCTCAAGGAGCTGATGTTTGGATTGGGAAACAGACACAGACACGAGAAGTTGCGATGATGACACATATTATGGAGAGAACACCACCAGGTAAAGGGATAGAGAGGCAGGGGTGGGTGGGGGCCATTTTAGAAGGGGCCATTTTAGTGGGGAACATTTTAGTGGGGATGACTACTCCAGGATACCCCACCTAGGAGGAGATATCTGAACTTCAGCCAGGTGAGAAGGGATCAGGCTAGCAAAGGTCTGGGGGAAGATGGTTTCAGGCAGGGGGAATGTCAAACACAATGGATCAAAGCACAAGTTTGATGTGTTTAAGTGATTTATATAAACTTTACATTGAATAGTCACAGTAGCAGAAGGAAGGAAGAGAAGAATGAAGAAAGGAAGAAAGAGAAGAAGGAAGGAAGGAGAGAAGAAGAAAGAAAAGGAAGGGAGGAAGAAAGGAAGGATGAAAGCAGGGAGTGAGAAAGAAGGAGTGAAGGGAGGTAGGAAGGAAGGGAGAGAGAAGAAGAAGAAAGGAAAGAAAGGAGGAAGGAAGGCAAGAAGAAGAAATAAAGGAAAGTGGAAGAAAGGAAAGAGAGGAAAGAAGGAGGAAGGAAGGAAGGGAGGAAAGGAGAAAGGAAAAGGGAAGAAGGAAAGAAGGAAGGAAGGAAAAAGGGAGGAAAGGAGAAGGAGGAAGGAAAGAAGGAAGGAAGGGAGGGAGGGAGGGAAAAATCATTGTCCTAGAAGTTATGAGAGTTAGGTTCACCTTCTCACAGAACTTCATGCCTAACCTTGAACAAACCAGATGACCTCTTTCTGCCTCAATTTCCTCATCTATTTAGAGGGAATGATCACCCCTTTCCTGTTTACCTCCCAAGGTGGCTGTGCGACTCACTGTTGCAGAGGGAGTTTCAGAGGCCTGCCGTGCCGTGGAAAGGCGGGCAGGATTACTGTCACCGGTGCATCACAGACTTCACTGGGCCAAAGGTTTACTTGCAGCTGTTTTTGCAAAAGCGTAGCCGACGGGGCACCATGTCCACACACAACACTGGTTTGTTTCTCTAAATGAAACCAGGAATCTAAATGAAGACTTCTTGTAAATCAAAGCAGCAACTACATTTGATTTAGGGATTATGAATATTGTTTTTCCAGGTCTCCTGCCAAATTACACAAAAGACTGAAAAGTTTAATACTTGGATGCCTTCATGAGTGAGAAGACATTGAAATAAATTTGAGGCCAATCAGTGTGAGTTTCATTTTCTAGCTGGTAACCCTTGAGGAAGACGGCCAGGTTTCCTGGGCTGCTGCTCCTGTCTGTCAAGGGGAAAGTAAATTCAATGACTTCGGAGACGTGGCCCAAGTCTCCCCTCCCGAAATAAGGAGTCACTCGGCGGTCTTCTACTCCGTGGGGTTTACACGGCCCTGTGAGCTTCAACATTTACAGCGCCACTGTTGAGAGTCATTTCTAAATCCCATCATGACACATAAACATGGAAATTAGATTCACTCTGGGCATCCTCGATTTCTTTGAGCATTGCTGGCATAAATTACAGGGTTCAATAACTCTGTGTCTATCCTCCCTCAAGCTTCACCTGCCTTCCTGATCAAGAAAGCCACCACTTAAATTGATCTATTAAATGGAAGCATGGATTTTTTTTTTCTATCTCATCACAGGATCAGCTCAAATCAAACATCCAAAACCATTACCCCAGGGCTCCTCTTCCAAATGGAATTTAGACGCATTTATTTCTGGGAGCAGCCTAATCTGAATAAATTGCTGAGCTGCTTTGGTGTTCTGTTCCCAGGGATCTGTAAATAATCTCATTTTCTTTCTCTTCAGGAGGTCTTCAGAGCCCTGTCCACCCATCATCAGCACTGTTCGGTGGTCACTTATCTGTGCAGGGCCTGAGCAGCCGCTAGAGAACATCTGTCTCAGACCTCAATCCCTATAGAGCCAGTAGCACATTTTAGAGAAGAGCACACAGCTCTGGCAGCATTGCAGAGGAAAAAGGAAAGTTTACATCCTTTTTCCCTCATGAAAATAAACAAGGGGGCCAGGCATGGTGGCTTATGCCTGTTAATCCCTGCACTTTGGGAGGCCGAGGAGAGAGGATCAATTGAGCCCAGGAGTTTGAGATCAGCCTGGGCAACGTAGTGAGACCCTGTCTCTGTAAATAAATAAATAAATAAATAAAAAATCCCAGCTACTGGAGAGGCTTAGGCGAGAGGAGGATCCCTTGAGCCCAGGAGTTTGAGGCTGCAATGAGCTATGATTGTGCCACTGCACTTCAGCCTGGATGACAGAGCAAGACCGTATTTCAAAAGGAGAAGGAGGAAGAGGAAGAGGAGGAGGAGGAGAAGGAGAAGGAGAAGAAGGAGAAGGGGAAGAGAAACAAAACAAGAATCATTTTCTGGAACAGACCCTTCTGCAGCAAGTACACAACCTTCATGATGATTGATTGATTGATTGATTGATTGATTGATTGATTTAGAGAGGGAGTTTCACTCTTGTCACCCAGGCTGGAGTGCAATGGTGGATCTTGGCTCACTGCAACCTCCGCCTCCCAGGTTCAAGTGATTCTCCTGCCTCAGCCTCCCGAGTAGCTGGAATTGCGGGTACCTGCCACCACGCCCAGCTAATTATTAGTGTTTTTAGTAGAGACCGCATTTCACTATGTTGGCCAGGCTGGTCTCGAACTCCTGTCCTCGTGATCCACCTGCCTCTGCCTCCCAAAGTGCTGGGATTACAGGCATGAGTCACCGTGCCCGGCCCTTCATGGTGATCTTTACAGTATGTTACTGACTGTCAGGTTTCCTCTTAGCAATAAGGGGGTCCAGGAAACGGTTGTCTTGCAAATTAAGAATTCTTTGCAAAAATAGAAAACCAAATGATTTCCCAAAATTACTGAGGTACTTATTAGAGAATAAGAAAGATTAAGCTTTTTCTCTCAATACAGGTGCGACCCATCATGGTTTCTGTATGTGTTTTTCTAGCAAGACAAATGCCGGGAACTGATTGGCTTGTGTTTTATCTCGCATTGCCTTGGGAAATGAGCCTACTGTGTGGTCTAAGATACAGGAAAAGAAATGATGGGGTGAGTATTAATACAACAGGAGAAATCAAAAATAGCCTTGCTGCTGTCAGGTCAATTCACACATATTCCTGCCCTGAAGTAGGACTCTGAAACGCTGGTGCAGCACGTCAGGGTTGCTTTGGATTACCATAATTTAGCAAATCATCTAATTTGTATATTAAGCTAACTCAATAGGCATGTCTCCTTGCTCTTTCATTGGGAGAAAAAAAAAATAGGTGATGAATATCAAATAGAAGAAAAACAAGTCACTCTCCATTCTTTAATTTGCATTCTTTGAATGGCACAAAGAAAGGATAGTCCTTCCAGACTCTTTCTGACAGCCCCTCTCCAATAGGTGGGTCAATGTGGAAGTGATCAGTAGAAAATGAGGTCTAGTCTTCATAGACTCTGGCCATTTCTACCTTCTCTTAGCGTTTTCTGAAAGATAGCTTCTCCAAAGGCTTTGGGGAACAAAAGCAAGGTTTCCTATCAGATTTGCCCATCTTTGACACAGAGCCTTCTTTTCTTTATGTTTTCATGTTTTCCCTCCCTTCCTTCCTTCTGTCCTTTTTCTTTCTTTCTTTCTTTCCCTTTCTCTTTCTTTCCTTCCTTCTTTCTTTCTTTCTTTCTTTCTTTCTTTCTTTCTTTCTTTCTTTCTTTTTTTCTTTTCTTTTCTTTCTTTCTTTCTTCTGCAATGGAGTCTCACTCTGTCACCCAGGCTGGAGTGCAGTGGCACCATCTCAGCTCACTGCAACCTCTGCCTCCTGGGTTCAAGTGATTCTCCTGCCTCAGCCACCCAAGTCGCTGGGACTACAGGCATGCGCCACCACGCCAGCCTAATTTTTGTATTTTTAGTAGAGATAGGGTTTCACCAAGTTGGCCAGGCTGGTCTAGAACTCCTGGTCTCAAGTGATCTACCTGCCACGGCCTCCCAAAGTGCTGGGATTACAGGCATGAGCCACTGTACCCAGCCATAGATGTTTTCTATAAAACAAACAAACAAACAAACCTCACCTGTATCGAGTCATCTGTCTTTTCATCTATCTGTGCTGTGGTTGCCTTTTATTTCTTTCTGTCTCTTTATCTCTCTGCTCTCTCTTGGACTTCCCATTGCTCTTGTTAAAATCAGTCTGGTTTCACCACTCAGTTTCCTTCCCTTCTCTCCTTCCCTCCTCTCCCCTGTCCTTTCCCATGCCTTCCTTTTTTCTCTCTCCCTCTGTCTCTCTCCCTGGATATTTCTGTGCCTCTATCTCTCTGCCTGGCTTGTTTTCTGTCTCTGCTTTGTTCTGTCTTTGTTTTTGTTCATGGTTATTATTTCTGCATGTGTCTTTGGTACCTTTCTGTCTTTCTGTTTCTCTGCCTTTGACTCCTTATTTAGGCACGTAGCCTCTCACTCTTTCTTTATCTGTCTGTCTTTCCCACTCTGTCAGTTTCTGTCTCTGTCTCCCTCTCCATTCCCATCTCCTTTCCAAACATCCAGAAAACAGATCTATCCAAGGGATTGAGAATCAGCCAGAGACTCCAGCCAGGTCTATCCTAACTCGTGGACCTTCCGAAACCTGGCTTGCAGTGACCGCACATGAGGTTTTAGTCATGCTTTGATGAAGTCGCTATTGTGGGCTTGAGTTGCATGCTTTTCTTCCGGAGAATTTCTTTCAGTGGAGCTGCCTAATCAGGTTTAGGTGTTAATTAAATAACTGCTATTTGCATTCTTGTTCTGTGGCAACTTGGTGTTGTATTAAATTTTAATTTGGCCTAAGCTGGATAAGATGATTCCTTCAGTCAACAAAGAAGGTTGTATTAGCAGGTTACAGATGTAATTAGGCAGAGCTTGACTGAAGTGCTAACAGATTCACATACAGGAAAGGAATTAGAGATGAGCACGTGTGCACTCATTATTCATTGTAGTTGCTGGGGTCTGTCAGTAACCAGGACCCCTCTGAATGAGTGGAAACACGGGGCACACAAATGCAGAACCGACTCATGTTGAAACCGGGGTGTTCTCCACCTTCTCCTTCCACTCTCTCCTCTGTTCTCTGTTTCTCTGTTTTCTCCCTCCAGCATTCTCTGCCTCTCAGCTGTGTGTTTGCTGTCATCTGTCTCCATCTCTCTCTGCCTGATGGTGTATTCATTTCATGCTTCTGCAATAACAAATTACCACCCACTAGGTGACTTAAAACAACAGAAATGCATCCTCTCACAGTTCTGGTGGCCAGAAACCCAAAATCAGTTTTTCAGGGCCCAAATCAAGGTGCCAGCAGGCTGTGCTCCCTCTGAAAATTCTAGAGGAGATCCTTCCTCGCCTCTCCCACCTTCTGCTGGCTCCAGGCTTTCCTTGGCTTGGGGTCGCTGTCTTCAGTCTCTGCCTCAGTAGTCCCATGGCCTTCTCCTGGTCTGTCTGTCAAATCTTCTGCCCCCCTCTTTTAAGGATGGATGTAATTAAATTTAGGGTCCACCTGGATAATCTATGATAGTCATGCCATCTCAAAACCCGTAACTCAACCATATCTGTGAAGCCCTTTTTTTTTCTTTTGTCATTAAGGGAAAATTTATAGGTTCCAGGGATTAAGTGTAGACGTCAGTCATCAACCTACTACAGAGTCTCTGTCTCTCTTCTGTGTCTTCTCTCTCTCATCTCTAAGAAAAGGGACCTTTCAGAGGGACCCTCATCTGTTCCCTTTGGCCCATTCCATAGACTGAACTGTCTCCTCCCAAAAATCATATTTTAAAGCCCTAACGCTCTCTGTGATGGTATTTGGAGATGGGGTTTTTGAGAGATGATTAGGTTTAGGTGAGACCACGAGAGTGAAGTCCTCCTGCTGGAATTACTATCTTTATAAAAAGGGAAGAGACACCAGCAGTGTCTGTCCTGAGGCCTCCCCAGCCATGCCTCCTGGACAGCTGCAGAACTGAGTCAGTTAAACCTTTTTTCTTCATAAATTACCCAGTCTCTGGTAGTTATTTATAGCAGTATGAGAACAGATTAACACACCTTCCATCCCCTCATCTTTCATCTTTGTCAAAGTGCTATTCATCTTTGTGAACCCCAGTGGGACATATTATTACTCCTCATTTTAGAGATGAGGAAAAAGGAGACCAGTAAGACAGCCAATTTGCTGACGTGGGATCACTCAGGAAACATGCAGTGTAACTGAGCATTGAACCCTCATCTGTGACCCTCAGCTCAGTGCCTCTCATGATGACCCCTCTACCTTCCCAGCAGTGAGGCCAAGGATGTGCCGCAGGAGTGTAGTAGGGTCTATTCTGATCTCTGGCTTATATGTGAAAAATGTGACCAGGGTGGGTGCCTTAAATTCTTCAGGATTATGTGAAAGCTGTAGAGACTTCAGGCCAGCAGCCCTCCCGGAAGACTCAAGATGAAAAGGGCACTGACTTTTGTTATGATAATGTCAGAGTGTCTTGTGGACATCAAGGACAGGGAATTAGCCACCCCTCCCTTAAGGACAAGCTGGAACCAACGCTTTTATTTCTGCTTCTCTCTGATAGAGAAAAGCTCTGTTTCTCAGTGCATGTCTCAGCCAATGACCACCAACTTTCCCAAGCTTATATCCCTTCTTTTCAAGAAGAAAGCTAAGACAGAGACTCGATGCCTAAATTTCATTCCTGTCGCAGACTGGCCTAGTTTGGGGCAGGTGTTCACCTATAAACCAGTCAGCAGCCCAGGGCAGGCAGGATCATGCTTCACTGTTGCTATCTCCATAGAGATGGTACCAAGAAAAGGGAATTTTCTGAGGGCTGGTTAGTATAGCACTGTTTGATGACTTCACATTCATTCAGTGGACACTGGTTGATCACTCTTAATGTTCTGGACACTAAATTGGCCTCTATTTCACGGGCTTTATGGTCTCTTTAATTTTTCTTGGTGTATTTCCTCCATCTCTCTATGTTAGAAACTTTTAGCTTTATCGTTGCTTCACTAGCTTCAAGATTTCCACAGAGAGGTTAAAGACACACCGGTTTTATATTTTGTCGCATATGTTTTGCAGATATATTTGATCAAGAAAACTTGCTGAGCCAAACATCAAGCCATTGGCCAGGAATCTCCCCTGTAGTGACCCCAAGTGGGGTCAAGTAGGTGGAAGTTACTACCTGGTTTCTCTAAGCTGCTGATGGGCATTCGCTGCCTACAAGGAGAGAGAGAATGGAAGGATCTTTCAAACACTTTCCACTCTTCCCCATATTGGCTATCAACCGCTTGACATAAAAATCATGCATTGAGCTGAACTGAATTTTTATTGAATTTTTCACCAAGTACTATCTTATCTGAAATGACTTTCTTCATTTTCTTCAGGGAACAACAGATATTTGAGTTTTGAAAGCATATACCAAGATGCTAGTATGTTATCAGAGGACACAAAAATAGAGTTTAAATGTTGGGCTAGGCCGGCTCCAGAGATATCTAATGCCTAGCACTGGGATTGCAAATTATCATTTAAGTTGAGCCAAACATCCTAGGTTTTCTCTCACTGAAGTTTACAGCTGTCTTGCAGCTTTAGAAATCAGAACTGAAGGCAAAGGGAGGAAAACAAAATAAAGTTATCATGAGAGACACATCCAGAGACTGGCGTGGGAATGCCAGCTGACAGCAGATAAAGAAAATGAACCTCTGAGTTGGTTCTTAAGCTGGGGCTTTTTGCATATAGCAGAATCCAGGATATAATAAACTATAAGCCTTGTTGTCAGTGTTTATGAGATTTGAGGATCCTGAGATATTTCTGCTACTAATACAACCTCACATTACATAAAATACATTTAATCAGTTATTTTGGGACATTTTGTTTAATCAAGGTGTTTGAAATTTAATTTTGACTTTTGAAGACTTCTTTTTAGATAAGATGAAATTTTAATTTCATGTATCTTATGAGATGACTGATGAAGCAATTGTCTTGTGGCAATTATGGACTTCAACTTTTGAGTATCTGTTCAAATCTGGCTGTACTACTAAGTAGGCATTATTTCAACTGTATCCGTCAGGTGGTGAGAAACAGAAACAGTATGATACACACATATTTAAGAGACACATTTCAAGGAATTGGCCTATGGAAAGGTAGGGGCTGTCTAAGTGAGTCCAAAATCCATTTGCAGGTTTTCAGGAAGGGAAACTACAAATCCCTCTGCAGGAACTGATGCTGTGGGACATGGGGAATTCCTTCTGTTTTTCAAGAAAACCTCTGTTCACCTCTTAAATTAGGCTTATCCAGCCAGATTATTGGTTATAATCTATTTTACTGAAAAGTCAGTGATTATAGAGGTTAATCACATCTACAAACTACCTCTGCAGCAATATCTAGAGTGGTGTTTAATTGGACAACTGGGGTCTATAGTTTGGGCAAGTTAACGTATAAAATTGACCTATTATTTTACTCAAAAGGTAAAATCTATAATTGCCACCAGGCAATTATCATCATTTTGAGCTTCAATCTTTTGTTAATAAAATGAGTATTACAATACCAGCCTCTTAAAAGGGATACTGTAAAGATTAATGAGATTATAACAAGAAAATTGATTACTTATTGAGGTGCTTACAAAGTACCAGACACTGTGCTCAGTACCAGATAATATGATGATAACATATTATCATCATATATTAATATGCTTTGTATAGTAATATGAATGTGTATCACCAAGAGGTAATGAATGTAAATTACTTAGCACAGGACTTGACAAATAATTAAGGCTTTATTAAAAGTTGAATGATATTAATTAAGTCCTTTGTCACACTTATATATTATTATTTTTTGTATTTGTTTGGTTAACTGTTTTTTTTTTTTAATCCTTTCTCATGATCTGAACTCCATGAGAACAGAAACCAAGTCTTAGTTCATTTGTCGTCTCTGTGCTGCATACAGCAGGCACTCAAAAAATACCTTCATTTTTCAATGAATGAAGGTGCATATGAGACAGAAAGAGGTGTCAAGTTTTGCTCAATCATCCAAGACATTAATGCAGGCCAAATAACACTTATAATATTCTTCCTGCCCAGGACCAAAGGGAGTCATGGGGAGATTACGGACAAGAAGGCAAGGTAGACGAATTAGATACATCTGTTTTGTGATTTCTAGCTTGGACCCTCCTTAGAAGGCTTTGACTCAAATGTCTAGAAATCATCATTTTGTAGGTGTTGTTACTCTCTTATTAATTTGGGAGGGACCTTATGATGTAGGGTGAAGAGCCAGATTTTAGAACTCTCATATGAATTCAAATTTTGTTTTGATTGATTAGACCTTCTGGACCAATTATAACTTGTTTTTATTTTGTTTTATCTTGTATTGACACACACACACAATTTGCTTATTACACAAATAATATATAAAATACTTACTCAAAAATAATTATAAAGGTTAGGCCCACTCTTCTATTTATCTGTTGATAAACAGAAAATATTTAACACAAAGCAATAGTTTTTCCCTGTATCAAAAGTAGGCAGGAATAGTGCTTGGGGTTTCTGAGAAGTTAATAGAGAACTTTGAAAAAAAAATCAGTACAAATGCTATTTGTGGGGAGGTTAGAAAGATTTACACAGTTGCAAATAATTGTGTAAGAAGCCTGGCAACATAGTGAGATGATGAAGAACAAAAGTATCCCAGACCCAAACATAGCTTAAGGACTAAATTTTCAAAGTCAAGCATTTTGGTCCAACCCCGGCCCCACCACTTTCTAACTCTTTGAACTTGGCCATATCATCTCAAGTCTTTGAGACTCATTTCCATTTTCTGTAAACTGTGGATGATAATCATAAAATTGAATTAATTCTTATATGGAATATTGGCTCCAATGTGACCATATAGTGCAAAAGTTGCAAATTGTCAAGGTAACCCCTGGAAAGCACTTGTCATATTCCTCTGAGATCACCAGGACCTGAATCCCTAAACACTCACAATAGAAAGAATTACTCTTTCTTATTTCTCTTTGCATGGGCTGTCTCCAAATTCTCTGTTACAACACAGAGCAAGATCCAATTTTTTAGAGGGTGTCAGGGGATCAGAGAGTAATTCTATTTTTCTCTCATTCTTCCTTCTGTTCTGAGATCATATAATCAAATGATATATTTGTTAAACATGTGTATAATGTAATTCTGTGAGGTTTTGGGAAGGAGAAAATAAGATGATGTTTATAAAAGGCATTGCATAATGATTTGTTATGTCAAGAAACATTACTTATATATGAGTTAGTATGTACATGTAGGGGTATATATCTCTGTAATTTTAACCCCCACTTAATTATAAGTTCCATTGGGTAGAGCATGTCCATTTTATTCACCCATCCTTATCATCCGAAAGGTACTCAATGTGTATGTAGAATGAATGAATATTAGAGTTATTCCAAGATACACTGGGCTCCTGTAAGAGTAACCACCCAGCCTTGCTAAAACATCCCCAGTGAATGTTCTGCCATTGCAAAGCTTCAAAAAGGAGAGGATCTGAGTTGCAATATCTTTGTTGAGGTGATTTAACTTGGTCTTGAGACCTTAGGAATTATGATCCCAAGTCTTCATTTGATTTCATGGAATGCTTTTGTTCAGTGTAGAGACCGATGATGTCCTCTGAGCAGAGTGATGCACGAAGACCTTTGTGATCTAACAGGATGGAACTTATGTCTCCTGCCCTTCATGGGTTATAATGAGGCTAATTATAATCAAAGCTCTCACTATGTGGCAGGCACTATTATAAGCATGTCAAATGTATTGATTCATTTAAGCCTGTTGTACAGGTAGATAATACTATTACTATGAGATGTTACAGATGTGGCGACAGAAGCACAGACAGGTTAAGCCACTCACCCGTAGTCACACAGCTGGTAGGGGGTGGACCTACAGGTAGTTGGTGCTTGGTGGCTCCAGAGTTAACACTGACCAGCATGGGGACATTATTGAATTACTATACAGTGAGCCTTCTCTGCAGCCATGGAAGCATCTTGTTTCCAAACTTGGTCCAAGGGGATAAGGTGAGGCAGAGTGTCTTCCCAGGCATGTGCTGTTAGACAATATCCGAAGCTATCTGCCACCTCCCGAGAAATGTGTGGGGAGCTCATTACTGAATAGCCTGATGTCACCTCTGTCCACAGCTCTGTTTCCTGGGTAAACGTAGGGCAGCTCCAAAAGAGCTCGCATACGAAGGTTTCCTTAAGGGTTTAATTCCTAGGAAGAACACATTGGCAAGTGGTGTGTGTCTTGAATGCATTCCTGCAGAGGGGCCTGTCTGAGCCTTAGACAATGAGATAAAGACACCACTGAAGATACTGGTGGGAAGGATCGACGCCAGAGTGGCAGAGAAGCAGTGGGTACTGGCAAGTCTACTATAAATTCCTGAAATAATTTATGGGAGCACTTTGGGAGGCTGAGATAGGAGGATCACTTGAAGCCATAAGTTTGAAACCAGCCTGGGCCACATAGGGAGACCCCATTGGTACTGAAAAAAAAAATGGATAGTCTTTTGGTTATATGTAATAGAAACCCAAATTAAACTGGCTTAAGCCTTCTCTTCCTTAAAATAAGTTTATTGGCTCATGGAACTAAAAGGGTTGTGATGATTTTTGTCCAAGTTGGAGTCTGAGCGTCTTCAGGATTCGGTTTCACCCCATCACTTAGTTCTGCTTCCCTCTGTGTTATCTGCATTAATAAGATATTTATTTTCTCTATGGCCACCGCCACCCCATGCCCCAATCGCCATGGTTTTTATCTTTCCAGTTTTAATTCCAGTGGACAAGTTCATACCAACGAAAGCCACAGGAGTAGACAGGACTGGGTCTGATGCCCATTCCTGAATCAGTCTTTCTCTGGGTGTGGGATGGGTTATGTTGATCGGCCAGGCCAGGGTGCCATGCCCATTGCTAGGACTGGGGCAGGGATTAATTCAGCCTGAACATGCTGTGAGGGTAAAGAGGCCTTAGTTCTTCAGAGAAAAACCGAGGTGTTTTCATCAGGAACAGAAAGGAGGGGGTCTGGAGAGAACTGGTGGCCACCCTCTCTATTCCCGATGGCGGCTCCCATGAAGCCTTCTCCAAGGACACAGAGTAGGTCCACGCACAGTGAGTGTCTGCTCTGTGATGTGCTCCAGGCCAGGCACCACAGCAAAGCAGGGACGCAGATGGAAACCTCAGTAGGCATTCTGAGGTCTGGTTTGGGAGAAAAATTTCAAGATGCCAAGCATTTGTTGAGTATCTGCTCTTACGGCAGGTCCTATGGGGATTACAAGGAGATGAATCAGACCCAGATCGCCAGGAACTCACAGATAGGTGGTGGAACATGGAAAAGCAGCACAAAATATTCAAAATTCAAACTAAAATGTGGCAAAGTCCATACAAAAAATATAGTTAATGTGCTCTAAAAATGTAAAAGAGAGAGAGCTGCCTTTTGATCTACACTGTTGTCCATCCACACATTTCTTGTGACTTTGTGGTGTGCAGATCTTATGTCCGCCTCCCTTGATCAGAGCAGGCACCATGATGTGTCAGGCAAAATGAAAATGTGGGGCCTCTCTTCAAACAGCAGGAAAATATGACATTAAAGGTACTACCTTATAAAGTGTTTTTCTATCTTTCACAGTCTTTCTCTTAACTTGGCATACTCTTCTACATTTGCTATTTGATATCTTTAAAGAAAATTTTAAATTTAAATTATTAGTCTGAGGTTTATTATTCATGTTCGTTGTGTACAATGACAGACTCAAATGCAGATACAATAGTATTTAACTTGTGTGTGAAATCTCTTAAATGAAACAATTTGTATTTGGTAGGTAGTCATGCATGCAAATACATTTTGTTCTTTTTTGCTTGTTTGTTTTTGATGGAGTTTTGCTCTGTCGCCCAGGCTGGAGTGCAGTGGCACTATCTCTGCTCACTGCAAACTTCGCCTCCCTGGTTCCAGTGATTCTCCTGCCTCAGCCTCCCAAGTAGCTGGATTACAGATGTGTGCCACCATGCCCAGCTCATTTTGTATTTTTAGTAGAGATGGGGTTTCACCGTGTTGGCCAGGCTGGTCTCAAACTCCTGACCTCAGGTGATCTGCCCACCTCAGCCTCCCAAAGTGCTGAGATTACAGGCGTGAGCCACCAGGCACGGCCTCAATTCTTCTTTAAACGTTTGGTAGAATTCACCAAAGAAGCCATCTGGGACAATGATTTCCTTTGTGGAAAATTTTGCAATTCCAGTTAATCACTGAGTTTATTATAGGTTGAGTCATATTTTCTATAAATGTATTTCTTGAGTGAGATTTGGTAGTGTCTACCAATTTGTCCATTTCATCTAGGTTAACTAATTTGTTCTCATATAATTTTCCAGAGTATCAACTTACAACACTTTTATTTCATTCAGTAGTGCTGCCTCCATTTCATTCCTGGTTTAGAAACTCAAGTCTTTGCTCTTTTTGTCCTTGGTTGGTCTAGCTAAAGATTTGTTAATGTTATTGATCATTTTGAAAACCAATTTTGATGTTGTAGGTTTTCTCTATTGTACTTCTATTCTCTATATCATGATGCCCATTCCTGAATCAGTCTTTAATGGTATCATTACTGTTTTATTTGGATTTAGTTTGGATTTGAATTTCTGCTTTAATGGTATCATTACTGTTGTTATTTGGATTTAGTTTGCTAATCCTGGTTTACTGTCTGCTTGACTTAACTTTAGTTTGCTTCTTCTCTATCTAGTTTCTTAAGATAGACGTTGAGATTGTGAACTTGAAATTTTTAGGATCTTTTAATGTGTGTTTATAGCTATAAATTTCATTTGACCCCTGCTTTAGCTGCTTCTCATAGGTTTTGGCATGCTGTGCTTTTGTTCTCATTCATATCAAAGTAGTTTGTAACTTTACTCATAATTTATTATTTGACTCATTGTTTACATTGTTTAATTTTTGTATATTTCTGAACTTCCTAAATTACATTATATTATTGACTTTTACATTTATTCTACTTTGAGCTGAGGAGATTCTTTGCAGGTTTTTAATCTTTTTAAATGTATTGGAGCTTGTTTTATGGCTAACATACAGTCTATCTTGGAGAATGTTCTAGGCACTATTGAGAACAATGTATATTTTTCTATTGTTGGGTGGAGTATTCTATAGATATCTGTTTGATATGATTGTTTTATAGTCATATTCAAATCTTCTATTTCCTTGAAGATAATATTTTTAGTTTCTCTACACTATATTAAAAGTGAAATATTGACATCTTCCAGTATTTTTGAATAATTGATTGATCAATTGATATATTTTGGCACTTTGAGAGGCTGAGGCGGGTGGATCACTTGAGGTCAAGAGTTCAAGAGCAACATGGCCAACATGCTGAAATCCTGTCTCTACCAAAAATACAAAAAATTAGCTGGTCGTGGTGGCACATGCCTGTAATCTGAGTTACTCGGAAGGTTGAGGCAGGAGAAGAGCTTGAAACCAGGAGGCGGAGGCTGCAGTGAGCCGAGATTGCACCACTGCACTCCAGCCTGAGTGACAGAGCGAGACTCTATCTCAAAAAAAAAAAAATTGATGTATTTTTGGATGTTACTGTTAGATGCATTTGTAGTCATTGCTTTTATCTTGACATATTTTTTGATGCTTTTATCTTTTCAAATGTCTTTCTTCGGCTTTAATAACGCTTCTTGTTAAAGGTCAGTTTTGATAGCAGTATAGTCACTTCAACTCACCTTTGGGTACTAATTTCATGGTAGGTTCCCTCTCCTTTTATTTTCAACCTATTGTGTCTTAAAATCTATAATTTGTCTCTTGTAGGCAGCATAGAGTTGAATAATGTTGTTGTTGTTGCCAATATTTGCCTTTTCACTGGAAGGGACTCCCTTTAGTGTTTAAAACAGGGCAAATCTGCTGGTAATGCATCCTCTCAGGTTTTTGTTTATCTGAGAATCTCTTATTTCCCCTTCATTTTGGAATATCTCTTTTCCCCTTCATTTGCTAAATATGGACTTATTGGTTGACATATCACCATAATTTCCCAGATTTTTAAAAAATATCTAATACATTTTTGTTGAATGCTAAATATTTTGAATATTATAATGTGGCAGTTCCAGAAATCAAATCCCCTTTACTCTCCAGGGTTTACTGTTTTTGGTGTTTGTTATTTTTGTTGTCCTTGTTGCCTTTTTGTTTAGTAGCTTTCCTGGACAAATTTTTAAAAGTCTGTGTCTTCTGTTTTTTGTGTCTCCTGGAGCCTCTTCTTGATTAGATTAGAAGTCAGGTAAGAAATGGGCAGAGACAGGGCATGGTGGCTCATGCCTGTAATCTCAGCACTTTGGGAGGCCAAGGTGGGTAGATCACCTGAGGCCAGGAGTACAAGACCAGCCTGGCCAACATGGCGAAACCTCATCTTTACTAAAAATACAAAAATTAGCTGGGCATGGTGGTACACACCTGTAATCCCAGCTACTTGGCAGGCTGAGGGAGGAGAATTGCTTGAACTTGCGATGCGGAGGTTGCAGTGAGCTGAGTTTCCACCACTGCACTCCAGCCTGGGCAACAGAGCAAGACTTTGTCAAAAAAAAAAAAGAAAAGAAAAAAAAAAAAGAAAAAGAAAAGAAAAGAGGCCGGGCGCAGTGGCTCATGCCTGTAATCCCAACACTTTGGGAGGCTGAGGAGGGCGGATCATGAGGTCAGGAGATCAAGGCCATCCTGGCTAACACGGTGAAACCCCGTCTCTACTAAAAAAAAAAAAAAATACAAAAAATTAGCTGGGCGTGGTAGCGGGCGCCTGTAGTCCTAGCTACTCAGGAGGCTGAGGCAGGAGAATGGCATGAACCTGGGAGGTGGAGCTTGCGAGATGGGGTTTCACTGTGCTAGCCAGGATGGTCTCCATCTCCTGACCTCGTGATCCGCCCACCTCGGCCTATGGCAATTTTATATTTTTTCCAATTAAAAACTTTTTTATTTTAGGTTCAAAGGTATTTGTACAGGTTTGTTACACAGGTAAACTAGATATCACAGGGATTTGGTATATAATTTCATCACACAGGTAATAAGCATAGTACTCAACAGGTGGTTTTTTTATCCTCACCCACCTCCCAACCTCCACCCTCAAGTCAGCCCCAGTGTCTTTTGCTTTCTTCCTTGTGTCCATATGTACTCAATGTCTGATGTCTTAACTCTCACTTATAAGTGAGAACATGTGGTATTTGGTTTCCTGTTCCTGTGTTAGTTCACTTAGGATAATGGCCTCCTGCTCCATCCATGTTCTTGCAAAGGACTTGATTTACGGCTGCATAGTATTCCATGGTGTATGTGTCCACATTTTGTGTATCCAGTCTACTGTTGATGGGCATTTAGGTTGATTCTATGTCTTTGCTATTGTGAATAGTGCTGCAATTAACATACATATGCATCTGTCCTTATGGTAGAATGATTTATACCCCTTTAAAGGCTTTGAGACAATGTGTCTCCTAGCCTTTACCCAGGTGCTCTGTGTGCTTGATGAGGTTTGCTTTGAAATTTGACAGACCGCTTGCAGCTCTCTGCCTTAGCCTTCACTTCCTGCTTGTGCAGAGCCTCACAGTCAGCGAGAGGTGAGAGACTGGCACATTCTCAGGTCATTCCTGGGATGTGCACAGTCCTACATATGCATGTGGCCTTTTATTTTCTTAGGAATATGTAGGACCCTTCCAAAGCCCCTGTGGGGATGTCATTCCCAGTCATTCCCAAGGTTTTCCTTCTCTGTTTTATGTCAGCTTCTTGTTAGCCACAACCATAGCTTTAGGCAGTTACAGTGTTATACAGTTGTTGCAGATTACTTTTGACAACTCTTGATGCAAAAAGGGCTATTGACTGGGAAAGTTCTGAACAAGTCAGTTGAAGAAAAACCTTTAGAATAGAAATTTTCCATGGAGCTGACAGATTTTCAAAGCTGCCACAGAGCCTGGGAGTGGAAGCATGGAAATGGCGCAAGCTAAGACATTCACAAAGCTCACTGTTCTTACTGAGATTCAGTAGATTTTTCTTAAATGAACACTCCTGAGATTGTCACAAGCCTTTAGTTAGTTTCCAGAGTTCTGAAAATAAATTGATTTTGACGATTGTTGGCAGTACTCTCATTGAGTTGATGGAGGGTAGAATTTTTGGAAGTCTGCCCTTCCAGGAGTGCTTCTCCATTGTTTTGATTTTTAAATGTTGCCTATTTATCAAATTAAATAATAAAACACTACCCCAGCCCACTAAGAAAAGTTTGCAAGTAAATTCTGCCTGTTGACTGATAGGTTCACCTTCCTATCAGGGTCAGTTGAAGAAAGTGTGGAAGGTAGATTCTTAGTCACAGATGTGGGTACAACTAAAACTAGTGCTAAGGACTCAATATTCTTCTGGTGACATAAGAAAAGTATATGAAATTAAGAAATAGGACTCTAACTCCCTTTGCACGTGTATCTTTCTTATCAGAAGACAGCAGCAGAGCCGTGCTAACTCGATTTTACCAACAAGTTTAGAAAACCCAGAGATGTTCAAGGTGACGTCTCCTTGGCAGTTGTCGGCAAAATTTCCTATGAATTACTGGGCATGAATTTCCTTCCCTTTGTTACCAGGAGTCAAGCATTTAAGTATAAATTGTCAATCGGTGTGGATGTTATTGCCTAATTTTGTCTTTTTTTACACCTATAATTTAAACATTTATTTTTTCTTTCTAATTGGATGTGTGGCATCTATTTCCTGTTGACTTCGCTATAGATAAAGCTTTGTTCTTAACCTTTTGCTCTACTATGTAGATTCTGATGTCAATAATAATTAGAGAGTTCTTTCTTCTTCATTTCTGTTTTGGCTCGCCCAGTCCAGAACTCACATTCTTAGTTGAAGTCCTGCAACATGGCCCCTTGCAGCTGCAAGCTTCCCTGCTTCCCCTTTCACTCGATAACATTGCCAGGGGCTTTTCTCCTTCCTCGGCCCTGCCTCACACACCAAATCTCCAACCAGCCAGAGCACGTCTCACAGAAGAGCGATGTCTTAGAGCGCTTAGGGCTGCCAATGTGTCTCAGACCTCAGACCCTATTTAAAAATTGCCCTGATTGTCTTCTTTTATAGACATATTTATTTTGTGATCCGTAAGACAAAAGACAGCCTTTATTTCTGTTTTGATGTTTAGTTCACAATTTAAACACCTGTCCTATGCAGAATTAATCAGCTTCCTATTCTTTATATTGGGCTCCTGTAAAAGTTACTGTGAGCATTAGCTGGGATCTCTTCAGTTTCATGGGCCAGAAAAGCAGCTCAAGCGAAATTAAGGGAAGTGATGGAATATTGACTCACGTCAGACTAAACATGACCCAGACTTAGGTCCAGCTGGATCTTGGTTCACAAGCAAGGCATGCAGGGTTCTGACTCCAACATTTGGCTTCGCTTTTGTCTTGATTCGAATTACTTTCAGGAAATGCCTTTCTCAATGGGGGTCAAGCAGTCCAGGCTCAGCAAGCCAAGCTTTCAGGGAACTTCTCTTTCCTAAGAGTTTCGGAATAAGCCCTGAAATTTGGCTTTGACTGGGGCAATTCGGTCCACATGCTCATGTCCAAAATAATGGCTTTGGTCAGGCGAATGGGATATGCTGGTCAGTTCTGCTTGTATAACTTGACCACTTCTGGATCCAGCCCTATACTCAAATAGCAGGCACTGGCCGTTGGAAAGTGGAGGTTATCCAAAAGAAAAGCAGAGTGCTTTTACTTCAAGAAACAGAAATTATTATTAGGCAGACAAAAAATAATGAATTTCTTCTCCATCATGACTGATCTCTTGAAACATGAGTATAGCATAGAAGAAATAGCACTGAAGTAATGATAACAGCTAATGTTTGTGCAATGGTTTCTATGTACCAGTTACTGCTCAAGAAACTCACGTGGCCTAGTTCATTGAAGGCTCAATCATTCCAAGGGAGGTAATTTTACTATCCCCCATTTTACGGACATGGAAATTGAGTGACAGTTAGCTTAGGTAACTGGGCTAAGACTTCACGGGTGATAAGTTGTGGGTCTGGAATTTGAACCTATGTATCTATTATCCTGCCCTTTATGTTTATACCCACCACTCTGTTTTGCCTTTGATATAGAGGACCAAGGATCCTCTCTTGGCTACTGACGCTGTGAACATCAGCAGATCAATTCAACTCTGAGCATCTCAGTTTCTTCCTCTTAACAAAAAGATAAATGCAGGTCATCTCCCAAGCCCTGTCATCATGTGAACCTGACACAATACCATCATTCGTCACTCAGTTAAATAGCAAATAGTAATGTTTCCAAGTGCGTCTTTAAGCCAAATGGGACACGGTACTGAGTAAGGAATTTTGAACAACTGGGAATTTGTAAAATGCAAATCGTGAAACAAATATAAAATATCATTTTATTATAATGATTTTTGCTGTTCCTGGAAATAATTCACTTGTGTCTCTGCAGGGCTAAAGAATTAAGCAAGGGAGCATTTTCCAGGTGTGCTGAGAACAGAAAGGAGAGCCCTTTCCTTTGACCACTCAAAAGGGCCATAGCTCAGCTGTGGTCAGCCCTTATTAGGCTCTTTTTACTAAACCTTATAGGCTGTTATTAGTCACAGCTATTAAGGCTGTCAAGTTCTCCCTTGTGATCTTTGCTCTAACACAAAGTGACATTCAGACATTCTGAAGTTCAGTGGCAACACTGTCTTGCATTCACTCGGCTAACACCTCTCAGCATCCTTAGTGGTGGCAGATTAAGCCTGGCTGACCTTTGAGGGCACCTGCTTTATGGAGTTTGGTTTCCCCCACTTGGTTCTGTCTCAGAAAGCTGATCTTTCCATAAAAGACTGTAAGGCATAGTGCTTGCTTCTACAAAGCAGAGAGTAAGGTGCTTTTAAAGATGTGTGCAGAAAACTAGTTTTTCTGATTGAAGTTTGCCCCCGCTGCCACCCGGCTGGCTGCCCAATTGACATTGAACAGGGCAGTGACCCTGCCCCTTGCTAAGTGTGGCTGTCAGGTATACAGATTCCTGAGATTTCGTTGGGCAGCTTTCTAGCAGGTGGCTGGAGTTTAGCCTGAGAGCCAGGCAGACACATTTGCACCCTTTCCAAGTTCCAGGAGGGCCCTGATTCCTTCTTTTCACTGCTAGCTCACCTAGAGTCCTGGAGGCTTTGTCATTTACTCCCTACTCCATTTTATACTTAAATAGATTTTGTAAACATCCAAATTCCACCCGATCACCTTATCTATTACAGCTTTCCCCAAGACTATTTCTCCTCTAGTCCTGCACACACACATGTTCATTTCACAATGGAAATAAAATGCTCCATTCCTTTTTATTTCATATTTCTGATGACACATTTTAAACAGCCTTTAGAATTGTGGTTGCGTTTGGGTAAACACCTGTGTTGACATCCACGCAGCAGAATGCAGAGTCTGGAGCCACACAGGATGAATTCAAATCCTGTTTCCACCACACTTGGTTACCTTGGCAAGTGGCTTCATATTTCCAAGACTTGGTTTCTTAGTCTTTTCAAAATAAGTAGTCTGTTCTATGGAAGGGTCCTCTGGTCTGTTTTAGGATTAATATGAGAAGAGTTGCCAGTTTCCTCAAGTTCCTTCTCATTATCCTTTCCTTACAGAAACCAGGAGAGAAGGGGATGGAGAACTCACTTGGCTGGATTTCAGGTGTCTGGCCCCTCCAGGAGCCCTTTATGTTGATTATTTCAAGACAGGTTTGAAAGACATATTTCTAGAATATGAATGATATCTCCATTTCACAGCTAGAGACTAAGGCTTGAGAATTTACATGCCCACGATCCTTCGGGGATTAAACAAGGAAAATGAGCCTGATTCACCCTTCTCCAGAATGTGTGTTAGTTGGCCATGAGCAACCATCCATAATGTATTCTATAAATTGAGGAACCAGCTGATGATGTTCAAGGATGTTTTTTAATTAGGTGGTGTATTTATGGGAGGGTCCTGTGAATCGCGACTGCATAGCAGTTTCACGGTGAGTGCTGATGGGCTGGGTGGAGGATGCTAAGGTCAATCAATGTCTAGAATGAGCTTTTGACCCTCTGGGGAAGCAACTGAAAAGCAAACACTTCTGCAGGGAACCAGATGGCCAATCAATGGCATTCATGTGGAGCAGCATCTCATTTCACTGTTGTACTGAAGGTGAGGTGTACCGCAAACAGCACAGAATGAAGCAAAAGCAAAAAAAAAAAAAAAAAAAGCCAAACTAAAAAAAGGAAAACAGGAAACATTTAGAAGGGCCTTTCTCTGCAAAGACGGGATCCCTTGAAATTGAACTTGAATCAATAGATGGCCACTCATATTCTGTATTGAACAGGAGTTCATTAAAAAAATCAGTGACCTGCACCAATCAATAAGACTTCAGGGACCAAGGTTTCTTAAACAGCGCAGAGGCAGCAAATTGCAGAAAAATAGACCTTTATTCTCCAGGAAGACAGAATTCTTCCAAGTTAAATTAATAAGCCCACAGCTACAGCCTGCATAAACCTTGAAACATTGATAGAATTGTTTCAAAAACAACAATGACAAAAACAAAAACAGGGCTAATCAGCTTTGTTGACACTTAATTTAACTTCAAAGGTATGTCTGTAACATTGACAAAAAGGGAGCCAAACCAAGAAGGAAGAAAGTGTTTTTCGCATCCATTCCAGTGAAGATAGTGTGCAAACAGAAATCAGTTCTTTTAGCATGGAAACTTCCCCTCTGTAGAATGAATGTTTTGTGAAGTTGACTTGCAGATGTAACCTGATGGATTTCCCTCACAAAGTAGAGTGTGCAGCCTTCAGCCTCAGGGCGTAGCCTTCAGACGTCTGAGATATAAATGAATTGGCTAGCATTCTTGCTATAAGGGATGAGTGAACGAATTCAGATTTTTCCAACGCTGACATTTGAGGGCTGATCATTTTTTGTTATGTGTGTGTAGGGGCTGCCTTGTGCATTTTAGGATGCTTAGCGGCGTTCCTGGCCTCTACCCACCATCAGTGGCCAACACTCCTCTAAGTTGTGAGGAGCAAAACTGTCTCCAGACATTGCTAAATGTCCCCTGGGGGCAAAATTGTCCCAGATGAGCACCATTGAACTCTTCCTCCAGGAAAAAGGTGGGAAGAAAAGGAATAGATTGGATCTCATAAGCTAATAGATAGAAGTCAGTAGTCTTCTGGATGACAGGAACCAGAGCTGAAACTGAGACTCACACTTTCTTTTTTTTTTTCTTGTTTCTATATGTAAGTTATTACTTCTCCAGACAAACTTCTCTGGAAGGTTGCCATAAGTAGCTTCAAGCTCATATCTATGCAATTCTATAAACAGGGAGAAAAATAATCTTCTCCACTAAGGTCAGAACCGAAACTCCCGAGAAAGAGCCGTCTTGGGTCAAAAGTCTACTGCAAGGCAGGCTGGAGCTGTTTGTGTTGGGAGGTACATGCTAGGTGCGTCCAATTGCCTCACATCTTGGTCTTTTTGAAGCGGCACTGTTGTCTGGGGTAAATACTTGAGGTTTGTTAGTCTCATGCCAAGGAAATGGAGTGCATGGACACACAAGAAGTGGGTTTAGGAGAGGAGGTTTAATAGGCAAAAGAAGAAGAAAGGAGAATAGCTCTCTCCCCTGAGAGAGAGGGGGATGCCCGAGTGGGACTTCCAGCCTGCTCTAGTGCACAGGGTTTTATAGACAGGCTTGAGGAGGCAGTGTCTGATTTATACAGGGCCCAAAGATTGGTTGGACCAGGTGTGACGTTTACATAGCATGTGAAGAAGCTGGCCTCCCCACCCTAATCTTTTATTATGCAAATGCATTTTTTAACCGGGCCAGAGCTGTGTTGTCTGCTCCTTACTGTGCAACTGGCTGATAAGGCAAAGGGAAGATGGAGCCTCCATGTTGGACATGCCTGGCCCCAGGTGGCCTCTTCCTGTTGGCACAGCTGCAGGTACTCACCCGTGCAACTTTCCAGCTTGCTTGTCTGTGTCTGCAGATTGATTTTACAGGCTGCTCTTTGTTAGAAAAGAAAATTATTTGGGGCTGCTTTTCATTAAAAGGGAAACCTTACTAGGGACTTCCATACCTTATCTGCCTAAGTAATTGCTTTTTAACTCCTGTGTCATTTTGAGCAGGGTTTCCAGCTAAGGAGAAAGGGAAAAAGGGTTTGTCATTCATTCACCTGTCAATCACACACTTTGTGCCATTCACTGTGCTGAGTGTTGATGCTATAAAGATGAATAACTCACTGTTAAGCTTTTGAAAGGTTTACAGAGTAGTTTATGAAACGCACAGGTAAGAATGGGACAGTGTGCTACATCAGCTCAGCAGCAGGTGACAGTAAACTTGATTTTGGTGATTGGTGAAATGATGGAGAAGGATCCCAAAAGGCAAACAGGAGCTGAGAGGGAACAGAGGGCTCTGATTAGGAAGACAATGAGAAATCAGGAAGTCTCACAATTGAAAAAGTCTTGGCTATTTAAAAACCACCTGAGGCCGTGCGTGGAGGCACTTTGGGAGGTTGAGGTGGACAGATCAGCTGAGGTCAGGGGTTCAAGACCAGCCTGGCCAATATGGCGAAACCTCATCTCTACTAAAAATACAAAAATTAACCGGGCATGGTGACCCACACCTGTAATCCCAGCTACTCAGGCGGCTGAGGCAGGAGAATCATTTGAATCTGGGAGGTGGAGGTTGCAGTGAGCTGAGATCGTGCCACTGCACTCTAGCCTGGGCAGCAGAGCAAGACTCCATCTCAAAAATAAAAAAATAGAAACAAAAACCGCCTGATGCATTTGGGAAACTGGGGTGATAGTGATTTTCTTGAAGCACAGTTTGTTGGGAAAGCGTATTAGGAAATGAGATTGGAGAAGGAGCACAGACTGCAAGGGAAGAGCTCATGAACAAAGGAGTTTGGAGTCGACTCCCAGGTCAGAGAAGAGACAGTGGACAATGTTCATTGGGTGAGAATTTTGGAAAATTGGCTGTGAAATCATGAAATTTAGGAAACAATGTAGGAGTTAGACAGGAGGGGGGTAAAAGTATGTCTAAAGTTTTCTTCCAGGGATCAAAATAATTCACTGATGTCCTTAAGGAGAGACCAATAAGAAACGTGGGTGATGTCAATAAAAAGAGTTAAACTCTGTAAAATATTTGAAGGAATTTATTCTGAGCCAAACATGAGTGACCATGGCCTGTGACAGCCCTCAGGAGGTCCGGAACACATGTGCCCAGGGTGGTTGAGGTGCAGCTTGGATTTATACATTTTAGGGAGACATGAGACACCAATCAAATACATTTGAGATGTACATTGGTTTGGTCTAAAAAGGGTGGGCTAACTTGAATGGGGAGGGAACTTCCAGCTTATAGGAAGATTTAAATATTTTCTGGTTGACAATTGGTTGAGTTTATCTCAAGGCCTGGGATCAACAGAAAGGAATGTCTGGATTAAGATAAAGGACTGTGGAGACCCAAGTTCTTATTTGCAGAGGAAGCCTTCAGGTAGCAGGTTTTAGAGAGAATAGGTTGTAAAATGTTTCTTATCAGACTTAGTCTGTGTTGATGTTAATGCCGAAGAGGTACAATGAGGCCTGTCCGTCCCCCACTTCTCATCATGGCCCAAACTAGTCTCTCAGGTTACATTTTAAAAGAGCCCTGGCTGAGGAGGAAGTCCATTCAGATGGTTGAGGGGGGAGGGGTGGGGTGGAGCTTAGAATTCTGTTTTTGGTTTACAGTGACAATTTTGTTGAAATGTTAAAGGCCCAGAGTAGCAGGAGACACAGCTGCGTCCAGAGGCCCTCTCTGCTTTGCACCCTGACTGTCTGGAAGGCCCTGGAGAATGCAGACCCTGCCCGCTGCTCTGGCCCTCCCCTCCTGGCCACCCTGCACCCCATTGTCTTCTTTAGTTTCCTTCAGAGCAAGCTCTTGCAACCTGCGGCTCTTGGCCGGCATGTGGCAGAGGACAGCTTTGAATGCAGCCCAACACAAATTCCTACAGTTTCTTAAAATATTATGAGTTTTTTTTTTAGCTCATCAGCTATCATTAGTGTATTTTATGTGTGGCCCAAGACAATCATTCTTCCAGTGTGGCCCAGGGAAGCCAAAAGATTGGACACCCCTAATTTAGAGGATTTACCTATAGCTGGGCCTTTCCTTTGACTTGTTTGCTTTGTTATTTTCTGTCTCCCACAGTTGAATGCAATCTCTGGGAGTTTCCACATCTCTCTTGTCCACGTCTTCACTCATATCATCTAGCACCACATCAGGCGGCTACAGGGTGTTCGACAAATAGCCCTTGCGCTCATTCATTCATCTCTTCAATTGTTCATTTTTTAATCACATCTGTATTCAGTCCTATATTCAATGAAGCTTTTAATGAATGCCCACTCTAGTCAGTGCTTTAGACAGAGCATGCTTAGTTGACATGTGGGTATTAGAAATAAAACATTGTCTAAATTGAAAAATATAAGCTGGAAGATATTTCCATTCATGATTTTGTCTCCACGTTTAGATTCTGCAAAGAATCCCTGATGCATAGGGCATCATCCCCGATGGAGAATTCTTCCTTTGGACAGACAACCCAAATAAAGTTCTCTTTGAAATGTTTGTGGATGGGTAGAGAACTCTGGATTGCAGCAGCTGGTACTTGATGTAGAAATTTGTTCCCAAAATCACTGCTGTCGAGAGTGTAGAAATGAGAACACTCAAGACAGCTGGTGGGTGGGAAAGTACAATGGTGTAGCTGCCTTGGAAAACAGTTTGACTGTTCCTCAAAATGTCAAATGTAGTTCTCATATGGTCCAGTAATTCTACTCCTAGGTTTGCACCTAAGAGAAATAAAAATAGATGTCCACACACAAATTTGTACGTGAATGTTAATAGCAGTTTTATTCATAATATCTAAAAAGGAGAGACAACCCAAGTGTTCATCTACTGAGGAGTGGACAAAAAAGATGTGCTGTAGCCATAGGATGGAATATGATTCAGCCGTGAAGAAGAACAAAGTACTGGTAGATGCAACAACATAGGTAAACCTTGAAAACAGGATGCCGAGGGCAAGAAGCCAGCCAAAGATCAATATAAAATGATTCCATTTATATAAAATGTCAGAATAGAAAAGGCTGATAGCATGAAACTAGTTAAAATAAGAAAGCCAGCTGGGCACAGTGGCTCACGCCTGTAATCCCAACACTTTGGGAGGCTGAGGCGGGCAGATCACTTGAAGTCAGGAGTTCGAGACCAGCCTGGCCAACATGGTGAAACCCTGTCTCTACTAAAAATACAAAACTTAGCTGGGCATGGTGGCAGGTGCCTGTAATCCTAGCTACTCGGGAGGCTGAAGCAGGAGAATTGCTTGAACCCGGGAGGCAGAGGTTGCAGTAAGCCGAAATTGCACCACTGCACTCCAGCACAGGAGACAGAGCAAGACTCGGTCTAAAAAACAGAAAAGAGGCCGGGCGTGGGGTTACAGGTGGCTCACACCTGTAATCCCAGCACTTTGGGAGGCCAAGGTGGGTGGTTCACAAGTTCAGGAGTTCGAGACCAGCCTGGCCAACCTGGTGAAACCCCATCTCTACTAAAAATACAAAAAAAAAAAAAAAATTAGCCAGGCTTAGTGGCGTGCGCCTGTAATCCCAGCTACTCAGGAGGCTGAGGCAGGAGCATCGCTTGAACCTGGGAGGCGGAAGTTGCAGTGAGCCAAGATTGTGCCACTGTACTCCAGCCTAGGGGACAGGATAAGACTCTGTCTCAAAAAAAAAAAAAAAAAAAAAAAGAACCATTAGATTTTAGAACATTAAATCAGTAATTTATAGATGATACGTCAACACGGCAAAAGTTTTGGGTATGATACATAAAATGCAAAATGCCTGAAGTTTGGGATGCACCAAGATAGGGTTTAGGAAATTACATTAAGTATGTCAAATTATCTCAATGTTTGTTGTTTCCATTTGCTTAAATTTTGATGATTATTGTGACATGCGAGAGATACTAGGAAGAAAGCAGGTGTGACTTCAGCACCAGGCAGCAAGCAGATGGCCACAGTCTAATTCTGGGACCCCTGCAAAGGTGGTGACTCTGTCCATGCTGTATGAGCAGATTGGCACAGAGAGTCCCCAAGCATCGACATCTAAACCAAAACGCCTTGACTCCAGTTTCTGAGGAAACCTCTACCTTTATGTTTTCTGTGGGCTATTCTGGGCCTGTGGATGGTAACCGCATCCCCTCATTGTGCAGCATTTAATTGAACATGGAACTCTTTTGTGGAAGTCAGGGTTTTGCAGTCTACCTTGATAATCTCATCTGGGAACCGCTAGGAATGCGTGTCTGTATGTTGAAAATGATTACTGTAATTTTGCAGTATTTCTCACTGTGAGAAGGGAGGGTCAGAAAACTCATTCAATTTACAAAAGGTAAAAAAGGAGGCTTCTGCAGCTGATGGTGGTTAAAACAAGCCTGTTGCATTCTGAGAGTTACTTGCTGGTATTTAGGGCGGATAATTTTGTCTCAGGCTATTTGTCAGGTTATAGTAAAAATATGCGGTGAGTAGGCAACGCTGCTGCTCTGGGGTTCAATTCAGTCACGACACCTCATACATGGACACCCTCAGTGGCACTGTCAAATGACATTTATGAATAATCTACATAGGATTTCAACAGAGCCATTTTAACTGGGTATGCAAAGTTTTCCAGAAACAAATCCTCTAAGTCAGTGTTTCCTAAATGTGTTATATGTATCATTGGTGATTGGAACATGGTGTGCAGAATGGGATATAAAAGGCTTTAGAACCTCCTGAGGGCTTTGGACTTGGGTTTATAACCTAGAATGGCAGAGACAGACATGACAAGCAAAGGGCCCTGGCACCTACCTGAGGAAGACATCACTAATCAATCCTAGCACGCTTCTCGCCTAAGCCCAGATTCCTTCTCAGGATCCAGCTCCTGAGAGAAGCACCTATGAATTGATTTTCCATTCACAAATGTGGTGAAACCTACATCTTATTTACATGAGAGTCTGTAAGGAGACTGGAAAAGTAGTAACAACTAGAACATGGTGACAATGAGGCACAAATTTGTACCAGATGGTTTTACACATTGAAAACAAACAAAACACAAAAAACATAAACCTGCCTCAATTTCTTTCGGCTAGCATCAGAATCTCACTATCAAGGACAGCATTATGCCACAGGCCATAAAATGTCAGCTCTTGGGACAAATACAGTCCTAACACTTGCCTTGTTTGACTAGCACACTACTTTATGGATTCCCTGCTAGTGGCTAATGTTGAGCATTAGGACAAATACCTAATGCATGCGGGGCTTAAAAACCTAAATGACGGGTTGATAGGTACAGTAAACCACCATGGCACATGTTTACCTATGTAACAAATCTGCACACTCTGCACATGTATCCCGGAACTTAAACTAAAATTAAAAGAAAATGGATGGATTTCATCCAATACCTTGATTTCCTGCTTTTCTTGACGTAGCAGATGCTGTAGAAGGACAGAACCAGCATTCCCACAAGGGCATAATTAGGTCTGATGAAGTGGTGGTTGCCTCTTTTGAGTTAAATATGCTCATTCCAGTTTGCCTGGCTCTCTGCATCCCCAGGTATATTACACCAGATGCAACGCCACATCACTTTTCTGGGCCATTTAAGGGTTTTTTTTTTCCTTGCTTACCTAGTCACAACAGTACGTGATAAAGTGCCACTTCTGTCCAGCAGTCATAAGAATTTGTGAATAAATCATTTGTTTGTAGATTGAATTATATTATGGATGCACAGGATAAGAGGATAATGATGTACATACCTGTAAGTAACTGGTGTAATTTCACCACAGCGGCGTGAGTGTAGGGAGCAGAAATTGTGTTTACAGCTTATGTACCAACAATTCTTAATTAAGCATTATTTCTGTTGATAGGTAGGGTGCTTGCAGATAGAATTTTTGGGCAGCCCAGAGAAAGGCAGGTATAGGCAGGGATTTCATCCACCACTAACCTTGGTGAACCGAAGTCAGAGTCTAACAACACTAACTCCTTTTGTAATGCTGAAGACATCGCTTGTGCACCAAGCATTTTCTCATAAAACACATGGGCTTGGCTAGATCCTGAAGGCCTGTGTCCCTTGAGAAACACATACTAAGAGTATGAGTTTGGAAGTCCAGTCTTCTTTTAGCAACAGGGAACATATTTGTATTTGCCAGGTCTGGTGAGCTTAGGTCTTTCAAAGTCCTTATTTTCCACTTTCTGTTTGTGGACTAGGTGGTTTAGAGGCCACCATTTATTTTCACGTGTTCCCCTTTCCCTGTAACCACAGAGATAAACTTTCAGTGTTTGCTGCTTTATGCCTTGAGTTTACGACACCTACTTTTAAAAAATTTTTGTGATTTTTATTCCTAATGGAATCTTCCCTAAATTTCCAAGGAAGTTTGGAAAACTCTGCCGACCTCTCTCTCTATTATTTTCCCCCTTGAAAATCTGTTTATCCTGCCAAAATGTTTTTCTTTTATGTGATTAATTTGCATGTAAACCCTAAGCATCTAAACTTACGCCCCTAGCATCTGTGCTAATGGCACGTGACAAACAGAACTTCTCTCCAGCAGGTTCAGCGAGTGCAGCTAGAGCTGGAGCCGGAAGCCGGGCAGCACCATATGCTGGGCTTTCACCAGATAATCAACTCCCAATCCCTTCTGGGGCACCGTTTGATGAATATGAAATGCTTGGATTTTTTCCTAAGCTAACAAAGGTTGGTGGGACTTTTCAAATCTCCCAAGTCAAGGGATAAAATGGTGAAATAAAGGCATCATACAAATAAGCATATGCTAAACTTGGTATCAATCGTCCTGGGCCTAGGATGCTCTGAAATTTTGAAAAGTGATATGGTTTGGCTGTGTCCCCACCCAAATGTCATCTTGAATTATACTCCCATAATTCCCACATGTTGTGGGAGGGACCCAGTAGGAGATAATTTGAATCATGGGGGTGGTTTCCCCCATACTATTCTCGTACTAGCGAATAAGTCTCACGAGATCTGATGGTTTTATCAGGAGTTTTTGCTCTTGTATCTTCCTCATTTTCTCTTGCTGCCACCGTGTAAGAAATGCCTTTTGCCTCCCACCATGACTCTGAGGCCTCCCCAGCCATGGGGAACTGTGAGTCCAATTAAACCTCTTTTTCTTCCCGGTCTCAGGTATGTGTTTATCGGCAGTGTGAAAATGGACTAATACAAAAAGGAATAATTTTCTTGGAATATATTTGTCTATAAAGATAGAGTGAGGCATTATTGAACATATTTTGGGCAGGGCTCTTTCCCTAGGGGAAAAGATCAACACTTCCTGGTTTTCTCATAGAGGTAGTCATCAAACGGAATCCCAAAATACTGCGCTCTGCACTCTTGCCCTCTAGTGGGGGTGTGGCAGGTGGAATGAGGGCAGGCTGTCAGGGAAGCCTGTTGTGAAGGTTTCTGCATATCCCAAATTAAAGTAAGCAGCAGTCACTTCTTGTAGTTCTAAGATGAAAGCAGCCAGTGAATATGTTTGTCTCCCAGGCCCCCGAGAGAACTGTTGGGAAAATATAATTAAAAATGAAATCTCCTGCTAACCCAGAAAACCCGTCCACAGAATTGGAAGAAAAAGAAAACACTTGTATTATTAAATAAGCATTAGACCAGACTGTGATACTCGTCACAGGAAATCTGCTAAGAGACTACAAAGACAGAAAGAAATCTCACCCTTTTGTACAGCCAGGCAGATACAACCTATTGCATACATTTTCTCAAGATAAATAATAATTGGTCCTCAAGTGAGATTTAACAGAATCTCTGCTAACACATAGTTCATCCTAAATTCACCTGGGAATTCAGGTCGCCTCTAATGTTTGCTGACTGTCTTTATCTAAAGGCAAAATAAATTTTTCCCAGCTATTCCAGGAGGCAGTTTGCAGCTTGGAACTAGGAGCTTACTGAAGTTAGGCTGCTACCCTCCTATGCAAGCTGGGAGAGAGGGCTACTGGCTTCCTTCATTGTTATATTACCAAGTGATGACTCTTAGGTCCTTGAGAGAGACATGCCTCAGTTGGAAAGTTGGCAAAAGCCTTACCTAGACTTTGAATAAATTCATGTGCATCTCAAAGGAGCAGAGAAAGAATTCAAAATTACAAGTTTTTTCATGTAAATGCTTTCAGAAAAAGGAACGTCTGTATTTCTTTTTGCACTAGGAAAAATTCATATATAATTTTCTTATTTTAAATTTGTATTTTCCAGTATGGAACCCCAATTTGTCTACTGAGGACTATATATTTTGTACGTATCTGTTTCCTCTGCTAAATTGGATCTTCTTAGGGCAACAATGTATCTTTATTTACTTTGTATTCTCAGTGCTTTCTTTTCTTTTATCTCCCTTTCGCTGTTGTTGCCCAGGCTCTTTTTTCTCCGTTTCACTCTTGTTGCCCAGGCTGGAGTGCAATGGCTCAATCTTGGCTCACCGCAACCTCCCTCTCCTGGGTTCAAGCAATTCTCCTGCCTCAGTCTCCCAAGTAGCCGGGGTTACAGGCATGCATCACCACACCCGGCTAAATTTTTATTTTTAGTGGAGACAGGGTTTCTCCATGTTGGTCAGGCTGGTCTCAAACTCCCAACCTCAGGTGATCCGCCCGCCTCAGCCTCCCAAAGTGCTAGGATTACAGGCATGAGCCACTGCGCCCAGCCTATTCTCAGTGCTTTCTACGGCTGCTTTGCCATATAAGCAAACCAGCAACAAGCACAGCTTGGTGATTTACTGGATTAAATTTTAAATGTTCTTTTTAATTGCCAAATAATAGTTATATATCTCTGTGTGTGTCGTGTGTATATACATACACACAAGATTCTCATTCTTATAAGAATGAATGGGCCGGCTAAGGAAGAAGAAAAATGAAAAATAAGCATAGATGTTTCAGATGGTAATAAATGCTATTAAAATGATGAAGAGTAGCAATAGGATGGGTAGTAAGCAGTTTGAACAGGAGGACAATTTTGGCTCTGGCAGTTCTCAAGGAGCACCTCTGAGCAGTGGCATCTGAGCTGGGGTCTTATATCATTTATGATGCCTTTGGCTGCAAGTAACAGAAAACTCTGACTCAAAATGACCTTAACAAAATAGGAAAAAAATTAGATTGCTTCAACCAATAAGAAATACTCTAGGGGCCTCTTTCAGGTTTGATTAATTCTATGATTCCATGATGTTATTAAAAGTCCAGATTCTTTACTTCCTGTTGTCACTGTGTCCTCCCCCTTTCAGCTTGTTCCTCAGGCTGTAGCCATTCCAGCAGACATACATGATATGACACTCAAATGCATAAAGGGGAAAACTATTATGGTGTCTTTTTTAAAGCCAGTAAACCTTTTCCAGAAACACCCATGATCACTAGAATGAATCATGTCATATCCTCATTCCTACACCCATCACCAGCAAGAACAAAGTATGTGGCAAGTGGACATAGATAGATTATCTGAATAAAATTCCAGTTATTTTAGAAAATAGTAAAGTGTATGTGTGTGTGTTGAGGCATATAAAAGTGGTCATAGGGTGAGCCAGTGTTAATATCCACTTCTAATGCAGATGATAAGACTCCCTGTTAGAGGAAGACCTGGAAGAAGATTATTCCAAGCAGAGAGCAGCAATTGCAGAACCCTGTTGTGCTTCCATTTCATCCTCCATTATGGCCCCCAGGAAAAATAGATGGACATGGAAAGTGACCAGTGACCACGCCAGGTCAGTCAAATTGTAGGACCAATCACAGCCACAATTCCAGATGTGGTATATTTGCAGGAACAGATGAGCATTGCCTCGGATATATTAGACATTATATGGGAAACTAATTTGTTTAATACATTGTTTACTGGCCTAATCAGGAAAGAGGTTCAGAGACAGATTTCATTCATGTGGAAGAGACAATAACATACATTTGTGGTTTTCACCCAGGGCTCTGTCATCTTTTCTGCCCTTTCTCATAATATCCTCATAAGATAATTGGACTATCTAGGCATACCAAAGAACATCGTATTGATCCATTACTTTGATGATAAACTGGTTGAAGAACATATTTAAAAGGTGGTAGTGGGAACAATGGAAGTTGAGAAGGGACAGTAGAAGAGGTGGAATATCTGTTTTAACCTTGATATCAACTATAGTCACTAGGAATGTCCATCCCACTAACCTCTGCTTTCTAAGTGTGTCATCAACAATGAAGGTATACCATATGTCTGTAAGAGCTCCTCATTCTTCCAGTTGAATAGAAACTTGTATCTCAGTAGCTTAGGGTGGACTATGTGCAACACAGAGGTGTGTCACTCTGATTTTCCTTCAGCACAGGACTTGCTACGCATGTGCAAGCAGTGTGGTTAGGTAGACCCTGCAGCTATAAACTCCTTCAAAGTTCAACTCAGCTTTCACCCTAAGGTACCGTAAGAGGGAGCAAACGGGGCTCACTTTGTGATAATAAATTTAGGTGTTACAGCAGCACCTCCTACGAGGTATTCAAATCTGAAGCAAAGTACTTTGGGTTTTTTATGAGTAAGGATCTCTGCCATAGACTGAATGAGGATTTGTGTTTCCCCAAATTCGTATGCTGAAATCTTAAGCCCCAAGCTGGTGATATGAGGAGGTAGGGTCATTGGGAGGTGATTAGGTCATGAGGGTGGAGACCTCATGAATGAGATTCGTGTCCTCATAAGGGAGGCCCCAGAGCACTCATTTACCCTCTGTCATTCGAGGACACAGAGAGAAGGCACCGTCTGTGAATGGGGCAGTGGTCCCTCACTGACATGGGATGTGCTTACACCTTGATCTTGGATATTCCAGCCTTCAGAACTGGGTGAAATAAGTTTTTGCTGTTTATAAACCACCCAGACTATGGTATTTTTGTTACAGCAGCCCAAACAGACCAAGTCCAATCTCACATTTGGAAATAAAAGATGTTTAAGACTTGGGGTTTTTTTTTTTTTTTGAGGGTGGGAGGTTAATGCATTTACTCTAGGTAACTAATATGTTCATCAAAATATGTCTATATCATTATACAGGTTCTCTACCACTTTAGTGGTTGTATTTTAGAAATTTTTCTTTTCCAGGCTTTAAAAAGAAGCCATCATTGTTAGTTGAACAGAAATGATGCTGAAAATAAAATGATTCTCGTTTTCTCAATTAAAAGATTCCTCAATATGTTAGTAACTAACTTCATTAAGCCTTTAGAGATTTATGCTAGTCAAATATCTGCTGACAATATTTACTTTGTTAATTGAATTCAACATATCTATGTTATTTAAACATAAAGATAATATATCAATTTAATAATTCTCCTTCCTAAAGTGATGTTCAGAAGAGTTGTTTACTCAAATTGGACACAGATTAATTGCAAAGTGATAATTCAGCAGAAAAAAATGCTAAATCTAATTCTGTGTTAAATTTCTCTTTAACTATGGAAGTTAGATAACTGCTACAAGATTTCAACTAGGCAGGATTGAGTTCTGGTAGTTGGTTGTTTCCAACTAATATGTCATCCCAAAGCAACACTTTATTGACAGGTGGAAGAGCTATTTCAGAGACAAAATCAAGGATATTGGTGCTAGATTGGATGTGAACAGTGGAGAACATAAAGGCATTAGGGACAATCCCCAAGATTCTGGCTTGTACAGTGGAACATATGGAGATGCCAGTTACTGAGAGAGGAAACTCCAGTGGGATGGGGATTGGGTATCACGATTTTGTTTGGGAAGTTTGGGTTTGCTGCTTTTTTGAGACAGTCTCCTAAAAATGTCAGGGTGGTCAGTAGATCCACAGCTCAGCAGAGAAGCCAGAGCTGAGCACACAATTAATCAGAGCTGAGCACGGAAATTTGCATGAGAAAGAGAGATATCTAGGATAACTGTATGTCTGTGGCCATGAGGGCCTTCTGGGCAGCCCTCGCAGGATGTGGTATTCTATAAGTAGATGGGTCATCCTGAGCCATGCTGGTCATGCCTCTGGGCTGCAGCTTCTTCATCTAGAGAATGATAATGTGGGACCTATTTTGGCTCATGACTCTGGAAAGAACTTTTCTTGGACATGGCAACTTTTGTAAAAACACTAACTTTTAGTTTCAGGGGTACATGTGCGGGTTTGTTATATAGGTAAACTCATGCCATGGCAGTTTGTTGTATAGATTAAGAATAATGGCCTCCGGCTCCACCCATGTTCCTGCAAAGGACATGATCTTGTTCTTTTTTAATGGCTGCATAGTATTCCATGATGTGTATGTACAAATTTTCCTTATCCAGTCTGCCATTCATGGGCATTTAGGTTGATTCCATGTCTTTGCTATTGTGAATGGTGTTGCAATGAACATATGTGTGCATATGTCTTTATGATAGAATGATTTTATTCCTTTGAGTATATACCTAGCAATGAAATTGCTGGGTCAAATGGTAGTTCTGTTTTTAGCTCTTTGAGAATCACCCCACTGCTTTCCACAATGGTTGAACTAATTTATGCTCCCAACAGCGGTGTATAAGCCTTCCTTTTTCTCTGCAACCTCACCAGCATCTGTTGTTTTTGACTTTTTAGTAATAGCCATTAACCATTCTGACTGGGGTGAGATGGTATCTCACCGTGGTTTTGATTTGCATTTCTCTGATGATCAGTGATGTTGAGCTTTTTTTCATGTATGTCCTCTGAACACTGACTGTTCATGTCTTGGCCCAATTTTTTAATGATTTTATTTCTTATAAATTTAAGTTCCCTATAGATGCTGGATATTAGACCTTTGTCAGATGCAGAGTTTGCAAATATTTTCTCCCATTCTGTATGTTGTCTGTCTACTCTGTTGATATTTCTTTTGCTGTGCAGAAGCTCTTCAGTTTAATTAGGTGCCATTTGTCAATTTTTGTTTTTGTTACAATTGCTTAGGTGTCTTTTTCATAATGTCTTTGCCAGTTCCTATGTCCAGAATGGTGTTGCCTAGGTTTTCTTCCATTTAAGATTAAGGACATTTAAGTCTTTAATCTGTCTTGAGTTGATTTTTTTATGTGGTGTAAGGAAGGGGTCCAGTTTCGATCTTCTGCATATGGCTAGCCAGTTATCCCAGCACCATTATTGAAGGGGGAGTCCTTTCCCCATTGCTTATTTTTGTTGGCTTTGTCAAAGATCAGATGGTTGTAGGTGTGTGAGGACTTATTTCTGGGCTCTCTATTCTATTGTTCTATGTGTTTATTTTTGTGCCAGTACCATGCTGCTTTGTTACTGTAGTCTTACGTTATAGTTTAAAGTCAGGGAACATAATGCCTCCAGCTTTGTTCTTTTTGCTTAGGATTGCCTTGGCTATTCAGGCTCTTTTTTTGGTTCCACATGAATCTTAAAAGAGCTTTTTTCTAGTTCTGTAAAGAATGTCATTGATAGATAGGAATAGCATTGAATCTGTAAATTGCTTTGGGCAGTATGAGACATTGCACTTTTTTCTTAGGAAGTTAGACTTGTTCATTCTCCTTCTCCCATGTACATAGATGCAACATTTTCTGAAGGCCCAGGAAAGAAGGTTATAAAATGTCTTATTTCCTCAACAGGAACATGTGCGATATAATTGCGCCTTAACTTATCTAATTCTTAACCTGCTAATTAGGCAGCTCCCTCAGAGGCCTGAAGACAAAGACCATAAGGAAAATGCTTTTCATCACTTTTATCCTGCAAATTACAATTTAAAGGAGTAAAAAAAAGTGCTCTCATTTTCAAAGCCTTTGTTGAACATTTTGCCTTCTAGAATTTTAACTCTGCCAGGAAATCCTACTGTTTAATGGTTTTCAAGGATCCTGTTTATGGTTGACATAAAACTATTTTTTAGTACCATATGGCCAACATTTATGCATTGTCAAAAATGGCTCAAGCATAAAATTTGATGCACCCAAGATTTGATTTATGGAGGATTGAATACATCTTGTAAGGAACACACACACTCACACACACACACATACACTCACAGATGAAATTATGCGATTCCATAAAATTATGCTTACAGTTTGACTAGTTATAATTGATTAGGACTAAATGCTTTTAAAAAGTCATGTTAGATAAAAGTCCTCTTGGTCTGGTTGTTTTGGTGTCTAGAGAATCAGAGCACTTCTGGTTTCGTAAAATCTCATTGTGGATTTTTGCCTGTGTGTTGTTTCTGTGGATGCATCTCAACAGCTCATTTTTTCCCCAAAGGTATCTAACAACCATGAATTTGTATTTGTGAGTAGGAAGAAAATGAAGAGCAAAATGGATAGGATTGTGGACTTCACGTCCAGCACCCCCGCTCTTAGTTCAAGGTGACCATATGGGTGTCCAGACTCTCCCTGCGGATTCAGAGCTTCGACAGGGAGCTGAGCCAGATCAAGGGCTGGAGGATCTCTGTGGCCTCCAACAGAAGGTGAGGAAGCAGAGAGAGGACTGTGGATCTGATGCTCCTGGAGCCCAGACATCGTTGTAAAGACGGTAAAACCAACCCTCAGGGCCTAGGCCCTAAGGAAGCAACCCACTGTGCATGACAATGGTCTGGGCGTGGGGGTCAGATGGATTCTATTCTGCCACCCATTAGTGGTGATAGAGGCCAGAGGGTATTGGTGAGACAGGAGCTTGGCAGCCAGACTACTCATCAGTCACAATTTGACTTGAGAAAAATTACTGAAATTCTCTGAGCCTCAGATTTCTGATTGGAAAATAGGAATAATCATATTACTGACCTGATAGCGTTGTTGTTAACATTACACAAAATGATGCATCCAAATAATGCACATAAACTTCTCTCATTCTTAACCTACTCATTAGGTAGCTCCCTCAGAGGCCTGGAGCACAGCCCGGGCGTTTCGGAAGAGCTTGATGGTTACCTTTCATTCCCCGTTTCCCAATTGTGTTTTTCTTAGATTAGCCATTTGTTTTCTACTTGCAAAAGTCAACACAAGTTTCCTGAGTGCCTTACAAGGTGAGAAGTAGACACTGTGGTTGGCCTGTCTGGGGCTTTATTTTGGTTCTGCCACTTGCAGTTCAATGAGCCTAGATGAGTACTTCAACTCCACATTTATCAGTTTCCACATTTACACATTGGGAATAAAAGTAGTGCTTCATCTTTCTGTTCTAAGAATTCATAAATTCATACACACACACATTAATGAGCCCATGTTGATATATTATTGAGCTTTTTTTGTTATTACCTAATGTACTTTCAAAAAAAATTTTTTTTTTGAGATACAGTTTCACTCTTGTCGCCCAGGTTGGAGTGCAGTGGTGCGATCCCGGCTCACCACAACCTCAAGCAATTCTCCTGCCTCAGCCTCCAGAGTAGCTGGGATTACAAGCATGCACCACCACACCCAGCTAATTTTTGTATTTTTGGTAGAGATGGGGTTTCACCAGGTTGGCCAGGCTGGTCTTGAACTCCTGACCTCAGGTGATTCGCCTGCCTCGGCCTCCCAAAGTGCTCGGATTACAGGCGTGAGCCACCGCGGCCAGCCTGTACTTTTCACACTAAGTAAAATAAAATGTAGTTACGGGATTCTGACCACAATATCACATTACATTTAGTTTTGATGTCTCCTTGGGCTCTTCCTGTCTGTGATTGTTTCTGACTTGCCTCTTTGATGAATTCACAATATTGAGTGGTACTGATGAGGCATTTTCTACAAGGTCCTTCTATTGGAATTTGTCAGGTAGGTGTGCCAGTGTGTGTATGCATGCATGTGTGTGCTTTCATGTTTAACTAGGGTTAAGGGCTTTTGGGGGAATACCTCAAAAGTAAAATGTCGCTTTCATAGCATCATATCGGGGTACATGATTTATCACTGTTGGTGTTGGCAGTGATCCCTGGCTGAGATGGTGTTTCTCAAGCGTCTCCACTGTAGAGTGACTCTTTTTTCCCCTTTGCATACTATACTGTATGAAAGGAACTCACCGTGCACAGCCCACATTTTCTTGGTGGGGAGGAGTTAGGTATGAGCTCCTTCTTCAAGGGTAGAATATTTACATAAATTATTTGAAATTCCTTCATAGGAAAATGTTGTCTCTTTTCCAACATTTAATTGTGTATTCAACAATTCATTTATATCAGTATGGACCCATGAATATCTAGTATATGCTTTGAGTTATAATACAAGATGTTTTTATTTAGCTGGTCAATATTTCTTTTTTAAATGATTGCAGCTTTGGCCACAGGGAGCTCTTTCACTTAGCCCCTGTCTCCCTTTCACATATTTCCATCAATGTACGTTTTTGAGCACATTCTTACTTTATAGTACTATAAGATGTATGTTCCTCTTGTATATTTCCTGTCCCATCCTAGGATCATCCATTTCTCTCAGGAGCCCTAGCTTCTTCTACTGGAGAATATTACAAACCAAGATCTGGGAACTGGGTTTGTGCTTTGTTGCCCAGTGTTGTATCTTTTAGGTTCTTGTAGCTGACGGAAAGGAAATACACATGTGTATACTAGCCCCTACATCCATATAACTATAAATATTTCTGCATGTAACCATCTGCATCTGCATTAAGTTCAACATGAATTTCTCAGGGTGTCTCCAACTGTAATCAATTCACATGTGGATTGTTTCACCTCTTCCTCTGCTTATCTCTAAAGTCCCGCTCTCAGCCATTTGATTAGTTTAATTGTTCTATGTTAGAATACACATTGGCAGTATCAGAATGGTTAATGTGAAACACATACTTTTTTTTTTTTTGAGACAGAGTCTCGCTCTGTCACCCAGACTGGAGTGCAGTGGCACAATCTCAGCTCACTGCAACCTCTGCCTCCTGTTAGAGACAAACTGCCCCAAAATAACTTCTTGCTACTGCCGACACTTCCCCCAACACTCTCCGTGCTGCCCACCCCTCCCCATTATGCTCTGCAACTCTTTTCTGTGCCACTTACTCTTCCTCCTGAGCCCCTTTACATTTCTAAGCCCTTATCTAGGCACCATGGTGAAGCCAGCAGACTTCATTTATCAGAACTTGCTGCAATAAGCAAACCCCAATTACAAACCATCCAGACTGCACAGGGGAAGGTTGTGGGAAGCATAAACAAACTTTAGCTACATCCTCCTATAAGTTCCTTCATCTAGCTGCTACCAAAAATGTCACAAGGTGACATACGGCAAAGTTAACCAACAAACGACCCCAGGGTCTCTCTCCCCCATATAAACCCCTCATTTTGTAAGCTCAGGGCTGCATCCTTTGACTGTAGTGGAGCAGCTGGCAGGTTCAATAAACTTATTCACCTGACTTTGGGTCTATTATTCCTTTCTCTCAGCTGACCTTACACCTCCTGGGTTCAAGTGATTCTCCTGCCTCAACCTCCCGAGTAGCTGGGACTACATATGCATGCCACTGAGAGGTGAAGCCAGCTGGACTTCCTGGGTTGAGTGGGGACTTGGAGAGCTTTTATGTCTTACAAGAGAATTGTAAAAGGCACCAATCAGTGCTCTGTAAAATGCACCAATCAGCAGGATCCTAAAAGTAGTCAATCAGGGAGGATTGAAAAAAGGGCACTCTGATAGGACAAAAACGGAACATGGAGGGGAAAAATAAGGGAATAAAAGCTGGTCACCCCAGCCAGCAGTGGTAACCCGTTCGGGTCCCCTTCCACACTGTGGAAGCTTTGTTCCTTCGCTCTTCACAATAAACCTTGCTACTCCTCACTGTTTGGGTCCGTGCCATCTTTAAGGGCTATAGCACTCACCACAAAGGTCCGCGGCTTCTTTCTTAAAGTCAGTGAGACCACAAACCCACCAGAAGGAACCAACTCCGGACACATCCTGGGGGCTCATCTGGGATATCGCCATGCAGTGAGTACCATTGGACCCCTTTTGCTTGCTATTCTGTCCTATTTTTCCTTAGAATTAGGGGGCTAAACACCGGGCACCTGTCAACCAGTTAAAAGTGACTAGCATGGCTGCCGGGCTAAAGACACGGGTGTCAGGCTTTCTAGGAAAGGGCTCTCTAACAGCCCCCAACTCTTCAGAGTCAGGAGCATTGGCTTGCCTGGAATCAGCTTCTGCTTTTCCTGCACTTCTAGGCTGAGCCAAGGGTCAAAAGGGAGGAAAGCCATTCACCCCCGGGTTCCCGACAAAAAGTTGGTTGACCCTGTAGCCATGAGTGGAACTCTTAAAGTTAAGTCACCCAAGCGAGATTCGCCCATCTATCCTATCTATCCTGACCCTTGTCTCCTGGGTCCTAATGCCTGTCAGACAAACTTCCTCTTGCCTCTCTTCTCTGAGGCTAGTCCTGCTTCTAAAAACGACACCCTGTCCCTGGTGCTCTTCTAGTTTCCCCTATAAGGATGATTTCTAAAATAAATTCCAGGACTCTGTTCCCTTCTTTAGGCACTTGGGTTCACCAATCAGAAAGACATAATTTTTGCCCAAAGCCCATCGGGGGCGACTATCTGGAATTTTAGGATCCCTCCTCAGACTAGCAGGTTTAACAAAGGCTATTCCCAAAGCTAGGATATGGGGAGCCTCAGAAATCATAGACTCCAAAATTAGGGGAATATCCTTCCTATTCATATGATGAGAAGTGAGGACAAAATGTGTCACTCTTCCAACCATGGAGATCCCTTCCCTCCCTCAGGATATGGCCCTCCACTCCATTTTGAGGCATATCATCTTTATAGGACAAGGGTAAGGTCCCAATACCAACAGGAGAAAATGCTTAGGACTCTAACAGGTTTTCAAGAATGTGTTGGTAAGGGCCACTAAATCTGATCTTTCTCGGTCCCCTTTGTGGTCTAAGATGAAAGGCAAGGGTGCAGGTTTTAGAGAAGGCATCAGTAAGGGCCACTAAATCTGACCTTCCTCAGTCTTCTTTGTGGTCTAGGCAGAAAACTAGTGTTTCCGCTGCTGCTTCAGTGAGCACAACTATTCCAAGCAGCAGGGTCCAGGGACCATGGCGGGTTCTTGGGCAGGGGAAAAAAAAAAACCAAAACTGTGGGCAGTTTTTTCTTTCAGACGGGAAACACTCAGGCATCAACAGGCTCACCCTTGAAATATATCCTAAGCCACTGGAACAACTTTGACCTGCAAACTCTGAAAAAGAAGTGGCTTTTTTTTTTCTGCACTATGGCCTGGTCCCAATATTCTTTCTGATGGGGAAAAATGGCCACCTGAGGGAAGTATGAATTACAATACTATCCTGCAGCTTGATCTTTTCTGTAAGAGGGAAGGCAAATGGAGTGAAATACGTTATGTCCAAGCTTTCTTTTCATTGAAGGATAATCCACAACTATGCAAAGCTTGCAATCTACATTCCACAGGAGGACCTCTCAGCTTACCCCCATATCCTAGCCTCCCTACAGCTCCCCTTCCTATTAATGGTGAGCCTCCTCTAATCTCCCCCACCCAGAAGAAAACAAGCAAAGAAATCTCCAAGGCACCACAACCCTCCCCCACCCACCCCAGGTTATCAGTTTTGTCCCCTTCAAGCTGTAGGGGAAGGGGAATTTGGCCCAACCTGGGAACATGTCCCCTTCTCCCTCTCTGATTTAAAGCAGATCAAAGTAGACCTGGGGAAATTTTCAGGTGATCCTAATAGTTACATAGATGTTCTACAGGACAAACCTTTGATCTCACTTGGAGAGATGTCATGCTATTCTTAGATCAAACCCTGGCCTTTAATAAAAGAATGCAGCTTTAGCTGCAGCCCAAGAGTTTGGAGATACCTGGTATCTTAGTCAAGTAAATGATAGAATGACAGCCAAAGAAAAGGACAAATTCCCTACTGGTCACCAAGCCATCCCCAGTATGGATCCCCACTGGGACCCCGTCTCAGATCATGAGGACTGGAGTCGCAAACATCTGTTGACCTGTGTTCTAGAAGAACTAAGGAGAATTAGGAAAAAGCCTGTGAATTATTCAGTGATGTCTACCATAACTCAGAGAAAGGAAGAAAATTCTTCTGCCTTCCTCAAGTGGCTACAGAAGGCCTTAAGAAAATATACTCCCCTGTCACCCGACTCCCTCGAGGGTCAATAGATCCTGAAAGATAAGTTTATTACCCAATCATCCACAGATATCAAGAGAAAGCTTCAAAAGCTAGCCATGGGCCCGGAACAAAATTTGGAGGCATTATTAAACCTGGCAATCTCAGTGTTCTGTAATAGGGACCAAGAGGAACAGGCTGAAAAGGAAAAGCAAGATAAGAGAAAGGCCACAGCATTAGTCATGGCCCTCAGACAAACAAACCTTGGTGGACAGAAAATGGAGCAGGCCAATCAACCGGTAGGGCTTGTTATCAGTGTGGTTTACAAGGGCACCTTAAAAAAGATTGTCCAATGAGAAACAAGCCGCCCCCTTGCCCATGTCCACTATGCCAAGGTGATCACTGGAAGGCACACTGCCCCAGAGGACAAAGGTTCTCTGGGCCAGAAGCTCCCAATCAGATGATCCAACGACAGGACTGAGGGTTCCCGAGCTCATGTCATCACCCTCACTGAGCCGTGGGTAAGTTTAACCATTGAGGGCCAGAAAATTGACTTCTTCCTGGACACTGGCACAGCCTTCTCAGTGTTAATCTCCTGCCCTGGACAGTTTTCCTCAAGGTCAGTTACCATCCAAGGAATCCTGGGACAGCCTGTAACCAGGTATTTCTCCCACCTCCTCAGTTGTAATTGGGAGACTTTGGTCTTTTCACATGCCTTTCTTGTTATGGATAAAAGTCCCATACCCTTATTAGGGATAGACATATTAGCCAAAGCTGGAACTATTATCTACATCAATGTGAGGAACAAATTGCCCATTTGTTGTCCCCTATTTGAGGAGGGAATCAACCCTGAAGTCTGGGCATTGGAAGGACAATTCGGAAGGGCAAAAAAATGCCCACCCAGTTCAAATCAGGCTAAGAGACTCCACCACTTTTCCTTATTAAAGGCAATATCCCTTAAGGTCTGAAGCTCATAAAGGATTACACAATATTGTTAGACATTTAAAAGCTTAAGGCTTATTAAGAAAATGCAACAGTCCCTGCAACACCCCATTTCTAGGAGTACAAAAACTGAATGGTCAGTGGAGACTAATGCAAGATCTTAGACTCATCAATGAGGCAGTAATTCCTCTATATCCAGTTGTACCCAACCCTTACACCCTGCTCTCTCAAAAAGAGAAGAAGCAGAATGGTTCACAGTTCCAGACCTCAAGGATGCTTTCTTCTGCATTCCCCTGCACTCTGACTCCCAGTTTCTCTTTGCCTTTGAGGATCCCACAGACCACACAACCCAACTTACATGGACAGTCTTGCCTTAAGGGTTTAGCAATAGCCCTCATCTGTTTGGTCAGGCACTGGTCCAAGATCTAGGCCACTTCTCAAGTCCAGGCACTCTGATCCTTCAGTATGTGAATGATTTACTTTTGGCTACCAGCTCAGAAGCCTCATGCCAGCAGGCTACTTTAGATCTCTTGAACTTTCTAACTAATCAAGGGTACAAAGTGTCTAAATTGAAGGCCCAGCTCTGCCTACAACAAGTCAAATATCTAGGCCTAGTCTTAGCCAGAGGAACCAGGGCCCTCAGCAAGGAACGAATACAGCCTATACTGGCTTGTCCTCACCCTAAGACATTAAAACAGTTGTGGGAGTTCCTTGGGATCACCAACTTTTGCTGACTATGGATCCCTGGATACAGTGAGATGGCCAGGCCACTCTATACTCTAATCAAAGAGACCCAGAGGGCAAATACTCATCTAGTAGAATGGGAACCAGAGGCAGAAACAGCCTTCAAAACCTTAAAGCAGGCCCTAGTTACAAGCTCTAGCCTTAAGCCTTCCCACAGAACAAAACTTCTCTTTATGCATCACAGAGAGAGTGGGGATAGTTCTCGGAGTCCTTTCTCAGACTCGTGGGACAACCCCACAACCAGTGGCATACGTAAGTAAGGAAACTTATGAAGTAGCAAAAGGCTGGCCTCACTGTTTATGGGTAGTTGCAGCAGTGGCCATCTTAATATCAGAGGCTATCAAAATAATACAAGGAAAGGATCTCACTGTCTGGACTACTCATGATGTAAATGGCATACTAGGTGCCAAAGGAAGTTTATGGTTATCAGACAACCACCTGCTTAGCTACTCCTTGAGGGACTGATACTTCAAATACACACATGTGTGGCCCTCAACCCTGCCGCTTTTCTCCCAGAGGATGGGGAACCAATCGAGCATGACTGCCAACAAATTGTAGCCCAGACTTATGCCACCCAAGAGGATCTCATAGAAGTCCCCTTAGCTAATCTTGACCTTAACCTGTACTCCAGTGGAAGTTCATTTGTGGAGAATGGGATATGAAGGGCAGGTTATGCCATAGTTAGTGATGTAACGGTACTTGAAGGTAAGCCTCTTCCCCCAGGGACCAACACTCAGCAGAGCTAGCAGCACTTACCTGAGCCTTAGAACTGGGAAAGGGAAAAAGAATAAATGTGTATACAGATAGCAAGTATGCTTATCTAATACTCCATGCCCATGCTGCAATATGGAAAGAAAGGGAGTTTCAAACCTCTGGTGGAGCCCCCATTAAATACCATAGGGAAATTATGGAGTTATTGCACACAGTGCAAAAACCCAAGGAAGAGGAAGTCTTACACTGCCAAAGCCATCAAAAAAGTGTAGGAGGAAAGGCAGAAGGAAACCGTCAGGCAGACACTGAGGCCAAAATTGCTGCCAGGCAGAACCTCCCATTAGAAATACCAAGGGAAGGACCCTTGGTATGGAACAACCCTCTCCAAGAGATTAAGCCCCAGTATTCCCTGACCAAAACAGAATGGGGACTTTCACAGGGGCGTAGTTTTCTCCCCTCGGGGTGGTTAATGGCAGAAAAGGGAAAGGTACTCATACCTAAAGCCAGCCAGTGGAAAATAGTTAAGACCCTCCACCAAACTTTTTATATGGGTATTAAAAGCCCTCATCAAATGGCCAAATCCTTATTTACAGGGCCAAATCTCCTCCAGACCATCGGACAAGTAGTCAAAGCCTATGAGGTGTGCCAAAGGAATAATCCCTTGTTCCATCGTAGGGCACCTCTGGGGGAACAAAGAATAGGGCACTATCCCGAAGAGGACTGGCAGTTAGACTTCACCCATATGCCTAATTCAAGGGGATTTCAATACTTGTTTGTTTGTGTTGATACATTTACAAATTGGATAGAAGCCTTCGCCTGCCAGACAGAGAATTCTCAGGAAGTGGTTAAAGTCCTAACTCATGAAATAATTCCTAGATTTGGGCTTCCCCAAAGCTTACAGAGTGACAATGGTCCATTTTTTAAAGCCACGATAACTCAGGGAAATTCCAGGGCACTAGGGATACAATATCACCTTCACTACACCTGGAGGCCACAATCCTCAGGGAAGGTCAAGAAAGCAAATGAAATACTCAAGAGGCACTTAAGGAAACTAACACAAGAAGCTCATCTCCCATGGCTTACTCTCTTGTCCATGGCCTTGCTGAGAATTTGAAATTCTCCTCACAAAATGGGGTTCAGTCCATATGAAATGCTATATGGACGACTTTTTCTCACAAATTACTTCTTACTTGATCAGGAAATGGCCAACTTGGTCAAAGATATCATTTCTTTGGCAAAATACCAACAAAACCTTAAAAACCTACCCGAAGGATGTCAAATACAAAATGGTATTTTCTCCAATGGGAAAAATAGAACACAGGGAGACACTCAGTTTGCTCCTAACACCCCTTTCCAGCCGCTCACCGCAGCTACCTTGGCAAGTACTCTAGGAGTATGGGAAAATGAAAACAACAAATTCACACACTTTTTTTTAACATACACAACAACCAGTTCTGTCTACCCAGCCAAGGTATATTCTTATGTGAAACTTAAACCTATATCTGCCTCCCCACCAACTGGACAGGCACCTGCACCTTAGTCTTCCTAAGTCCCAACATTGACATTGCCCCAGGAAATTAGACCCTATCAGTGCCCCCTCAAAGCTCAAGTTCATCAGCACAGGGCCATACGACTAATACCCCTACTTACAGGGTTAGGAATGGCCACTGCTACAGGAACCAGAATAGCCAGTTTATCTACTTCATTATCTTACTACCACACACTCTCAAAGGACTTCTCAGACAGTTTGCAAGAAACAACAAAATCTATCCTTATTCTACAATCCCAAATAGATTCTTTGGCAGCAGTGACTCTCCAAAACCGTCGAGGCCTAGACCTCCTCACTGCTAAGAAAGGAGGACTCTGCACCTTCTTAGGGGAAGAGTGTTGTTTTTACACTAACAAGTCAGGGATAACAGGAGACACCATCCAGCATTTATAGGAAAAGTCTTCTGAAATCAGACAATGCCTTTCAAACTCTTATACCAACCTCTGGAGTTGGGTGACATGGCTTCTCCCCTTTCTAGGTCCTGTGACAGCCATCTTGCTATTACTCACCTTCGGGCCCTGTATTTTTAACCTCCTTGTCAAATTTGTTTCCTCCAGGATCAAGGCCATCAAGCTACAGATGTTCCTACGAATGGAACCCCAAATGAGCTCAACTCACAACTTCTACCAAGAACCCCTGGACCAACCCACTGGCCCTTTGACTGGCCTAGAGAGTTCCCCTCTGGAGGACACTACAACTGCAGGGCCCCTTCTTCATCCCTATCCAGCAGAAAGTAGCTAGAGCAGTCATCACCCAATTCCCAACAGCAGTTGGGGTGTCCTGTTTAGAGGGGGGATTGAGAGGTGAAGCCAGCTGGACTTCCTGGGTCAAGTGGGGGCTTGGAGATCTTTTCTGTCTTAGAAGGAGATTGTAAAAGTCACCAATCAGTGCTCTGTAAAAATGCACCAATCAGTGCTCTGTAACTAGCAAGAGAATTGAAAAATGCACAATCAGCGCTCTGTAAAATGCACCAAACATCAGGATCCCAAAAGTAGCCAATCTCAGGGAGGATTGAAAAAAGGGCACTCTGACAGGACAAAAACAGAACATAGGAGGGGACAAATAAGGGAATAAAAGCTGGCTACCCCAGCCAGCAGAGGCAACCTGCTTGCATCCCCTTCCACACTGTGGAAGCTTTGTTCTTTCGCTCTTCACAATAAACCTTGCTACTGCTCACTCTTTGGGCCCGTGCCACCTTTAAGAGCTGTAACACTCACTGCAAAGGTCTGCGGCTTCATTCTTCATTCACTGGAAGCAACCAACTTGGGACACACCACCATGCCTGGTTAATTTTTTGTATTTTCAGTAGAGGTGGGGTTTCACTGTGTTAGCCAGGATTGTCTTGATCTCCTGACCTCATGATCTGCCTGCCTCTGCCTCCCAAAGTGCTGGGATTACAGGCGTGAGCCGCTATGCCCGGTGAACACATACATTTTCAACAGAAGAGCAAGAGAGCATAGAACCCAGAATAGCAGAGGCATATAGGCCCCGTTTTGCAGGAGTCAAATAACTTAATTCTTAGCACAATCCTGTAAGATGAATTCTGTTATAATCCCACTCTCTAGATAAAGAATTCAAGGCACCAAGAGTTTAGTTCATGAGCAGTAAGAGATTTGGGCCCAAGTGGTTTTGTGTCAAAGCTTATGCTTGGCATAATTTTTTGATAGAGAGCCAGATGGTAAATATTTTGGAATATTAGTGTTCAAATAGTCTGTGTCACAACTAGTGCCTCTGCTGTTGTAACATAAAAGCAGCCATAGCCAATGTATAAAAGAATAGCTGTCAACTTAAATGCCCATCAATGATAGATTGGATAAAGACGATGTGGTACATATACACTATGGCATACTATGCAGCCATGAAAAACAATGAGATCATATCCTGTGCAGGAACATGGATGGAACTGGAGGTCCTTATCCTTAGCAAACAAACACAAGAACAGAAAACCAAATATTGCATGTTTTCACTTATAAGCAGGAGCTAAATGATGAGAACACATGGATACATAGAGGGGAACAGCACACACTTGGGCCTATTGGAGGGTGGAGGGTGGGAGTGGGGAGAGGATCAGGAAAAATAACTAATGGGTAGTAAGCTTAGTACCTGGGTGATAAAATAATCTGTATAACAAACCCCTATGACACATGTATACCTATGTAACAAAGTGGCACATGTAACCCTGAACTTAAAAGTTAAGAAAAAAGAATGGGTTATGTATGTGTTCTAATAAAACTTTACTTGTAAAAACTGGTGAAGGCCAGAATCTGGGTTGTCACATGGGGCAGGAAGAGATGAGGACTGAGGAAAAGAGGAAGAAGTCAAGACAGAGGAATAAGGGAGGAATGCAAATAAGTTCCAAAGATATATTTCAAGCATTTTTAGTATTTTTTTCTTAATTTGCTCCTCCAGCAACAATTTATGTTTATTTATTTATTTTTAGACTAGTCAAGTGGAGTAGTGGAAGAAGGGAAAGAGTAGAACAAGGAGGTTGATCTGTAACTGACTGTGAACAGTCGATTGAGATAACTCGCTACCTTAGGACCAGCCCAGCAGGAATTTTTTAACTGGGCAGGATGGTGATAGGGGAGGTGTATTTTGTCAATCTTTAGCATCATAAGCTCAGAGAAAACATTTCTGTAGAGATGTAAATGGCCCCAAAGAATGAAGATGTTGGAATTTGGAACCATTTCAAGCCAATGGATAGTGATTTCTATTTTCAGGTTTTTTGTTTTGTTTTGTTTTTTGAGACACAGCCTTGCTCTGTTACCCAGGCTGGAGTGCAGTGGTGTGATCTTGGCTCACTGCAACCTCCGCATCCTGGGTTCAAAAGATTCTCATTCCTCAACCTCCCAAGTAGCTGGGATTACAGGCGTGTGCCACTGCACCTGGCTAATTTTTTTTGTATTTTTGGTAGAGACGGGGTTTCATTATGTTGGCCAGGCTGGTCTCAAACTCCTGGCCTCAGGTGATCTGCCCGCCTCGGCCTCCCGAAGTGCTGGGATTAGAGATGTGAGCCACCACTCCTGGCTGTTTTGCCTTTTAAATAATCAACAATGATTTAATAGTCAATTGGTGAATCCTTCCTCAATCCCTGGCTGAAAGGCGGGTGACTACTGTCTCTCTCCCAACCCTCTTTTGCATTTGCAAAACTGTGGCAGGGAAGAGGCTTGGGAAGTAAGCTCATTTGCCTCCTTGCCACTGGATTAGCAAGCAATGTCTCCTTCTTCCCTGTGACAATATCGGGTAGATTGGAGGCAAGTGTAATAGGCACATTTCCGGAGGAGAAAGCTGTGACCCATCCAGTTTGGATAAATGCCCTGTGGTTGGCGGGTCCAAAGCTCACAGGCAGAGCCTGATATTTTAAACCCAAATTCCTAAATATATTGGTCCTTTGGCCAAAGCTGACCCTTATATGTATTTAGTTTGGCCTGAAAAACATTTTTATAAAAGAAAATTCAGCTGTTTATATATTTTTAAAGATTTCACTTAAAAGGCTAGATTTCTGTTGACAAATCAGGAGAGTTGGCATTCTGGATGTTAGAGCCATTACCCCCAAGGCGAGGCTGGTGATGAAATATGAGGAGTGGGAAGCCGGTGGGGCTCAGGGCTTGTTTTCTAGGCTGCTTCTTTTAGAAACTGCTCTCATGTGTTTACTTAGTCCAAACACTCCATCAAGAAACAAGGTGGCCCAGATTAGAACAGTGTGCTTGCAGCTTCTTGGTTGCTAACATTGCCACAAAACAAATTACAGCAACAAAAATTTCCTTTTATAATAGCACATCCATAACTGGTATTGCAGAGAGTCTATAACGAGAGACATGGTATAAATACCCTGGGGCCATGGAAGAGATAGATGAAGAAGAAAAGAAAAAAAGCTTTCTAAACACTATCATAAATAAGTGATTTTTGTTGTTGTGTTGTTGTTTCACTTTGACTTTAGAAATAGTGATCAGCTCATGAAATCAAGCATTTTTGAGACAATGAATCTCTCAGCATGGGGGCTAATGAGAGAACAGATAACTGCCTGGGGCTGAATATCTGATTTTTCAGGGAGAAGAAAAGCTGAAATGAGGGGATAAAGTGCTTATTCTGTTGTGTAAACAGAAAGTGAATTAGAGAGGAACATGTTTATATCCTATAAAGTCTAACAGCCACTTAAGTGGATGGTATTATTTGAGAAGACAGAGTTTGCTGCTAATGGCCACTCTGCTCATCTCCCAGCTTGGCAGCTGCTTAGGCTTAAAAAGCTATGAAAGAACTGGAACAGAGTCCTGCTTAGTGAGTGGACTGAGCACGGGGGGTGATTCTGATGCTCTGTGAGAGACAGCAGGTGATTGGGAATAGCCCATGGTTAGAAATCGAGTATATAGGAATTGATGATAGTAGCTAATGTTTTTCCAAGAGCTGATGACATACCAGAGACTACTCCAAACAACATTTTGCAAGAATCAATTAATTTTTAAAACAGTCCTACTGATGCAGGATTTTTCTTGGCCCCTTTGCTGGACTCGTTGCAGGGGGCACCCCATCTGCTCAGCCTGCCATGCTCAGCCCCTGGTGGGAGGGAGCACACAAGGGAGTGAGCGCAGGGTCTGGCAGGCTGTCCGGAGTGCTGACACAGGAGCAAACTACATGTAAGGCCCGTGGCCAGACAGGGCATATCACCCCCAGGGGAAGGTGGCAGGGCCCAGGCAGGGGTGCTCATGACCCGGAAGCCCCAGAGGGGGTGTTACAGTGTGCTAATGAGCACTTTTAGTTCCACCGCCTTCCTGCAGCTCGACAAATGGTGGTGTGTTAGCCCCTCAGCCAGCCTCTTGCCCTGCTCTGACCCGTGGCTCTGGGACTGGTGTGGCTCCAGGGCCGGCTACCTCCCCCCATGGCTGCTTCTGTTGCATGGGGCAGCTGCCCTCCACTGGTGAGGGCAAAGGGCCAGTGTTACAGCCTTTCTGGGTACCCACGTTCACTGAGTCCCAAGCTCTTGTCCAGCATCCAAGAAGAATGAAGTCATGCTGACAATTGAAGGGTAGTAAAGGTGGAGAATTTTCTTGAGTAATGAAACAGCTCTCAGCAGAGAGGGAACAGGAAGGTTGGGTCATCTCTCCTGAAGTCAGTTCATCTCTCTCAGTGTGTCTGAGTCTGGGGCTTTTATAGGCACGGGATAGGGGAGTGTGTGCTAACTGGTTTGCGAGTATGCAAAAAAGGTTAAAGCCACCAGTCAGAGGTGGACAGAGTGTAAAGGCAGTTAGTGTAGATATATGTGAAATAGGTGAAGGGTGGGGATCCATCCAAGGAAAGCACACCAAACAGGAAGACGGGTTCTCAATCCAGTCTGTGGATTTGACTTGTAGCTTGACCTTCAGGCTTTAAACTGTCTTTGGCTTGAAGATGGGGTTTCACCAGGAACCCATCCCTGTCGGCCTAGGATTTCTCTGCCTCCTGCCTCTGTCACTACAAGGTGAATTCTGTAATAATCCCATGCTCTAGAGAAAGAATTCAAGGCACACAAAGTTTATGCCATGAGTTTTAAGAGATTGGGGCTTAAGCAGTTTGGTATCAATGCTTACGCTTGGCATAATTTTTTAGTGGAGGGCCAGAAAGTAATTTTAGAGTATTACTGACCAGATGGTCTCTCTCACAACTATCACCTCTGCTATTGTAGCATAGAAGCAGCCAACGTGTAAAGAAATGGATGTGAATGTTTTCTAATAAAACTTTATTTGTAAAAACTGATGGGAGCCAGGAGCTGGTCTGTGTACCTTAGCTTGCTAGCACCTCTTCTAAACCTGCTCTGCTCTGCCTGTCAGGAGCATGCTATTCCAGGAAAAGTGGCTGCAATGATGGGCTCCTGGGCCTTCAGGAACTTGTCCTATATCCTGCTGTGATGTCTCTCTGTCCATTGCTCTGTCTTTGGCCTTGATTCTTAAACTAGAAACGGAAGCTAACATATGCCACTTTTCCTCAATTTTTTTCTGAAGTTGTTGTCTTTTTACAGGATTTCTAGTGAGGAGAGGTCAGTGAATACACGAGGAAAGATCTCTTTGACAGCACATAGTTAGATGAACTTGGCTTGTAGGAATTGTCTGATGAGGGGGAGGTAAAAGATTATATTTGTATTTCTAAAGGGATAAGTAGGAAACTGGGAAAAGGGAAGGAGGAGAAAAGAAGATAAAATAATAAAACAACTATCTCCTAGTAAATTAGGGGTTCTCGGTTACAAAATGAACTAGGTTTGTTTCAATCTGTAGCTCAAACCAGTGTTTCCCAAGCTGTTTCTGCACAGTGGAATTACCAAGAGCTCTTAAAACATGCCTATTCCTGGCTCCCACCCTCTGACATTCTGGCTTAATTGCTAGGACCTGAACCTGGTCATTGGGCGATTTAGAAGGTCTCCCAGGTGATTCTAATCTGCAGCACAGTTGAGGAACCACTGACGTAGACTCTTCATCTTATAACAGCCTGTCAGGGGCTTGTGGTTTCTGCTTTGGAGAAGGCAGGGTGAAGGGAAGAGACAATATCTTTGCCTTCTGAGTTTTGAGCAGTTCTAGCGCCCGGTAAACAGCACCCTAGTAACCTGGCGAATAGACAGATTGGTGAGTGAATAGGTGGATGTGTCACAGGCATTTGAACCAGAGCGACTCCATCTTGAACAGGAGCTGGGTAAAATGAGGCTGAGACTGGCTGGGCTGCATTCCTAGGAGGTGAGGCATTCTAAGTCACAGGATGAGATAGGAGGTTGGCACAAGGTACATGTCATAAAGACCTTGCTGATAAAACAGTTTGCATTAAAGAAGCCAGCCAAATCCCACCAAAACCAAGATGGCAATGATGTGACCTCTGTTTGTCCTCACTGCTCATTATAGGCTAATTATAATACACTAGCATGCTAAAAGACACTCCCACCAGCACCATGACAGTTTACAAATGCCATGGCAACATCAGGAAGTTCCCCTATATGGTCTAAAAAGGGGAGGAACCTTCAGTTCTGGGAATTGTCCACCCCTTTCCCGGAAAACTCATGAATAATACACTGCTGATATCATGGCATAAATCAGAGGAAAGTAAATAGACCAAGATGATCTTTATAAAACTCCTGCAAGTGTTAAGTGTGATTGAACAACAGCATAACACTTTCCTAACCGATTCCCACAGGTGCATGCATTGAGCTGAGGGCTGGGAGAGCACTTTGTTGGGAGCCCCAGTTAAGGGATTCGTGGTACTCATGAGGAGCAGAGATGCATGAGTCTCCTCGCTGACTTTTCAGGTCCTCTCGCCGTTGTCTGACTCCATCCTGGCTGAGAAGACGGTGATTGTCCTGGATGACCGAGTCGCCATCGTGGAGCTGGGAGTGCAGCTCGTAGCTGGCATGTCTCTCTCCCTGCAGCCACACCGAGCAGACAAAAGGGCCATCGTCTCCACAGCCGCTGCCCTGGATGTTCTTCTGTCCCCACAGCAGGTGAGCATTCCAGGGGCCCTGCGTCCCTGGTCAGTGGAGATGACTTCTCTCTCAGTTAGCACATCCTGCGAAGGAGAGCAGGACAGCCCTCACGCCTAGGACTGGGGATTCTTGAAGCTTCTTGCTTCTTATCCAGGCTACCCTGTCTCTGAGAAAAGTATTCAGTGGCTTAGACACATTTTCTCTTATGTGCTTTTCCACCCACCACATCCCTATACGCCATTTGCTTTCCCCTGGGCTTATCTGTGCCAGGCACAGCCTGCTGCTAGACCATGACCAAAGGATCACGTGTTTTCACTTTTCTAGAACAAATTATATTTGATTCCTGAAATTCTATTTCAGCAATTTAAACAAATAGAGCTTGCAAATCCCAAATATCTGAGACAGGTCTCAGTCGATTTAGGAAGTTCATTTAGCCAAGGTTAAGGACGAACCTGTGACACAGCCTCAGGAGGTCTTGACAACATGTGCCCAAGGTAGTTGGGGTACAGCTCGTTTTTATGCATTTTAGGAAGATGCGAGACATCCCTCAGTACATGTAAGATTTACATTGGTTCCATCTGGAAGGGCAGGACAACTGGAAGGTAGGGGGAGCTTCCAGTTGATAGGTAGATTTATATATATTCTGATTGGCAATTAGTTGAAAGAGTTGTTGAGTTATTATCAATAGAAAGGAATGTCTGGGTTAGGATAAGGAGTTGTGGAGATCTAGGTTTTATCATGCAGATGAAGCCTCCAGGTTGCAGGCTTTAGAGAGAATAAATTGCAAATGTTTCTTATCAAATTTAAGATTTGTGTCGATGTTAATGCTGGAGGGGCATAATGAGGCGTGTTGGATCCCCACTTCCCGTCATGGCCTGAACCAGTTTTTCAGATTAAATTTTACAGTACTCTGGCGAGGAGGAAGTTCATTTAGATGCTGGAGCGATGAGTGGGAGGCCTTCAAATTTTATTTTTGGTTTACAGGCTAAAAGGCACCAATTCCTGTTGGTTTATATTAATTATTAACAACTCTTAAACCACAGACCCATCTTTGAACTTGAAGCCAATCTGTTTCAATTATCCCAAGTTCACTGTGTCTTCAAGCATGCCAATCTCCCATAATGCATCTTTCCTCAGATACTTTTAGCATGGCTTCCTAATAAAAATGCTTGACAGGATCTTGTCTTGAGCCTGATTAGTTGCACCTGAAATTGATTCAAATGTGTCATGTGATCTTTCAAACTCTTTTGGAAACGTCAAAGTCACATTCTGTTATATGACATTCAATCAGTTAATATACACATGACTGAATTCATTAAAGTATATCTTTTTTCCTTGCACCACTGGAGCTAGAAACTATTATTGATGTCAGTTGAATATATGACAGCCACTGTTCTGGATTCTGAAACACAGAAGCTTATTTTCCTTGTTATGCAGAAAACGTATTTTATAGGAGACCACATTTGTGCACATGTTCACAAATTTGAAAGAACCTGCGTTGGTTTCACTTTCTTTAGGAAGCAATAGTCCTTGGATGTTGTTCAGTGATGGTTTGCTCAGTTGATTTTGTCCCGTGATCTCTTTAGAGATTTATTAACCTGAGGATTTTTCAGTTGCTGTCTTATCATTGGATGAAATGGTGGTGTCTGTCCAGGCAAACCTTGAGTCCAAATGGTTGGTAGTGTTTGCAGAAGGTGAAGGACAGGTGCCCTTGTTTAAATTAGAAATGATGATTAGTGAGCTTTTCAGGTTCGCGATGAAGAAAAGAGTCAAGTTTACTTCCTACACCAGCATCCTCTGAGGGGACAGTGGGCCATATACAACTCTGTCCTGTTTGACAGTGATGATATCATCAAGTGGGTCTGCCAAGGTATGCAGCTGGGGAAATCCCAGGACTTTGGAGACTGCAGTTGGCCCTCTGCATTTGCGGTTCCAAATTTGTGGATTCAAGGAATCTCAAATTGAAAAATAGTCCCCCCAAAAACAATGAAAAGTAACAATACAACAATAAAAACAATGAAAATTTAAAATAATGCAGCATAAACAATATTTACATAGAATAAGTATGTAAAGATGATTTAAAATATAGGGGAAGATGTGCATAGGTTATCTGCAGATGATTTAAAGTATAGGGGAAGGTGATTTAAAGTATAGCGGAAGATGTACAGAGGTTATCTGCAAATATTGCACCATTTTATATGAGGGACTTGAACATCCTTGGATTTTGGTATCCACGGGGTTCCTGAAACCAATGTCCCGTGGATGCCAAGGGACTATTTAATATGGGAAAACTGCAAGACCAGATGTAAACTTCTTTCTTATGTTTGTATTCATCTGCATATCTTTTGGTTTCTTAAATAGTGAAGTGGTGAGTTTTATCGTCAATAGAGGATGATTTAGCAAAGCCTAATTTGTGGAAGTCTTGTAGGATCCCTTTCTAGGCAGGTAACAGAGGTTTGAAGAAGATGGCTTTTAAGTGAGGGTGTGCCCCAGACAATGACAAGGAGATGCTGGAAACATCATAGGACAACATTTTCACATACTTCCTGGAACCAGTGCTATACAATAAATCTAAGACTTTTGATGTTACTAGTCATCTGCGGGTAAACAGCCACTTGGAATTAGAAAGGATTTGGGTATTGATTTTTCTATTCTTAATCTCTTGCGAAGCATAGTGGCCACCGCTTGTCCTTGGCCTGAGAGTAGGTGCATATAAAAGATAATGGAATGTTACCACCCTTATTTGGAATGAGCACTGCTCTTGTTTTGAGTACTTGGGCAAAAGGCTGGGACTAAGGAGTGGCTGCCAGAGGGTAGTGGAGGGTGCTGCAGTGTACTGCAGGATGCTGGAGGTTGCTTCAGGGTGGCAGAGGGTGCTGGAGGGTGCTGGAGGCTGCTGGAAAGTGCTAGAGGGTGCTGGAGTGCACAGCAGGGTGCTGCTGAAGGGTGCTGGAGGGTGCTGCAGGGTGCTGGAGGGTGCTGCGGGGTACTGCAGGGTGTACTACATGACTCTGAGTGTACCTCATCCATCTCTTCCTATACCCTCCCTGTGTATGCATTAGCAGCTAATTTCTTTGGCCTGTGTAATTTTTCTGGAAATAGGAATAGGAAACACTAAATCAATGTTTATTTCAAGAATCTGTTTGATTGGCATATATGTTTTATTTCCTGGGATTTTTCATGTCATTTACTGGGTATCCATGCTGGCTGTCAGTTTTTTTCCACTTTTCCTCACATAAGTGTTCAGGGGCAGTACCTAAATTCTTATCCCGACTTTATCTTTTCCTGTTTCCCTTTTTGAAATCCTGAGGGTTTTTTTTTGTTTTTGTTTTTGTCTGTTTTAATTGTTATTTTAGACTTGGGGATACATGTGAAAGTTTGTTACATAGATGAGCACGTGTTGTTGGGGGTTGTTGTACATATTGTTACATCACCAAGATATTAAGTTCAGTACCCAGTACTTATTTTTTCTGCTCCTCTCTCTCCTCCTCCCCTCCTCCTCAGGTACACTTCAGTGTCTGTTGTTTCCTTCTTTGCATTCATAAGTTCTTATCATTTAGCTCCCACTTCTAAGTGAGAGCATGCAGTATTTGGTTGTCTGTTCCTGCATTAGTTTGCTAAGGATGATAACCTCCAGAAATCTTTTGTATATGAATTGGACAAGAAGTTTTATTTAACATGTGAGTGTACAATAAAAAAGTACTAGTTTATAAATGATTTTTAGATAAACCTTGTAGAGTTTGGGGAAACACTGAGAACCATATACATATATATATATTTTTCCTCTCTGGTAGTTGTAACTTCATGGAGAGCTAATATTTTGGGGGGTTAAAATCTCCCAATTAAAATACTATTAGCTCTACATATGCAAACATTTTGTAGGCATCATATCTCGGTATCCAACATGAAATCTAAAAATAGTATTGATATGCACAAACATGAAACTGCCTGGGAAACATCTGCAGCTGAGACTTTCCATTTGCTTGAACAACAATAAAAATAAATATATAGAAGAATGTTTCTATTTACCAGTATGTAGATATCCACCTGTAGGGTGACCAGAAAATATTCACAATTGTCTTTCCGGTAGAGGGAAAACATTCATAGTATGCTCACTGAGGGAGAAACTGGCAGGTAGTGCAAAAAAAAAAAAATCATAGAAGTGAATAGACATTCTAAAAATTGAGAAGCAATTTTCAGGAAAAACACAGGTACTGTAAATCAAAGTGACAAAGAAAAAAATTGCATAGTTTCTGCATTACTTTTAAAATAGAAAATGTTTCTGAATTAACCACAGAAATGATCCTACACAGAGCAAGAATGCAAGAGCAGGAAGATTTAATAAAAAATGTATCTGTAAAGATGGATCGGCTGCTGAGACAGATATTGATCTAGACTGGCTTATGAGAGTCTCCGTTAAACCATTTCTTCTCTAAGCAATAGAGTTTTAAGGAGCAGGCATTGGAAAGACTCGCAGGAGTCATCTGAGGTAGCTCCATGACTTCAAGAGGCTGATGACTCAGTTATTCAAAATAGAGTGCAGCCATCCTCCAATTATAGATGTCCATGGATGGAAGCATCCCAGGCTCTCTTCCCTGATGATCTCATCACATTAGTAGACAAGAAGTTCTTCCTGTATCTCTAGTCCATGGGTCCATGGTGAGTCTAGGGTCTGTGTGCAAATCATGAGTGATGTGTGTCTGTCACCATGAGCGGGTGTTCAGTGAGTCCTGTAGATGTTCAAATTGTAGTTGGAAGGTGAAGTTGGTAACACTTGATTTTCTTTTTCAATTCCAGTGAAGCCAGGAGACCCAAGACATTTGCTGTAAACAGATTATTTAAAAAGATGACTAGCGCTTGTAGTCAGAGCTCCTCTGCTAGCCAGGGTACAGCTCCACGGTTTCTGCAGTGTTCCCTGGGGAGACAGCCCCACGTGGCAGAGAGAAGTACATGCTAATTGAGATATAATTATTCAAATGAAACCTGCTGCCTCTCAAAGTTACTTTCCATGGTCTCTCCTTTTTAATGCTTGACATTTGGCCCAGGCATAATGAGAATTCATTTCTGAAACCAGATCCTCAAAACCCCATTACAGGATGAGTCATACACCGTCAGCCAGGACAGATCCCTCTGGAAACGGGGACTTTGTAGAATTTGGGGGTTGGATGGGGAGAGCTTGCCTGGTGGGTGGGAGAGAAAATGGATATCACCTTAGTGATGAAAAACCCAATTAAGGCAGCCTGAAGTATAACAGTTCCCATGGCGAGAGGGCTCAGTGTGGTACAGGAAGCAAACTCAGTACGATGATGTGGCAGAAGTTCTCATCCAAGCTGGAAACTGCACCACTTTTTCAAAGAGAGCTCTGTCAAGAGAACATCTAGAGATGACAGAAGTGCTCACTGAGAGTCTCTCCCGTGCAGTCACCGATTTTCCTTGTGCCAGAACTTTTTCAGCTCCTCGTCAAAAACTCAACAAAAGGCTGCAGTTCATTGGATTGTGATTCTTCATTTTTTCTCAGGTTTGCCATTGACTTTCATCAGGTTAATATAATTTTATTAATGTCTTTTCTTCTCTAAATGTTTCTTGCCAATTAGAAACCATGGGTTATATTTACCCTTGTTTTCCTCAAACAGAATATGTATTGCACTCCGAAGAACATAAACCAATATGGAAAAATGAACATGAATTATTAGATTCTGAGATGCAGCTTTTTGGTGGGTCCTAAGATATTTGCCTGAATCAAGTAGGATCTTAGTGGATGAGGTATCCAAACTTTTGATCTGGAAAAACAATTTCATCCAAAATCTGGCATAAAGTCCCTTCCTTTTCTCCAGGATGCAGTGGTTCAGATCTTGAGGCAGATACTAGAACTCCTGACATCATCTCAGAATTCTTTCATTTGCAAATGCTTCAGGTACAGAAGTCCAAATGCTTATTGAAGCATTTACAAAATGCTTTGGGTGCAGAAGTCCAAATGCTTCAATAAGACCATGCAGCTTAAAAGATTTGAGTATGTGAGATGTCAGTTCCTGTGCTCTAGATCAGTGGTCCCTAATCTTTTGGGAACCAGACAACTTTTCCATGGACTTGGGGGATTCTGGATTCGATGCATTCCCATCTATGTGTTTTGCTTCTGTTGTCTGTACTTTTAGAGTCCTATTCAAAAAATCATTGCCCAGGCCCATGTAAAGAACTTTGTTGACTATACTTCAATAAAGATGGGAATAAAATAAAACACAATACAATAAATAAAATAAACTAAGAAGAAGAAGAAACAAATAAAAAATGCAGGCTGGACCCATCAGGGTTAACCAAGTCCATTAGCAGTAGGGAGAATAATTGCATCCCATCTCGACACGCATTCAAACTATCCTTTTCTCTTCATTTAATAGCCTCAGTCCTCCCCTTCTCTGTCTGTGTAAGCATAGCATATGTGCCTTCCCATCTAAACAGCCATTTCCCCAGTTAAAACCACACTTGACTAATATAACACATATTCTCTACTTTACAAAGAGTACTAATTTAAAAGGATAGTGGAACATTATGCTAAAATATTGACTATAGAGTTCCATTTATGTAATGGATACAGCATACTGAAACACTAAAATGTATATTGGAACAAGGATGCTTTCAAGTAAAAGCATGCAAAGGTGTAGATTTTAAACGCACGGCCATCGAACTCTGAAATATTTAAATGAAAGGGGAGGAGGCATTTCGAGAGGACAAGGTAAAATGCACTGCATTTAAATATCTGGCCCACGTTTGGGATGGTTGCTGGTATCATTGGCATGTTCTAGTCTCTCTGTTTTCCTTGTGATTTTATTTTTCCTGGACTTACTTCAGCAGTGAAAAGAGTTCATATTCCAGCATAAAGACATCTTTCCACCACAGGGTGTCATATATTGAAACATGAAAATAAACAGTGAAACATTCTTCAATTCGGGGTGCAATTATTTTATTACACACACTTATCTCAGCATTGTAATTTTAGCCATTCACAAGCACATTATGATATGGGACAGAGCCCCTGTCCTTGTCCTCTTTTCCCAAACTTAGGACTTGGTAGAAAGGATCAGAGTCCACATTTAGGCATTCAGATGGAAAGAAACGGTTCATTCTGTTGCATGTGCTGGTTGCCTTACTAGGTTTCATGCATTCTTCCAGGTTTCTCTGTGGGGTTACATACACCAAGTAGAACTATGTAAAAAATAGAGGCGGCCTCAGTGGTTGCATGCAGGCTTTCGGAGGTGAATAAGCTGATCCTGCACTTCTAGTTACCCAGCTGCTTGGTGTGCGGGTGGTAGCAAACATCTCTATGATTTGGCAATGTTTCCATCCAAATAATTTGAAGTTGATGATTTTTAATAAATCTGAAAAGATAAATATGAACTTAAAAGTGTTAAAAGCATGTAGAAATTTTACCTTCAAGAGGCATTTTATTTATTCTCATAGTAGCCAGCCAAATGGTATTTGCAGATGCATATCCCATAGTGTTAAAGAAAGGAAGAGGTAGAGTATTTCTTATACCCCAGCTCAGGGGCCAAACCAGACTGAAACTCAGAGCCAAAGTTAATATTCCATGTCTACTTGATGGTTATCCCTGTTCCACTATTGGGCTGTATTTGTTCATGGCTTAGATGTGTGTATGCGTGTATGTGTGTGTGTGTGTGTGTGTGTGTGTGTGTGTGTATTTATGTGGGTGTCTATGTATGTGTGTATATATGGTGTGTATGTGTGTATGTCTTGGATGTTTGCATATGGTAACTGTATGTGTACTGTGTGTGTGTGTGGTTGTATGTGCATTTATGTATTATGTATGGCATGTGCTTGTGTGCTTGGATGAGTGTCTGATGTGTATTATATATTTATGTGTGTATGCACATGCATTTGTATGTTTGTATGTGCATATATGTTTGTGTGTTTAAGTGTTGCATGTGTGCATATCGAGGGGAGGGATTTATATGGGTCCAAGTTCCCTGGGATGCTGATGCTGTGGAACAGGAAGACCTACTCAGACATAAGAAAAGTGCAAAATGACCCTGGATTCTGTTTTGCTCCCTGAAGGTTTCTGTAGATGTGTCAGCTGGGAGACTGGTGCGTGCACTTGCCAAGCCCCCGCAGACTCTCAGCCATCTCTGCGTCTCCCAAAACTGCCAGCATCACCTTTGACATTTTAGCAAATGTTATTCCATACTCTCAGGATGAAAAGAGAAGTCTTGGCAACCCACGGTTTGAATACCTGGATGTGTCTCAGTAGTTCCCCTAAGCCAAGCCTGCTCTTTCGCCAAGCCCCACGGGCAGCCCATGAGTAAATGGAGTAGTGCGTCTCTGTGCAGCTAAGCCTGTGGAGCAGCGTGCTTGCATGCTTCAAAGAGTCGATAGAATAGGAGGCAAAATGCTCTCCCATACTTACGAGCCCTTTCTTCCCTATCGACATTACTTCCTACAACTAGAAAAAAACACCGTTTTCACTAATAGCTTCATCCTGTTCTTTTTCTACGGGAAAACAGGAGAGCCAAGCTGCTGGCCACCGAGAGTTTTTCCCAGATCTCAGCATGTATGTATAGCTTTTAGTATAATTGGATTCAAAGAAAGAAGGAACAGAGACATTTTGAAATAAGATTCAGAAAAGAAAAACACTTTGTGTTTGGGAGTTTATTTGCAAAATGCAAACACTGCATTGAAAATATTTTGATATTGAAGTTCTTAACAGTTACTGAAAATTTCTTTATGTATTTAGATAATTTATATGGGTTACGGTGGGAGATGTTTGTTTTTTAGAAAAAATAAAATATATAGAAAAGTGTAGAAAATAGATTAATGTAAACCCCTCCCCTTGCTGGAAACCAGCGGGACACTAATACTTTCTTGACGGGAATTAACAACCCAGGAGGTTTTCAAACCCATCAGGGACATATTCCTCTCACCCTAAGAAGGCTGGGATGTTATCCATAGAAAAAACAAGCCAATCTTCGTGTTTTAGGAGAGCTTGAAAATATCTCTGGCTTTAACTGTTGCTTTGGGTTATTTATTTAGATGAAATATTTTAATTTTATTTTAGGTTCAGGATCATCTCTTTAGACACTGCAGAGGCTAAGAGTAGGGGCAGCCCTTTTAGTCACTGGGATTAAAGGGCTATATGATGAGATGAACAATTTGAAATGTAGGGTCTGTGAGAGACTGCCTCCTCTCCTCATTTAAGAGTATTTTACTTTGTTTTAGGATGGCTTAAATCACCATTGACCTGACACTGTTCCCTCTATTTCTTAGACCTAAAGTCATGTAAAAAAACAGGCACTCTTAACTTTTATATTTTATTGCAAATTGAGAATTAAATACCTCCTTACTTTTATGATGAAATCTGACCCAACAAATTAAATAGCAAAAATGTGCAAGTGTAGACACTGCCTGTATAAGGCACTTAATTCCTACCTCTCTCGCTTCCTTACAGGGGAGGGCTCTTCCCCCTTTCAGATCCATTTTAGAAGTTTCTTTATATCCTGGGTTCCTTGGGTACTCCTATGCAGGGCAGGCATTTCCCACGTGGGTAAACATTTTGGGTGGGAGTGGGGCAAGCACAGCTGGCTTCTGTGAGCACACTCCACCCATCACTCAGCACTCTCGTTTCATCCCTCTGTTGTTGAAGACTCCACCAGCACAGCTGTGCAATGGCATGGGGTTTACCACCTCACAGCTGCATTAAGGCAACAGATTGTGCAAAACTCCATGAGCCAATGCTGCACAGAAAGATGTGGGGTTGCCAGATGGAAGGATGGAGGTGCTCCTTCTTAGCACAGGCTTGGAAGGATGGAGGTGTCCCTCTTAGCACAGGTTCGGAAGGATGGAGGTGCTCCCTCCTATCACAGGTTTGGAAGGATGGAGGTGCTCCCTCTTAGCACAGGCTTGGAAGGATGGAGGTGCTCCCTCCTATCACAGGTTTGGAAGGATGGAGGTGCTCCCTCTTAGCACAGGCTTGGAAGGATGGAGGTGTCCCTCTTAGCACAGGTTCGGAAGGATGGAGGTGCTCCCTCCTATCACAGGTTTGGAAGGATGGAGGTGTTTCCTCTTAGCACAGGTTCAGAAGGATGGAGATGCTCCCTCCTATCACAGGTTTGGAAGGATGGAGGTGTTCCCTCTTAGCACAGGCTTAGAAGGATGGAGGTGTCCCTCTTAGCACAGGTTTGGAGGGATGGAAGTGCTCCCTCTTAGCATAGGTTTGGGATTCTGTGGGGTCTGTGTTGGTTGCTCCTGTGCCCACACCCTTTTAATAGTTAGCTTTCATGCAGAGCCTTATTTTCAACTTGATCACTGTAAACTACACTTCAATTCAAAAAACAAATTGAAGGACCAGCATTCCTGATGATGATGTTCTAGGCAAGCCTCACATATCTTTGAAGATTTAGGCAAACTCCTAGACATGGGAAAGGCAAGCACTGGAAGTGAAAAATTAAATAACAAAAATGATCAAAACCAGGAACAAAGAAATGGTTATAAAACCCTATGAAAGATACACACTTTCACTTTCCCTAATTATACCTGGGCTCTTGGGGGGAAATGGCTTTTATGCTGTATCAGTGGGAAATTAATGTTGACAGCATTGCTTATCTATAATATGTATCTAAATATCAGGCCGTCCTCTCACAAATTAGTTTGCACACCAGTCATTAGTCCTCAGCTACAGTCTATTGTCTCAGAGCAATGAATTAGTTCTGGGCTTCTAGAATAGGTTTGAGAGAGAATTGGAGTGAAGTTCCCAGGAGACTGATAAGGCGTCTGCATGAACGCAGCAATGCATGGAAGGAGAATGAGGTAGAGATTTCTATGGGTTAGCAAATGAGGAGCTAGTGACCTGCTGGACCAGTGATGTGTTCACGTAGGTCATGGAAACAGCAAGAGATGAGCTTAACCCAACAGGGATCTTCTGACAAGACCAAAGAAGCAGCGTGAACATGTGCTGGATTGGAGAGCATATGTTCTTTTACTAAATTAACAGCTCAAGTACAACCTTCCCTAATCCCTTACCTGCTCTCTTTCACACCAGAGGCTCCCAGAAAGAGGCCGGCCAAGCTAGAGAAGGAGAGAAAGTCTGCAGTTAAATCAAGGACATAGTTTGGATCTGTATCTGGGACAGTGAGACTGTGTTCATTAACCAAGCTGGCCATGGGTGGATGTGAAGAGGTAGGCAAGCTGCACAGGTTGAGGGACTGATCCCACAAGACACTTCTGACACCAACTCCCAGCATAGAGGTTTCTGTAAACTACCTTGTGTTTTAACACTTTACTGGGATGATGCTCAGATCCCAGAAAAGTGCTATCCTTATGAGTACAGTTTTGTTTAGTGAAATGATTCAAATTTAGAACCAAGCAAAGGATGAGACCCATAAGGAGGGGTCCAAGGCGAAGCTCCAGAGTCCTTTCCTCATGAAGGCCTTGACAGTGTTGCCTTCTTCAGGCTATGATGTATGACAGTACACACAGAGTGGTGCCCACCAGGAAGCTCGCCTGAGCTGCAATGTGCAGAGTTTGTATTGGGGCTGAACTGCGTGGATATGATTTATTGAACCATGGATCGCATGGTTAAACTCAGTTTTCGGTCCCCCTTCCTTACCTGGAGGATGACATCACCTGGCTCAGAAACTCAAACCTCAGGATACAGTTTTGGTCTTTCTGGCCTGGCCATCCCCTGCTGAGTCATCTCATCAGCATAAGGCATCAGGCGTGAAAAATAAAGGTCCTCCAATCACTCAAGACATTTCAAGACTTTAGTGGTTATTTCCCAGGAGCTAGGGTAAAAGACACAACTTTTGATAGAGTTGTTTGCCACACAATGGCCTATTATTTAAACATAAGCAGAAAAGCCCATTTACATAGGAGAAGGTGAAGTTCCCCCTACTGAGTAAATTTGAGAGGGGCATCAGGAAAGAGAAGAAAGTTTGTGTTATGATCCTGTGTGACACATAAGGCATTCTTATCAGTCATCTCAAAGATGGGAGGAAATTGGAGTAGATATTGTACAATTGACAACATCACAGCTGTAAAATAATTCTCCATGTTTTCTTCTCTTACCCACTGTGTTCCCGGGCAGGTCAAAGTGTGATGCTGGGTTTGGCCTCTGTCTTCCTGGTCTGACCTCACAATTGATTGGGGGTAGATGTTGACTTAAAGTTGCAGGTGCTACTTATCTTGGGAAATAACTTCCCACAGTCCTATTATTTTACCCTTTCAAGAAACTTGGAGGCAGCTAGGTCAGAATATTAGTGTTTCATTTTGCAGATAAGAACCCTGGCCATTAGAACTGGCCCATAAACCCTCAGTGAATTGAGGGAAGAGCTATGATTAGGATCCAAGCCTTCCTCCTATTCCATGGTTCATTCCAATAATCCCACATGGAAGTCCACCACTGCCCTTGGGTCATGAGAATGAGGCTGCTGCTACAGCTACAAAATGTAGTGCCAGAGACCATTCAGTCCCTTTTCTTGTGTCATCCACAAAGTGCAGTGGCTGGCTTAAGTATTAGAGTCGTTCCATATGTGTAAAGTAGAGGAAACCCTAACATCAGCCCCTTGAGCTAAGAAACCCCTTGGTGTTCGTTGTAGCACCAGAAGCTTATGCCAGCACCATGTATTTTACCCCACAAAAATGGATGAGAAAGGAGCTGCCGAGCTGGGGAGGGGAGAAGGGAAATGAGCTATGTCATCAGGCCCTGAAACCCCAGATCAAACAACATTCCAGCACATAAATATTCATCCAAGCAGCATGTCCAGTTGCAGTCCATTTAGCATGACATTAACAGTGAGCTGTAAGACAAAAGCCCAGGAGCTCATTATCATGAGCCAGGCTTGGGAACATTTGGAGCAAGTTCTGAAATAATTAATGTTTCATTTGAATAATGTGATGAACATGCACATTTGTTTTATTGTGGGGCTCTTTTGGAGATCCCTGCAACCCTCCCTCTTGTGGAATGCCTGGTGGCAAGGGACCTGCCCATCAGGAGGAAGAATCAGGAGTGTTATTTTTAACTCCTCATCATTAGAGGAAACACACACATCTCGAAGTCTGGAAGGAGTGATTATTAGCCGTTCAGCTGAGAAATAGCCTGGTGTCTACAATGCATCATTTTCCAATTATTTAGATATTTTTCAATGCCTTAAATACTGGAGGCATATAAAACCCAGCTCATTTACTCTCCCTAAATTATACTTTCTCCATCTGCCATGGTCTTACAGTTTAATAAAACCTCTACTTTTTACAAGCCCAATAAAATCATGGAAAATACGGAGGAAGCTCAGTTTCAGCTTGATTTGGTTTTTGTTTTTCTTTTAGGGGGAAGAATTGATATATCTGAACTGGAAAATAATTTTCATATGCTCAGTTTGCTAATATAGTTTGGAGATTTTTTTAAGGCCACTTACCAAAAAAAAGGTAATTTTATGTTTTTCTTATGAGATATTCCAAAATACTGTGGCATTAGAAAGTTGTGATTTTCACTGGAAACAGAAAGAAATAAGCCAGATTTCCCCACCTCCATAAATCAATTCCAGATCCCAATGGTTTTGACTGCATTTATCAGTCTTTCTTTATTGAAACTCTCTGTCTCACATGTCTAGCCCAGAGCTCAAAATGCTGAATAGAAGGAAGGGAGAGGTCTGTGCACTTTGCTGAGTTTGTGCCATGGAAGAAATCTATACTCACACATGCATGGAAAAGCGTCAATATTTGCAGTGGCAAAGAACTAGTAGTTATGCTAAGGTCAATTTCATGCCAAAACAATAAGAAATATTCTATATTTTATTAATTTTTTTAAAAACTTGTAGGGCCTCTGGGAATCCTACATGGGAACCCAGAATATATTCTGTCTATGTATTTCAGGTTCTGGAACTTCAGCTTTAGAAAATCAGTTTCATTGGAAACCCTCTTCCAGTGTGACCTTGTGTTATTGCCAACTAAAAAATACTCAAGTAGAGGATTTCCAAGACTAAGTTATATTTTTTCCTACAACAAGATACCTAAAGCCACACATCCATGTGTTTGGTTCAGAAACTCTCCAGTGTCTTCCAACACCCAGGCTTTTTCCATCCCCCTGTTCCAGTTTCTTCTGACTACTGGCTTGGTCCTTATATTGCCACCTCATGCCCTAAAATGGCTACCAGAGCTCCTAGCATCAGACAACCATACAACTGTATTCACACAACCATGGTCAAAAGAAGGACAAAGTCAGGTTTCTACATGTGCATCTCACTAATTACGGAAGAATCCCCTTACAGATGTGCCCGTTGAGATGTCCTCACAGGTATCTTTGACCAGGATTTAGTTACACGTCTTTGACAAAGGAGTTTGGAAATCCTCTCAAGTCTGTGAGTTGTATCAGAAAAAAAAAAAAAGGGAAAACAACTGAGAAGAGGCAAAGAAAGAGCTTTCTACATATACCTAGACCTGATTAAACTTTCCTTTGATCTCTAAAACCACTTTGCGGTTCATAAATCTTATTAACTCAAATGCCCTTCATTTGAAATTTATGATAATTTGGACAAGGACAAGGTATAAATTAAGAAAATATCTGGTAAGCGAATAAAATATTTCAAAATTAATAGTATCAAATGATAGAAGTACAGAAGTACTACCAGCCCTTGCAAGGGATAAATAAACAGGTCCACATTTATACTGAGCTGATAAGATAGTGACAATTTAGTCTTATCAAGTGATTTATTTATTTATTTAGTTTATTTTTTATTTTTTTGAGATGAAATGTCACTGTTGCCCAGGTTGGGGTGCAGTGGTGCAATCTCAGCTCACTGCAACGTCTGCCTCCCAGGTTCAAGCAATTCTCCTGCCTCAGCCTCTCAAGTAGCTGGGATTACAGGCATGCACCACCACACACAGCTAATTTTTGTATTTGTAGTAGAGAAGGCGTTTCACCATGTTGGCCAAGCTGTTCTCGAACTCCTGACCTCAAATGGTCCACCCGCCTCGGCCTCCCAAATTGCTGGGGTATCAAATGATTTAAAAGGTATTTGGGGGAAAAAGAGTGTGGTTAGATGTTTTTAAATTTTATTTGAATACCATAAGTACTATATTTGACAGTTATTATATTTGATGTCAATATTTTAATAATTCAAACTGTAACTAATGGAGAATTAATGTTTGTCAATTAGAAGGGTATACGATTTTGCTGCACTTCTATTCTGAATTCTCAACAGTCTTATTTGAAAAGAAAAAAAAATTATGGAATCGGAAACCTTAGTTTGTTTTGGCTAATGAGCAATTGGTCATACTCTTCCTTATCCAGAATGTGTTCATTCCTTTGGAACAACAGATCCTCAGCCTTTTGCTGGAAATCTTATGTCCAAGTTGAGAAAAATGAAAACTGGATTGAGAGGTGCAGAGGTGTGCCCCAGCATCCCCTCACTATAAGAATGAGTGGCTGTGCTGTGATTTACCCTGAGGGACAGCTTAACTTTGCTGCACCTTGAATGCCAATTGCCAGTTCCCACACATCCAGTTACGCCTGGGAAACAGAGACGCTTCTCCATCTGGCACTCATTGAGTGTCTTTCTGGCAGAGACAGGAACAAAACTAAGAACAACATTAAGTGTTACTCTACCATCTCTCCTAGGTCCTGGGGTTATTCTGACAAACTCTAAGCCTGCACAAATCACCCATGAAATATAATATACACAGCTAGGGTCAGCCATCCAGGAATCCTATCTAATAGTTTAGCCAAATCCACTCAGTACCAAGCATCACCACACACCACCTTTGTGCAATGTAGTGTCTCTTCTGATGAGCTTACAGTTCTTCTGTCTTATATTGTTGTCATACATGGAATTTAAACTGAAAAATAGTACATATAAACAATTGTGTTTGACTGTATTCATTGCCCAAGCAGAAGCCACTTTTCTGTTTTCCTGCCAAACAATCTCAATTTTGTGCTGAGAGTAGCTGGGTATCCCATCCCCTGTCCCAAGGAGTACAGCCTGATTGGTCTGAGTCAGACATGTGTTACCACTCCCCATTGCCAGTGATTGGGCTAAGGATAGGCATGTGACCTGATAGTGGCCAATGAGGCAAAAGGGGAAGTCAGACGTGGTGCTTTGGGAATGGGGACAGGCAAAGAACAATGACAACGAAAGCCAAATAAGAATAAAGAGACAAGCCAACATAAACAATTAAAGAAAAAAAATCATAAGAAAAACAAGATAGAACTTTCAAAAAAAAAAACACATTTTTTTCTTGCCCCACTTTCTTCTTGCTTGGGAGGGTGATAGATTTGATGTTTGGCACCCAGGCAGGAATTTCTGTCTAAGGAAGTCTGGAAGAATTGCACGGACAGAGCCTTAGATCCCTGAGAAAGGCATGTCTCCAGACCGCCAGTTGTGAGAGCTAATTCATCATCCACGTCATTCAACTGTTAACCGTAGTTAAGCAATCTGACTGGTGAAAGTAAAAAATGCCCATTGCTATTAGATTCTGATGCTTTCCAGAGGGGCTGAGCTTGATCCTCATGCTGCCTTTGATTAAAAGGAAAACCAGTGAGGGCTGGAGGTCTTAACAATATTTCATCCCCCAAATGAGACTTTCTCTTCAGTGTAATGTGAAGGGTTGAGAGAGAATTGAAATGAAGATGGAAGATGAAATAAAATGTCTCCCATGTGACTTTATGTTGTTTAACACTGTCTGGGTGTCACGTAAAGTCATATTGTACAACACCAGTGAAGCAGGCACCCTTTGAAAAACATCGTTACAATATGTGCTATCCAAAATCAAGACTTTTGTACCTTTGAGGCTATGTTAAATACACAGGGTGAAGCACAAGATTTTTCTGGGTGTGAAATATTGACTGTGGGTGTTTGTGTAGATGTGCATGTTATGTACACAAAAATATCAGCCTATGAATTCTTCAGTCATTGTACTTTCAAATATAAAAACAAGAAATCAATAGATGATTAATAATGACTGAACTGAATCAGGATGTTTTCAGAAATAACAGTAATTTTGGCAGTAGTTAATAACAAATGCCATTGTTGGCTCAAACTTTGAAACAATGCAATATTTTGATGATTAAAATTATAACAATTTGGGTGTTTGGGGATTGATTGTGGAGTGGCCAGATGCTGTCAGAGGAAAGCAAGACCTGGCTCAGGGCTTATGTTTACGTAATTTGCCTTATCAATTAATCTGGAGGCAGCTTTCTGGTTTACCGTGTGGGTCTAGCTGCACTGTCAGCCCGTGTCTCTCCTACTGTGCTTTAAATAGCATTTTCCAATTTTCAGTCTTTTGTCAAATATTCTTTTTTTTTTTTTTTTTTTTTTTTGAGACGGAGTCTTGCTTTGTTGCCCAGGCGTGATCTCACTGCAACCTCCACCTCCCGGGTTCAAGCGATTCTCCTGCCTGCCTCAGCCTCCCTAGTAGCTGGGATTATAGGTGCTTGCCACCACACCTGGCTACATTTTTGTATTTTTAGTAGAGAGAGGGTTTCATGATGTTGGCCAGGCTGTTCTTGAACTCCTGATCTCAAGTGATCCACCCACCTCGGCCTCCCAAAGTGCAGGGATTACAGGGGTGAGCCACCACCCCCATCCTCAAATATTCTTACAAAATTTCCTATAATTACCATAATGGCTGTACTATTATCTACTTAAGTAGATTACTTAATCTACTTAATTTAAAAGTCTTATGTCACTTAAATAAATATATTTGAAAAGGACATTCTAACAGGAAACTATACCAACATGATGAATGGAAAACCATTATCACTTGTCAAAAATCAAAGGTAATTATGGAAGTAAATACAATAGATAAACATGAAATATCATTACCTAGTTACCACTATGTGCTTCAGGTTTACTGCCTGAGTTCTGCTTTTCTTTGGGAGTGGTCAGAAAGGAAGATTCAGTGGTAGCAGGAGGATTTTCAGTTATGTAAGCATCAAACAGAATTCTCAATGTAGCTGGCGTTAGTCCAAACTGCAGCATTTTGTAAGCCCCCGCAGTTTCACAGACCTTGATGAGAGTGAAACATTCCACCGGGGCTCAGGCCGTGAGAAACATCCTACTAACCACCTGACCGCAAGGCGTAGGAACATCCTTATCATACCTTGCCAGGCAAAGGCTCAACTGAAGGAATGTCCCTACCATATCCCGCTGGGCAAAGGTCCAAGGAACATCCTATCACATCTCACAGGAGAAAGGGCCAAACCACCTGATCATAGGACCATCTTACCAATATCCTGCTGGGCAGCAAACCGTACTGCCCAGACATCCCCCTGCCAAACCTATAAATGACGCCAGCCTGTAAGCATCAGTGGGCTCTGACGTTAAGCTGGTCCTAGTGCTGGACATAAAAATCTGCTTTGCCGTAGAGCCGCCAACTCTCTCTCTATCTTTCTTTAGCCCTCGCCTTCCCTTCAAAACCCAACAGCCAGAAGAACCCAAATCTTGTGGAAAGGGAATCCCTTGGTCGCCATATAATTGAGTGTGATTTAAATGGCAGATTTTGTGTCATCTAGAATTATGTCCTAAGGTAACAATCTCCCATGTTGTGGCTGACCAGGTTGGAAGTCCACCATGATAGGCAGCTGTAGACCCTCCCCCCATCCCAAGGGATGGCTCATGATTAGCCTAATCCAATGGAGGTAATCCCATTCCCCTGTCAATGACTGGTTCAGGGATGGGGCAAGTAACCCAGTTTTACTCAAACAGATATTAGGAAATATCTTTGTGGCAGGAAAATAGGGTCTGGAGGCAGGGAACATAAGGCCAATTTACACATCGGCTGTGACAGGAAATGTCATCTCCATAGGCCATAGGCTGAGTAAATGACTTTGTAATTTTACTTCACCCTCTTCATTTATTTAAGACGTACACCAAGTAACCAGTGGAAACTTCTAGAGGGTATTTAAACCCCCAAAAATTCTGTAACGGTGCCCTGAGCCCCTATGCTTGGGCCCACTCCCACACTGTGGAGTGTACTTTCATTTTCAATACATCTCTGCTTTTGTTGCTTCATTCTTTCCTGGCTTTGTTTGTACGTTGTGTCCAATTCTTTGTTTAAGAAGCCAAGAACCTGGACACCCTCCATTGGTAACACCTTCTGTGCCTTCTAAGCAATATTTACCTCTTTGATAATAATTGTAATGTGAGAAAGCTCATCATTTGCCTCTGTCTTCCCGTCATGTTTTAGAGGCTGTTCTGGGAAGGAGCATTGGAAAGATGACACAAATTTAAGACTTAATCACAAACCTGTTCTGAATTTACCTCAGTCTTCTTAAGGAAATTACACATATCCTCATGGTTTTTTGTTTTGTTTTGTTTTGTTTTGTTTTGTTTTTTTTCAAGACGGAGTCTTGCTCTGTCACCCAGGCTGGATTACAGTGGCACAATCTCGGCTCACTGCAAGCTCCACCTCCCAGGTTCACGCCATTCTCCTGCCTCAGCCTCCCAAGTAGCTGGGACTACTGGCACCCACCGCCACGCTTGGCTAATTTTTTTTTGTATTTTTAGTAGAGACAGGGTTTCACCTTGTTAGCCAGGATGGTCTCAATCTCCTGACCTCGAGATCCGCCTCGGCCTCCCAAAGTGCTGGGATTATAGGTGTGAGCCACTGCGCCTGGCACACATATCCTCATGGTTTAAGGTTGGCTGAATCTTCTGTGCCGTGCACCTGGAAACATTTCCAATTAATACACTTGTTTCCTGTTTATACTTGTGTGGACCCCAAATATCAAAGACAGATCTCAGTCAATTTAGAAAGTTTATTTTGTCAGGGTTAAAGACACAGCCTCAGGAAGTCCTGAGACATGTGCCCAACGTGATCAGGGGTACAGTTTGCTTTTATACATTTTAGGGAGACGTGAGACATCAATCAATATGGATAAGATGTGCATTGGTTAGGTCTGTTAAGGCAGGACAACTCGAAGTGGGGGCTTCCAGGTTAGAAGTAGGTAAGAGACAAAAGGTTGCATTCTTTCGAGTGCTTGATCAGCCTTCCACTAAATACACAGTTTAGTCTGGCTCAGTGAATCTGCATTTTTACATAAACAATAGGGGAGAGGGAGCAATCAGACAGGCATTTGTGTCAGGGGAGTCACAGAGGGATGACTGAATAGAATGAGAGGCAGATTGGCCCTAAGCAGTTCCCAGGATGACTTTTCCTTTTAGTTTGTGATTTGGGGGTCCCAAGATTTATTTTCGTTTCACACCTGCTTATGCCAGCATTATTCCCTGTGTTTAACTTGGTTCATCCTGTGTTCTCCACTGACACAAACTTACAAAAATCTGAAAAAGTGTGGACTTCTGTGAGTGAGAATATTTTTGGAGAAGACTCTGATAAAACAAAACTATGACACAACAAACTCAACAAAAATATTCTTCAGGATATTGTACCTGTCTGAGTTTGATCAGAAAAATGGAGCCACCATAGTTGCTACAGGTGCAATTATTAGAAGTTTAATGGGCATAATATTGGAATTAGATGGTGGATGGAACTGGGAGAAGGAAGGTCTAGGAAGCGGCAGCAAGAAGATCAGAGGAAATGCAACTAAGGACTTGCCTAAAGCAATGGAAAAGCCAGGGCTCACAGAGAAGTCTGACATGCTGCTTTGAGCTTATGGAGAGCTGTGTGAAGCCAACACATTTACCTGCGTGGCCTGCCAGTGACAATAGCTTTCACCTCATTTTTGTCTTACACATTTCAATGTATTTCCTCTCATTGGGAGAGAGTTTTGGAAAGAGTTCCTAGGCTTAAGAGGAAGTAGTGGTAGGCTGGTTGTGGTGGCTCACATCTGTAATCCCAGCACTTTGGGAGGCTGAGGTGGGTGGATCACTTGAGACCAGGAGTTTGAGAACAGCCTGGCCAATAGAGCAAAACCCTGTATCTACTAAAAATACAAAAATTAGCTGGACGTGGTGGGGCATACCTGTAGTCCCAGCTGTTTGGGAGGCTGAGGCATGAGAATCACTTGAACCTGGGAGATGCAGATTGCAGTGAGCCTGGATTGTGCCTCTGCACTCCAGCCTGGGAGACACAGTGAGACTCAGTCTCAAAAAAAGAGGACATAGTGGGGTGGCTAAGTTAGCAAAAAATAATCCAACACAGATTTACATCTATCAAAGAAAGAGAAAAAAATAAGTTTGCAACCATCTTTCATTCATTCATTTATTCAAAATAATAATAATCTTGTATTATACACCAGTCACCATCCTGTACCTGGAATGACAGTTGCTATTGACTGAATTGTTTCATCCTAAAATTCATATGGTCAAACCCTAACTCTGCATGTGATGGGGCCTTTCCGAGCTGAATAAGTTTAGATGAGGTTGTGAGGGTCAGGTCTCCATGATGGGATGAGTGTCCTTATAAAAAAGACACTAGATACGCATGGATATATAGTAGACACTGGAGATATATAATAGACATTGGAGACTACCAAAGGTGGAAGGGTGTGCAGGGGGTGAGGGTTGAAAAATCACCTACTGGGTACAGTGTTCACTGTTCAAGTGATGGGGAGAAGCCCAGATTCCACCACTGTGTGATGTATGCACACAAGAAATCTGTACTTGTACCCCCTAAATCTATGGAAATTTAAAAAGCATATAAAAAGACATGGGAAAGCTTGCTCTCACTCTGTCTCACGTCCCTGTGAGGACACAGCAAGAAGGCTGCCATCCGCAATCCAGGAAGAGAGCCCTCACCAACACCCAACCATGCTGGCACCTTGATATTGGACTTCCCAGCCTCCAGAACTGTGAGACCATAAATTTCTGTTGTTTACGCTCCTCAGTTCATGGTGTTTTGTTATGGCAGCCCAAGCAGAATAAGATAGCCATGAATAGAGGAGACATGGTCCATCTTTATTATTGTTTTTATAATTATTTGATGATGACAATGGTGATGACGATGTTTCCATCATTGTACCTGTAAAGGCTTACTGGAAGGTTTTATTTCCCTTGGGAAGTAAATTTCACAACCCTTGAATAGTTGTTTGCTGTTCAGAAAACCTATTTAGGAAGTTTTAAATGCAAAATTTATGTCTGATCCCAAGCTAGATAGGGGATTGGAAGAGGTGAGATAATTAAGAGAAGAAGAAGCAGGTGGAGGGGAAAAGAAAGAGGAGGAAGAGGAAGATGGGAAAGATAAGATAAACAAAAAAAATACATTTTGTTTATTGTTTCTCATTTTTCCAAGAAATTAGATTTTTGTGGTATCAATTTCTCTGTAAATTCAGGAAAACCTCACCAAGATAAGCTATGCATGGTTGTTAGGCCAGGCGCAGTGGCTCATGCTTGTAATCCCAGCACTTCAGGAGACTGAGGCAGGAGGATCACCTCAGGTCAGGAGCTCAAGACTAGCCCAGGCAACATAGTGAAACCCCGTCTATACTGAAAATACAAAAATTGGCTGGGTGCAGTGGCTCACGCCTGTAATCCCAGCACTTTGGGAGGCCAAGGCGGGCGGATCACGAGGTCAGGAGATTGAGACCATCCTGGCTAAGACAGTGAAACCCCATCACTACTAAAAATATAAAAAATTAGCCAGGCATGGTGGCGGGCACCTGTAGTCCCAGCTACTAGGGAGGCTAAGGCAGGAGAATGGCATGAACCCGGGAGATGAAGCTTGCAGTGAGCTGAGATCATGCCACTGCACTCCAGCCTGGGCAACAGAGCGAGGCTCCATCTAAAATAAATAAATAAATAATAAATAAATAAAAATAAAAATAAAAAACAAATTAGCTGGGTGTGGTGGCAGGAACCTGTGATTCCAGCTACTCAGGAGGCTGAGGCAGGAGAATTGCTTGAGCCCAGGAGGTGGAGGTTGCAGTGAGCCGAGATCACACCATTGCACTCCAGCCTGGGTGATAAGAGTGAAATTCCGCCTCAAAAAAAAAAAAAAAAAAAAGATGTGAATGGTGGTTAGTGACAATTTCAATGTTTATGAGCTGAGGGTGATGGAATTTTGAGTTATCACCTGATGTTCATGTATTTTCTACTTCTTTACAGCATCAGTGTCCACTGGCAATGAGCTAGCCACATTGAGGCAGCCCAGGTTCTAGGCTTGAATGGTTATTGATGAAGACTGCATGCCCTGAGTTTTAGTTCTAGTTTCCAGAACTCCCTTCCAATGAGAGGAAAACAAATAAGGTGTCTAAGACAGAAATAAAGTGAAAGTCATTATCCCTGGAAGGCCATGCCGGTAGATGTGTCTGTCCCGCAGAGCTTTCCACAAGCCTGAAGCAGGGGATCACAGGTCTCTGAGCTGCCCTCTTCAGCTGCTTCTGGCTGAAGTCATCAGGTGTGGGCATGTGCTCTCATCTATATCTTCTCATCAGAGGGTACTGTTTTTCCCACTTCTTTCAAGAAAAAAGGTAGTAACCAGACTTAGGCAATCCTTCATGTAGTAAGGAGAAAGAAATGGAACACAATTCTCCGTCAGGAATTCTGGCTTTACTCTGACAATTTTACAATTTCACATTAGTGACTCCTGCAGCAAATGCATGTATTTATGTTCAGATTAAACTGATACAGGGGAGACGATGACTAGAGCCAGCATTTCCTGAGCTGTAAATGGAGGATATGCCATAATGAATTTCAGGTTCCATGAAGCTTTTGCGTAAATAAATTCATGACACTAAGAATTGGGGAATAAACATTTTAGAGGACAGTCGCATTCTAAATGAGAATTGCTAAGAGTGGGAGGCCCCTGTCATTTATTGGATTAGTTATGGAACTGTACATGAGCCTGCAATATTTGTTCTGCTGCTGTGGTGTGACCGGTGAAATGAAAAGATGCGTCTGGGGAGTGCTCAGTAAATGTTCCTCTTCTTTCTGCCATTGTTTTTATAGCTCTGGGAGGAATCTGCCACTCAGAGTTAGAAATTAATATCATACTTGTATGAGAAACAAAAGTGAAGATACGAGATGGAGACGTTTTGGCCTCAGAACAGTAACTCCACTGATTGAGTTAAATGTGTTTAACTCAGGCAGAAAGACGTGCTACCTGTGTGACACCATCATAGCTCCCAGCAGCCAACAGGAACACGTGCAGCCACTAAGCTGGAGGGAGAACGCCTGGTAAACCAGATGTCCCTAGCTCTCGAGTCTGTGTGTTTTAAATGTCTTGGAATTATTTGTGGATATTGACAGATTGAAATTCATAGATCTCCAGCTCACAGATAGCGTGGGATATTTCCAAATTCCCCAAGTTAATTTGTAGCTGAAAATGGAATTTCAGTCTCTTACACTGTATGGTTGGAAAACTATTTAGTGAATCCATATGTGTTCCTGGGGGGCATTTTGAGGACATTTGCTGAGATTGACAAATATTTCCAGTATTGTGTCTCTCCATACCCACAATAGCATTAAGTGGAGGCGTCTGGGATTGAGCCATCACACATCTATCTAACCACATTCGCTCAAATGTGATGGGCCAAGGCCTTCAGACATGACCAGGTAACTATAGGTTGAATTTAAATCAGTACTTTGCCTAAGAGAGATGAAGAGAAAAATGCACACAGGTAATTGACTCAACTAACATACTATGAATCTAGGAGGAACAAACAATAGAAATTGGGACTTTTAATGTTTTATTTTAAAGCAGAAAACAGGTCATGTGGGCTACACTCAAAACACAGAGAGGGCCCCTCCTTCCCGTCGTCAGGGCAGCCACACCCTCTCCCCTCCAGGCACCAGGCTCTTCCTGTGTTCTCTAATGTCTGGTAGGGCAGGACTCTTGAACCCCATCTACACAGCAGCAGGGGCTTGGGATTCATTGTTCGTTTTTTGCTTCTAAGAAAAGAGCACATTCAGGGTATATGGAAAAGTAAAATAGATAATATTTTTTCTGAGTAGCATAATACGTGCTCTCATGATCTTTGGGGCTGAAAAGAAAGGTACCAGCCTGCTGTCTCTCCTGCTGTGGCAGAACCTGCAACCTCCAGTTGAGAAGTCCAAGTCTTTGGATGGAGGGGCTTCCTTCGGCCTGAGTTCCTGAGACAGAACAACGGGAAACAGATCCTGTGACCTCTCACATTGTGACAATGCCAAATCAACTGTGTTGTTTTAAGTCTTGGAAAATTTGGGGTTGTTACCTTAGCAAAATCCAGCTTTTTTGGAATAGCCCCAAATCTGAAGTTTCTTATAAACAAAAGGGAAGCAACGTTAGGTCCCTACCGTATAAAGTTATTGGGAGAATCATACACAACACCACACTGGAAATCATCATCATAAAATCTTGCAATTGTGATAAATTTGTATCTTGTTTAATTTATTATCATTAGGAAAGGCAGAAAAAGAACATTGTGTATTCTGGAAATGCTGGGTCATCCTGGGTGACTGGAGCAGGCTGCACGGGGAGGAAGGATGGGTGATGTGTCTGGTGGTGGGAGCCTGCCTGTGGAGGGCCACTGGGCTCCAGCTAAGCTATTGGCCTTTATTCAGTAGATCCTTGGAGCTATAAAGCATTTTCAAGTGTTGAAGCAAACTAAACATGGCCTGAGAAAGACTCCGTACTTCTATAATTAAGTCCTTGTGGATAAACTGCAACCCGACTTAATAGGTAGACAGGACTGAAAACCTAACTGAGCAGTATGCGCCTTTAACAATCGCTGAGTCTTGGTCAATCCCAGAGGCCATACTTCAACCAGTCATATACTGCTGAGTGTTCAAACTGTGTTCAAATAAGGCAAACGTCCAGCTGTTACCAATCCAGCTGTTTGGTACCTCACTTCCAATTTCTGTATATCACTTTACTATTTTGGTCTATAAATTTGTTCTCATCACGAGGCACATCTGGAGGCACCTCTCTGAATGTGCTGATTCTGGGGGCTGCCCAATTCACAAATCATTCATTGCTCAATTGAAGTCCTTTAAATTTAATGTGGCTGAAGTTTTTCTTTTAACACAAGTAATGAGTGACACATGTTGGTGATTGGATAGATATCCATTAAGACTGGTAGAATGGAATGAAGTAGAGCCTAGAAACAGGAAATTGTGCCACCATTTCTCCAGCCAGGCTGAGTGGGCAGGAATGTCTGTGGACACCATATTGCTGGCCCAGTGACTGGAAGCTCAGGATGTCCCGGAGGCTCTGGCACCTCCCAACTGCACCAGCCAATGCAGCCAGCACTCCTGTCACCGTGCATACCACACACTCGTTTGGACACATCTATGAACACCCTCTTCTATGATTTGTTTTCTCAATTATTTTGTGATTACATCTTTCCTTTAATTTTTTGTACATTTATGTGGAAAATGTATATAGGTTGAACTTTATGAATTCTGCACATCCAGGTAGAAATCCAGAACATTAACTGAGTCCTACGTAAACTTACAAAAATGTTCCAAAGTGTAAAACCACAATCTATGAGATAGGGTTACAGGGGCACTTGTTTCTTCCCAAGGGACTCACTGGGAGCTACCAGTGGTCTCAATCTGATTCACTGTCTGAGTCTGTTTGGGCTAAGTCTCATACCATATATCGGGTGGCTGAGACCACAGAAATGTATTCTCAGATGTCTGGAGGCTGGAATGTCCAAGATCAAGGAACCAGCAGATTCGGTGTCCGGCCTCATAAATCACCTGCTGTCTTCTCCCTGTAACCTCACAGGGCAGAAGGGGCCTCCCTGGGGCCTCTTTCATAAGATCACTCATCCATTCATAAGGGCTCCACTCCCACGACTTAATCCCCTCTTAAAGGCTCTATCCCCAAATACCATCACCTTGGGAATGAGGGGTTCAAAACAGAAATTTGAGGGGGACACAGACATCCAGACCCTAGCACTCACCTTCCTCCTATTTGCACATCCCATCGACCTTTCAATCCCTGTTGATGGTTAGGAATAGGAAAATCACTGGGGATGACCTCCCCAGACGGTGTTTGATTAGGTGACTAAGTGAGGAACGGGGCAATGTACTTACTCCTGAGACACTCCATGGGCACAACAGGTGGGTGATCTCTGACCTTCTCTCTGCCAAGGATGATGTTGATACCTTTCCCTACATCCTACATGTGACCTAAAAAGTAACAAGGACTAGATGGTGATATTGGCAAGAATAACATTCTTGATTGAGCACTTAACATGGGCCAGGAACTCTTCTTAGAGCTTTGCATTTATTACATCATTTTAACTTCACAAGAGCCCTGAGATACAGGAACTATTAATATCCCCAGTATACTAACAAGGAAGCAAGGAGAAGTCAAATGAGTCCCCAGTTCACATGGCCAACAGGCAGTAGGGCAGGACTCTTGAACCTTGTCTACACAAGAGCAAGCCAGTAGGACAGCCCTGTCTACACAGCAACAGTCCAGTAGGGCAGGACTGTTGAGTCTATTCTACACCACAGCAGACTGTAGGGCAGCCTTGTCTACACAGCAGCAGTCCAGTAGGGCAGGACTCTTGAACCTCTACACAGCAGCAGGCTCATGGCCTTAGGTACTCTCTACCGTATTCCATGAAAGACAGTGGGATATGGGCTTCAAGTCACACTTACTGGAGTCAGACTGCCTGGGTCAACGTCTGGTCTGTCTTTACAGCTTATTGCCCGTGTGACTTTGGGAAAGGCTTTTTAAGTGTTTATCTCAATTTCCATACTTGAAAATAAAGCATCAGTGAGTTGAATTGTTAGGACAATACACAGTACAGAGTAATAACTTTGAAAGTGTCATTATTATCATCATTTTACTTTTCTGTCTTTCAGTTGCTACACTGAGTTGTTCAAGGTGGTCGCTTTCTCAGTTAGGAATCCCTAACCCTTTTCAGTAAAATTGTACCCCCAGTCACCAAGTACTCTCTTCCTCTTCCTGGCCTTACTGTTATCAGTTGCACTTACGGTCATCTGATACACTATGTATTTAACTTACATACTTGTTTATTGTCGGTCTTCCCCCATTAAAATATAAGCCCCATGAGTGGAGGCTTTCATCTACCTTTATATCCCATGCTATATATCCCAGCCCTAGGCAGTACCAGACAAATAGGTGCTCAGAGAAGAGCTGGTATCTTTTTAATCAATGTGGTTAACAGTCCACTTCAGGGCAGGCAACCCCTCAATGCTGAGAAGGAATGAGGTTTTTGATGGAGCCTTGACCCTCCCAAGAAATCCATTCTCCCTCTTGGAAAAGCTCCCTGGTGGGCCATTACACATCACTTTATTACATCCAGCCACCTGCAAGATGACCATTTTATCACCACCTATTCATCATGTTGTCTGCTTTTTGGAAGTGCTGTATTAAAATGTCGCCCACATCCCCATCTGCAGCAGAATCTCTCCTTGTTAGGTACTGCGTGATCATGGTCAATGCAGGCGATAACGTACAAAATGTTGGCCTAGGAGGAGATTTCTGCACAACTAGTTGGTGGTTCAAAACACTAGAGAAATAAACTGTATGCCCATTAAAGACTCAGTGAAAAGGCTTAACAAGCACAATGAGAATGATGGCTGAGAAATGACTGGGAAGTGTGCACCACCACACTTTATACCCAGCTGTGCAATGGGGAGGCTGTGGCTGCACCTGTCAATCAGCCAGTGCTGTCAAGGGCTGGATGAGGGGTGACCTCCCTCCCTCATGGGGAGCTGCCATGGAGGTGGCCTATGAGAACCCAGAAGTGTCTTGTCCTACACAAAGGTTTATTTTACTGCAGCAGGGGGTAGCTGGTCTCTCAGTCTCTGTCCGTGGAGCAGAATACAATCTTGTCTTGCTTCTGTTTCTGCTTCATTGTCAAATTAGCCCAGTTTCCACATTAGTAAAATAAGGGTAACAGTAGCATCTGCCATTATTCGCTACCACAATTAACTGTCTTAATGCTTGGTGCTTAGATTCGGGGGTCTGGTTTATAATGAGGTGTTGAGCAAGCCTAGTCTATTATTATTATGATTTATTTCTAGCCACCCTCTCTGTTGACCGTTTCCTCCATCTGCTCTGGTTCTGATCCTTCCTAGGTTTGGGGGTCTCACAAATACCTTATAACCTCAAGTCCCCCTGGTGTTGGACCTTAGCTCTGTATCACTGACTGGCCCAGGGGTTCCAAAGGAGAGTGTATTAGTCCATTTTCACATTGCTATGAAGAAATACCCAAGACTGAGTAATTTATAAAGGAAAGAGGTTTAATTGACTCACAGTTCTGCATGGCTGGGGAGGCCTTAGGAAACTTACACTCATGGCCGAGAGGCAGGCACCTTCTTCACAGGGCGGCAGGATGGAGTGAGGGCAAGCAGAGGAAATGCCAGATGCTCATAAAACCATCAGATATCGTGAGAATTCACTATCATGAGAACACTATGAGGGAAACTGCCCCCATGATCCCATTATCTCCACCTGGTCTTGCCCTTGACATGTGGGGATTATGGGGACTACAATTCAGGATGAGATTTTGGGTGGGGACACAGCCAAACCATATCAGAGAGGGTATATGCCTGTCGCACCTAGATCCAGTGTGCACACCTGTTCTCATAGCTGTGGCTCCAGGGACGAGGGCACAAAGATGGAGAAAGGAGGTTCCTTCCAGGTTGGTGAGCTGGGCAGCCTGTTTAGGAGACTTGATGAGGAGCAGAAGGTGTGCATTCCTCAGGTCTCTGTTCTTCAGTGTCATGGGACAGTATTTGAACACCAGGACTTGCTCCTTTGTTCTTAACACCTGAGGAGCAAGGGATCTCAGTGCTCAGAGGCCCCGAGACCCTGTGTGCCTGGCCCACCTTCCTCCATGACCTTCGCTCCACCCTCCCATTCCCCACAAACCACACAGCCATGTGCCAGTTCTACGACCCAGGATGGTTCCTACTTCTGGGTGTTTCCATTTGAGCCATCCCCTTTCCATAGAACCCTTTTCTTGTGGGATCATTCAGGTCATTCTCAATAGTTCTAGTCCTTCTCACACACCAACCTGTTTCATATCCTTCAAAGTATTCCTCATTGTCAAATATTATCTTATGCGTTTACTTTTCACCAATTTATTGTATTACTTTTCTCACTAGACGACAAGCACCATGAAACGGGGGTGTTGCTGCTGTCACCCACAATGTACCCACAAGGCGTACATAGAGGGGCTGTCATTTTTTAAAACATTGAATGAATAATCTGGCGTCTCTGTCTTTTCTTAGCTAAGATTCCTATTCCTCCTTTCCCTTTACTTGCTCCAAAAGTGAGGTCAGATTTAAATGCACTGTGATCTGATCTCTCTGCGAGTCAAGGTATGATACCAGCCAGGTATTTTCTCCTCTCTATTTCCACTTTCCATCAACCACCCAACCCTGAAACTGAAATGTGACTGGTCTTGGCAGTCAGTTGTGTGTTTCAGATAAATATGTGTGGGCGGGTCATTGTAACACTATGAATTTCCGATAAGCCAGGATTTCAGCCACCAGAGAAGTCAAACGGATGGACTGATTGTGGATGTCCCTGGAAGGCCGGCCCTGAGACTGAGTGAGTGGCCCTGTTCTGTGCTGTGCAGAATCCTGACCACACACAGCACAGAGGCCTGGGGAGGGGAGTCACTGCCCCCGAGAGCATGTGTTCTTGAAAAGTGCAATGACCTCCCTGGCACAGGACCCGGTGACTGTTGTCTCCCGGTAAATATCTGCTAAATGAATCGATGAGTAGACTAATGTGTGGATGAAATCTACTTCTCTGATGGTGAAAGACTCATCAAATCAACACACCCTGCTCAGGAGTGGAAGTGGGTCCATTGCAAAACATTTTGTGCTCCACCATGTGGAGCAATGCCACCTAGATTTCTATGCCTCGCCATTTAGCTCCAAGGGTTCAGTAGCCGACAGGCCCCACCTGCTAAGGTGGTCCAGATCTGCCTCTGTTGTTGAGCCGAGGCCACGCTCCTCCCGGGCAGCCGGTTGATGATGGAGCAAAGCGCTGCAGAGATGTTGGGGTCTGACCCATTCCCTCTAATGCAGCACTCCTCTAATGGGCAACCCCCTCCCCACGGCTGGAGCCCCCTCTGTGCTGGCTTGGGCTTTGTCAGATCCCTTTCCCACTTCCTCCCTCTTCTAATGTTCAGAGGTGTGATGGTTAATATTGAGTGTCAACTTGATTGGATTGAAGGATGCAAAGTATTATTCCTGGGTGTGTCTGTGAGGGTGCTGCCAAAGGAGATTAATATTTGAGTCGGTGGACTGGGAAAGGCAGACCCACCCTCAATCTGGGTGGGCACCATCCAGTCAGCTGCCAGAGCAGCTAGAGTAAAGCAGGCAGAAGAAGGAGGAAGTAACCTACTTGCTGAGTCTTCTGGTCTTCCTCTTTTTCCCATGCTGGAGGTTTCCTGCCCTCAAACATCAGACTCCAAGTTCTTCAGCTTTTGGACTCTTGGACTTAGGTGTGCCAGGGGCTCTGGGGCCTTCAGCCATAGACTGAAGGCTGCGCTGTCGGCTTCCCTCCTTTTAAGATTTGACTTCCTTGCTCCTCAGCTTAGATTCCTTGCTCCTCAGCTTGCAGACAGCAAATTGTGGGACTTCACCTTGTAACTGTGTGAGTCAGTACTCCTTAATAATCTCCCCTTCATATAAACATCCATCCTATTAGTCCTGGCCCTTTAGAAAACCCTGACTAATACAATGAGTATTGCCTCCAGTAAACTGCCGGCACCCTGCACTCCTAACACTATTTCAGCATCTACTTCCCAGAGAGGCAAATTAAGGATGTTTTTCCCATGCATACATCAGAGATGCCAAACTGTTCAGTTAGTTTAGAAAGACTGAATTATTTGACAACACATAAACACTGGAAGGCCCCAAGTAAAATATAGCTCTACTGTCTTTTCCTGTGAAGATGGGAGCTCTGGTAACTGGACTCCTCTTCCTACCTGGCAGCCAGCATGGTGGTGAGAAGTCCCCTTTGCAAGGGGTCTCTCCTCCCAGTCTCCCCCAGCCCCCACCCCTCACCGTTTATCAGAGACATGGGGGGGTGAACAGAAGTTACAGTCATTAGGATGTTTGTGCTGGATTATTTCCAGCACAAAATAATCCAGTGGGAAGTGGACCCACTTCCACTCCTGAGCAGGGCATGTTGATTTGATGAGTCTTTCATCCTCAGAGAAGTAGATTTCATCTACTTATTAGTCTACTTATTGATTCATTTAGCAGATATTTACAGGGAGAAGCATTCACCAGGCCCTGTGCCAGGGAGGTCATCGCACTTTTCAAGAATGCACTCTTGGGGGGCAGTGATGCCCCTCCCCAGGCTTCTGTGCTGTGTGTGGTCAGGCGTAAAAGGGAAATTAAACGTTTTTTGAAAGCCATGGTCTTTATGGGTAAGCAGAAGAGAAACTAATAGGATCAGTTATTTCTAGTGAAGGGGAAGAGTCCATAGTTGTTTTGGAAAGTTTTTAAAATGCAAATACAATTATGGGTCTTAGGAAATTCCACAGTGTGCTTCATCTTACCACCTACCTAGCCCCCTGTGGGGCCTGGATGCTGTCCCCAGCCCCGTGAGATGACAGGGGTCATTGCAAATTTCCTGAGCACTGGGGCCAAGTATAGATGGGGTGATGGCTGCAAGGTCGGGTCAAGGTCAATGCTGTGCCCTGCCTGCTCTTCCTGCTCTTCTGACCCTGGCTGAATCCATGCAGTCTGCTTTAGGAAAATCGTTTCATTTGAATAAGATGTTGAGAGTCGTATGATCCCAGAACAAGTTGGACATGGCAGCTGTCTCCTTGGCCAGCCTCCGGCCGAGCTGCGGTGCCCTTTATCTCAACTTCACTGAGTCTCCTACATCTTGAAACTTGAAAAAATTTATTATTTAGCTGAATTCTTCATTTCATTCCATTTAGGGATGAGCATTTAGGAGGGCAATAAAAGTAAAGTTGGGTAAAAATAAAAGCCCTTCTTTTGTTAATGAGAGACATCTGTTTATTCCTTTTTTCTTCTAATGTGCATTTGCTTAATAGGCAAGTTTTTATTTAAATATCAGTTGAGGCTCTCATGACTTGGAGAAATGTATCAGAGTCATGGCCATTTTTTTTTCTTGGTAGTTAAAGATGCATTGAGTAAGGCTGCTGGCATTTACTGGGATGAGGAAGACTGGGAGGGGGAGGAGCAGGTTTAGGAAAAAGGGGTGAAATAAAGGGCTTGAGAAGGCATGTCCCTGTGCTAGGTGGAATAATGGTCCTCTGAAGATGTCCACGACCGAATCCCCAGAACCTGCGAATACCTTACCGTACGTGGAAAATGAGACTTCGCAGATTTGCTTAAGAAAAGGATTTTGCTATGGGAGAGATGATCCTGGATGATCCATGGGCCACTGACATGGTTTTGATCTGTGTTGTCGCCCAAATCTCATGTCAAATTGTAAATCCCAGTGTTGGAGGTGGGGCCTGGTGGGAGGCAGATTTCCCTCTTGGTGCTATTCTCACGATCCTGAGGGAGTTCTCCTGAGATCTGATCATTTAAAAGTGCATGGCACCTCCCCCGCCTCGCCTCCCCCCACCTCACTTCCCCCGCTTCGCCTCCTCCCACCTTGCCTCTACCCTTCCCACCCCCGCCCCCACCTCGTCTCCCCACACCTGGCCTCTACCCACATCCCCCACCGCCCCCGCTTTGCCTCCCCCCCCCGACCCGACCCCACCCGACCCGCCTTGCCTCCTGCTCTTGCCATGTCTGATGTGCCTGTTTCCCCTTCACCTTCCGCCATGATTGAAAATTTCCTGAGGCCTCCCCAGAAGGCAAGCAGCTGCCAGCATCATGCTTCTTGTACATCCTGTGGAACTGGGAGCCAATTAAGCCTGTTTTCTTTATAAATTACCCAGTCTCAGGTATTTCTTTATAGCAATGCAAAACTAATGCGACTCATACAGGGACCATGTCATCCCAAGGCTCCTTGTAAGAGTGGGCAGGAGGGTCAGTCAGAGAAGATGATGCGAGGGCAGGAACCAAGGAATGTGGCGCCTCTGGAAGCTGGGAGAAACACGCAGACGGATTCTCCGCTAGAGCCTCCAGATGAAACGCAGCCCTGCTTGTACCATAATCTAAGGACTTCTGACCTTTAGAACTATAGGATAGTAAGGCCGGGAGCGGCGGCTCACGCCTGTAATCCCAACATTTTGGGAGGCCAAGGCGGGCAGATCACCTGAGGTCAGGAGTTCGAGACCAGCCTGGCCAACATGGTGATACCCCATCTCTACTAAAAATACAAAAATTAGCCAGGCCTGGTGGCACATGCCTATAGTCCCAGCTACTTGGGAGGCTGAGGCAGGAGAATCGCTTGAACCCAGGAGGCAGAGGTTGCAGTGAACAGAGGTTGCACCAGTGCACTCCAGCCTGGACGACAGAGAGAGACTCCATCTCAAAAAATAAAAATAAATAAAAAAAAAGAACTATACAATCATAAATTTTGTGTGTGTGTGTGTGTGTGTGTGTGTGTGTGTGTGTGTGTTTAGGCTGCTGGATTTATGGTGATTTATTACAGCAGCAACAGCAAATGAAAATGGTCTCTAGGCACATTGCTCCCTCAATGCTGCAGATCACATTCAATATTAAGAGATTTCATTGGCAGATGGGCCAGGAGTACAGCCATGAACAGTATTTTTATGGCATCGGGTAATAACAATAAAGCTAATCTTCATATGGTGCTTCTTACGTGGGGAAGATACTGTTAATATTGGCTCATTTAGTTTTCACAACAAACCTGTGAGGCAGGCGTTTGCACCATTCCCGGTGGCAAATGAAGAAACTGAGGCCCAGAGATGCAGAGCACATGGCTCCAGGTCACCCAGCTGGCAGGAGAGAGAGATGGGATCTGACTCAGGCTGTCTGGCTCCAGATTCCAGGACCCTAACCACTGCCCTGAACTGCCTCTTCTGGAAGACTGTGTTTTGAATACAAAATTTGCACTCACAGAATCATAAGTGACCTTTCATAGAATTTCACCAAGTGATTCTCACAGCATATAATTTCTTAATTAGGGAAATTATACCAAAAAAAAGCACACTGGGGACTTGCAAATACATACTCTGAATTTACAAAATTTGGCAAAGGCTATCCAAGTGAAGGAATTTACAACGACCTTTGAGAAATATTAGCAGAACCATATGCCTTTGTAGTTACTATTATTATTAACCTGTATATACATATAATATGCTCTATCATTTTATTTATTTATTTTTTGAGATGGAGGCTCACTCTGTCGCCCAGGCTGGAGTGCAGTGGTATGATCTCAGCTCACTGCAACCTCTGCCTCCCGGGTTCAAGCAATTCTCGTGCCTCAGCCTCCCAAGAAACTTCGATTACAGGTGCACGCCACTATGCCTGGCTAATTTTTGTATTTTTTGGTAGAGACGGCATTTCACCATGTTGGTCAGGCTGGTCTTGAACTCCTGACCTCAAGTGATCTGCCCACCTCGGCCTCCCAAAGTGCTGGGATTACAGGCATCAGCCACCGTGCCCTCGGCCATAATAAGCTGTTTTTAAAATGCTTTTATCTTAATTTCCTTTAAGTATCCTCAATCATCTTTATTTCTTGGTCCAGCAAACCCTTTTATCTTAGACATGACAAAGGTCCTGTTTATTCCAAATTAGATGAATTGTTCATGTATTCTGCATAAGTAATGGACTCTAATGTAGCTTTATAGAACCTGCAAAATAATTAACGATCATTGTTGGTTTCGAGTTTGCAATGGAGACGTGGATTTTTTGAACCACCTGCAAATGACTTCGTAAACAGTTTAAATGTGTTTCACTGCACCTGAGTAAAAATCGCCCTTTTACTATTCTTATAATCATTATTACAAAAGCTGTTTAAATTACTATTTAATTGCATCTGAACTACTTAAATAATTTAAGGTAAAATTAAACTTTTAATGTGTGACTAAATCTCCTTAAGATCCTAACCTTAACCCTAACCCTCTCCCTTCTCCCCTCAGCAATTTCAGCACCTAACATAGAGGTAACCAGCAATAATGGTTGAGGATAAATCATGTTGTACTCTTGCTGGGTATTTTCTTCCACACAGATGTAACTGTGTGTTCTATTTTGGAGTTTGTTTTTCATAGTACACACAGGATGCCTCAGTTTGCCCCACTGTCTCCATGCTAAGTGGTATCAGGAACTAAAGTGGCATTTTTATCAGTGGCCTAAAATGCCTCCTTATCAACTACCATTGCCAGCTCTGCCACTTTTGGGGAAGCTGGTGTGGCAGGCTCTGTCTTCCTTCCTTACTTCTGTTCTTTATCCCAGAACTGAGGAGAAGGGGCATCTCTGGAGCATAAGGGAGGCTTGCAGGGTCCTTGCTCTGTGCAAAGCCCCTCCCAGCCAGCCAGTTTCCCTTTAGAGCCCTCCTGATTAATCACTCACTCATCAATCTCCTCTCGCTGAAGTCGCTACAGCTAAGCCAAGCTGTAGCAAAGATTTGGATCTAATATTCAAAATTTAAATGTAATTCTCCCTCCTAATGCCTAAAAAGGTTGCAGTTTGGCTCCAGTTCTTGAAAGTGGCCTTTCACAGAATCTCACCAAGTGGATTCTCCCAGCAATAAGGTGCCATCTCTGCATTTGACTTCAGGGTGAGCTTATTCGCACTGAATAAGCAGAACCAGTTCAAGGAACAGAGGCTATTTCCTGGGCTTTGGGGTGGCCTGAGAGAGTGGGCACACATGCCACCTTCCCCAATTCACCTCTCTGTCTATACGAAGGATAATAATTCCATCTTTAAATGTTCCAAATAACTAAGCAAACTTGTTGGGAACCTTCCTTCAAGCTTTAAGAGGGAAGTCACATCCTGTCAGATAGATCTTTATTTTGTGCTTCAAAACCTAATGAAGAAGAATCCTTTCCTACTCACACTTCCCCGATGTGGGGTGAGAATGAAGTCATGCTTTGGCAAATGTGGTCCCTGAGACCATCTGTCCCTTGGGCAGCATTACATACCTGCCCAATTCCTGCTCCTCATGGAAGCATCTGGGTTAAATAAGTGTAAACAGACCAGCTGAGAATTTGAGATTGTTTCTTTCCACTTAAGACTTAGAGATCTTTGCTTTTGTTCTTGTTTTCTACGTTTTATTATGTCCTATTTGGCTCTCTTCAATTCAGAAAGTGTTTTAAAATAATCAAATAGCCTCCATCCTGTGCCTGGCTTTGTGTTCTAGGGACACTGCATAGGGACAATTTAAGCCCAAGAGCAGCCCACAATGTGCTCACAGTCCAGGGAAGAGATGGCCACGTAGACAAGGAAGACCCACAAGCTTGCAGAGCCACACTATCTGGGATCGTCACTGGCTTTTCATTTTACTAGCATGAGTTTCTCTGAAGTTGTTCTTTATTTATAGCACTTTCTCTTTGGAGCATCAATTGAGTAGGACTGAATGCCTAATAAATTAGCCAGCCTGGATGTGACAAGATGTTCTCAATTCACAGTAGATCATCAGCCACCAGTGCCATTGCCATTGGCTTTGCCTTGACCAATTGTCATTGCTGATAATTAATTACAGCTCCTAAATCCAAGATATCATTATAGAGATAATAAATAATAGAAAGGTTTTCTGTTGGATTCTCTATTTATTTTATTGTGAATTCCCATCCCTTCCCTTCTCCCAGAGAGCTCTTGGAATGGATTGTATGCCAAATTCTAATTCTCATTCTTAGATCTTGCATACCTGTTTTTCTCTCCTGCACCAGAACAATTTTTTTATTTCTTTATATTGTCTATTATTCCAACACTAAAAGGAAATAATTCGGTGAACATTGACCTTAGTATGGGCAGAATGTTAATTAACACTGGGAAAAATGCCAGAGTGCCTTCAGGTGCCATCCAAGAAACAATTGTTTTACTTTTAATTGCAAAGTTCTGCATAGAAAGTGAGAATAAGAAGCAGGTCCTCATTGTTGAATCAGATAGCTGAAAAAGGGCCAACTCTGAGGAGTGGCTTTCTTCGCCAGGGCGTTCTGCGTTCTGCTAGTAAAAGCCTGGTTCTGAATTTTTTTTTTTTTTTTTTTTTTTGAGACAGAGTCTTGCTCTGTCGCTCAGGCTGGAGTATGATCTTGGCTCACTGCAACCTCCACCCCCTAGGTTCAAGCAATTCTCCTACCTCAGCCTCCTGAGTAGCTGGGATTACAGGCATGCGCCACCGCACCCAGCTAATTTTTGTATTTTTAGTAGAGACGGGGTTTCACCATGTTAGCCAGTGTGGTCTTGAACTCCTGACCTCAAGTGATCCGCTTGCCTCGACCTCCCAAAATGCTGAGATTACAGGCATGAGCCACCGTGCCCAGCCTGGTCCTGATTTTGTTGTGAATTGTGGTTTTGATGCAACAGGAACTCATAGGTAAAAATGGTTGCTCCCAAAAAAGGAACTGTTTTTGATCCTTGAAGAGAATTACCAAAATTACTGAATAAAATAAATCAAATAATGTGTTTAAGGGAACACAGTCAAGGTTTCCGGTTCTTACTCTGCAACAGAGGTGAGAGACTGGGCTTGTTGCTTTTTGTTTCTCTGAACCTCATGTTCCCTTATCAGAAAAATGAGAGAGTGGGTAAGTTCCAGGTGTCTCAAGCATTTAGGGGGCGATATGTATCCAGTGTTGTACTGATCAAAGCCAAAATCTCCCACAGTGAACCCTGGAAGACCATGCAAACTGTGTCTCCATCTTGGAGTTTCATGAGGTGTAATTAAAATATTAATGATCCTGAAGGTCCTGCAAGAAAGAAACTTGTTTAAATGTGCATGATTCTTCTTTTATTCCATTCACTTCCTTCTCAAATATAGGAATATAAAAAAGGGATGGATATGAATGTACTACATGCCTAAACTATGGTAATTTAAGTCAACAACCCTGATATATCACTTTGCTAGGGTTCCCATAACAAACCACAGCAAACTGAGCTGCATACACAACAGAAATGGATTCTCTCACCATTCTGCAGGCCAGAAGTTTGATATCAAGGTATTGGCAGGGCCATCATCCCTCTGAGGGCACTGGGTGGGGGGTCTCTTTTCCTCTCTTTTTGAAACCTGGTGAAATTTTGGCATTCCGTGGCTTGTAGCAGCAGCATAACTATAATATTTACATGATGTTCTTTCTGTGTGTGTGTCTTTGTGTCCCAAAATTTCTCTTTTTCTTAGGACACCAGCCATTTTGGATTGGGGTTCCATACATCTGCAATGGCCCTAGGAGAGTCAAGATTTCAACCTATGGGTTTTGGCAGGGGACACATTTCAACCTGTAACACAAGTGCTCAGCACGTTTTCCCAGGTGGCTTGTGTCCTGCCTTTCCACCCCCTTTCCCATCTCCCACTTATTTCCAGCCTCCAGCACCTCTACCATGGATGTTCTGCCTTCCAGTTGGTCTCCTGGCATGTCCTATCAGCTCCTTTAATCTAGTGGCCGTATTGCACCTCATAGGATCTTTCCAAATTGCAGATCTGATCCTCTCCCATCTCCACCTGTCCTTTGGTCTCCCTCAGTCTTGTAACTCCTCCTTGGCTTCCCACTGTCCTTGGGATAAAAACTTCAAATCCTTAGCTATGTGTGCTTCTGCAGGCTCATCTTTCACTGTGTTCTACCACCTGCCTCCAATGGTCCTGCCATTCTCCGAAGGCCTCTGTCATTTCTTTTGCACATGCTCTTCTACCTGGAACACTGCCCTCTTCACCAGCCTCTGCCTGGCATCCTCCAGGCACTGACTGTTTCTCCTAGGGGAGCTGGGAACATGTCTGCTTTTTATCTTCCGTATCTAAAGCTCCTGGCTTAATATGTGGCATAAGGTAGGAGCCCAATAAACATTTGTTGAGTGAGTGAATGAAAGAATTAACGAATGACCCAAACTCTGTACTAGATTCCAGAGATAAAAGGAAGAATTGGATTTGATCACTTTCCATGAAAGACAGATGGGGAGGCAATGGTCATAATGTGTGTGCTGATAAACTTGTGTTCAGAGTATGGTCACTAGTTGTAGTTCTAAGAATGGAGAGGCAATTGCCTGTGGGACAGAGAAAAAAGTGTGGGAAAGATTCCAATGAATGCTTCATTTGAGCTCAGCACAGAAGAAGTAGTCAATGGTAGAGTGGGCCGTGTTTTTATTTGCCTGGCCAACATCCCTAACTAATTGTTCTGGGAATAACATTAAATCAGTTTTCCTGGGGGAGCTTTTTCCCTCAATTCTTTGGTCCATTTGGTTCTGATGGTGCAAACTTATGTGACTGTTTTCAGACTTGGCCCTAATTCGATGAGTATGTGGACACCAGGCTTACACCTGAGCTGTCCAGGACAGACCCTACCCCTTCCTCCTGAAAGCATGTGCCACAGCCCTGGTCTTCAGAGTCCAGCATCCAAGTGGCTTAGTGAGTTGTTCAGGAATGGACACATAGCCTAGTTTTGGTTGAAGAGAATCAGGGCCACAATATCTTGAAGTGGCTATTCTTGAGCTGCTGGTGTCTTTATAAGAATGTTAAGAGGCGATAGACGAAGTGAGCAAAGCCAGGAAAATTGACCATTAGATGTAGATCATCCACTTTTGTGAATTATAAAGTCATCATCTTTAATTTTACATTCAATATTTAACTTTCCCAGTCACACATTGTTTTACTCCATCAACTTTACCCTTTGCCTAATGCCATGACCTTCACTTTATTTTTCTAAGAATTGCCTTTTGTACTCTACTGGAAAAGCTTTATCTTAAGTTTATGGCAAATGCTCCTTTAGATTTAAGAGTAATCCCAGATGACCAAGGGGAATTAATGAAGTCACACACAAGACCGATTGCCACCCACTTGGATGACATAGGCCAAGTGTGAGATGAGCCATCTTCCAGATGCAGATCCCACCAGTGCTATCTGTGCTGTGATGTCACACATTGGGATATTTGCAAGCTTTCTCACGCAGGGATTGGCAAATGAGACGAGCAACCTGCTTGTGTGCATGGAATCTGCACTATTCATGTGGATCTTTAAGAATGTTATAAAGACAATCTCCAGCCCCACTCACTTTTCTGGTTTTTAGAAGCAGCAAGAAATAACACAGAAAATTTGACGGCATTTAGAAAACTGCAGTGGTGTGCTTCTCTCTACACCAAAGCTGCCTAAGCTTTGTAATTCCACAACTCTTTTCTGCAACTCAATTTAGGTAGTTAACTCACTATTGGCTGCATGTTTTTCATGTTTTTTCCCCTAAATTTTCCATGCAATAAATTAATGGCTCCATTTGTACAATTACAACTAGTGACATAAAGTTCTGGATGGGGTCTCTATGTTCTGGACTCTTAATTTCTTGTCCATTGGAAATCTGTTCCTGGAAACAGTCCCGTTCGTTTCCGGAAAATGTTTTCCATTTATAAAAATGCTCTGAATTGCCATCTGATACTGAGTCATGGGTATCTTAGGGAGAAAATCTGTCTGAACACATCTCTCTCTGGTTTCAGGGAGGTAAGGAGACAGGGGCACTGAGGTGAGGGCTGATTAGCATTGAGGTTGGATGGGTCCACTTGATTCCACAACCAGAATCACCGGTTTTTGTCTCTCAGAATGTGGATGGGTCTTGGATTTTTGCTTTATCTCTTTAATCCTACACTCAGAAACTAGGCAGTGTTTCCTTGTCAGCTACTCTGTTACCTCCCACGATGCACCTGACTTCTGATTTTCCAGCCAGGGTCTGAATGCACCAGAGAATCCAGCTGGGTATCTTTACACACCAGAAGAGCCACTGGCCAGAATGGAAGGGGAAGAAAGTCACTTCTGCCTTAACAGCACATTGAAGCAAAATAAAAACAAACACCAGTCTGTAGAATAACATGGCAGCAAAACAAGCCAAAGAGTTGTCAGATAATATTTTAAAAACAACATATGCCCACTTTGGGAGGCTGAGGTGGGTGGATCACGAGGTCAGGAGATCAAGACCATCCTGGCTAACACGGTGAAACCCCATCTCTACTAAAGATACAAAAAATTAGCCAAGCGCAGTGGCGGGCACCTGTAGTCCCAGCTACTCGGGAGGCTGAGGCAGGAGAATGGCGTGAACCTGGGAGGCGGAGCTTGCAGTGAGCCGAGATCACGCCACTGCACTCCAGCCTGGGCGACAGAACGAGACTCTGTCTCAAAAAAAAAAAAAAAAAAAACAACAACAGAAAAAAAAAACAAAAAACCCCACATGCCACTAGGTGCAGAGGGTCACACCTGTAATGCTAGCACTTTGGGAGGCTGAGATAGGAGGATCACATCAGGTCAGGAGTTCAAGACCAGCCTGGGCAACATGGTGAAACTCCATCTCTACAAAAACTAAAAAATAAGAAGAAAATTAGCTGGACATGGTGGTGCATGCTTATAGTCTTGGCTACTCAGGAGGCAGAGGCAGGAGGATCACTTGAGCCCAAGAGTTAGAGGCTGCAATAAACTATGATTATGCCATTGCACTCTAGCCTGGGTGACAGAGCAAGACCGTGTCTCAAAAAAAAAAAAAAAAAGTGTATGCTTTCTTCACTGCTGAAAATGAGTGATTCTTTTATACATCCAAAGGTTTGTTATCTTTAAACATCACAACTTTATTTTAGCTGTCTTGTATGGTATCCTTCCAAAAAGAGTTCTGTATTTGCAATTTTGGTATCTGAAGCAGAGTACAGTGGATACACGTGCACATGTGTGAGTGTGTGTGTATGTTTGTGTGTGTGTGTGCGTGTGAGTGTGTGTGTGTGTCAGTGAGAGACAGAGAGAATGTCATGGAGAGTCTGGGTTATATTTATTTTAATGTTTTTAAGCACAGTGTTGGTCTGTGGAGCCACTTCTCCAAACCTGTTGATCATCTTTTCATACTTCTTACTGAGAAGCTCTTCAAACGCTTTTCATTTTTACATCTTTCCCTGGCTGTTCTTTCTATGCTGAGCCATCTCTTTCCACTAATCTCAGCATGTTCCTTTGGTAGGACCTATGCCATTGCATTTGCTTCTTGTGCATTTCTTGCCTGGGAAGACACAGAACATTATTTAATAAGTTATTTAAGGAAGGATGAGAGCTTGTTTATCATGGTCACCCTATGTCCAGCACACAGCTGTGCTGTGGTACATACCCATTCAATATTTGTTTCATGAATAACTGAAGCTAGTGCAAAGCAGGAGAAAATTATTCCTGGAATCCATCAAGCTTCCCCTTGCCTAGGTTCACGAATATAAATGCATAGACTCAGTGGGTCTACCATGCCTTCTAAGGAGCTCTTAAAAGAACCCTCCTAATTGTCGGCAGTGTAATTTATGAATGCATTCCTGCATGCCATAGATATCTATTTTGTTTGCTGAGGAATCCTCATCCATTTCTTCTGGGAAATTCTCCAGCCTTTTTCTGCTTCTAGGCAGAACTTTGCTGACCAACCTTTGGAAAATCTCTAGTCCAGAGAGTCACTCAGGGTTTGCTGTGTGGCCACGAAGCTGAGAAACACTGCAAGTCTTTTGACCACCCTAACTTCTCACAGATTTTGTTCTGCAGCATATTTTTGGTTCCTTTCCTCTTCCTGAGACTTCATACATGGGCCTCATCTGCAGCTGTGTGCATTCATTTATTTCCCTCTGAATCAATGGAGGCCACTTGCTATTTTGCTGATAATTGACTGACATAGGTGTGGACACCTGAAGTATAGCTGAGAATCACGTGCTGATGTTTTTCCACCTTCTATGCTTCATTTCTTCCAGAAATAAAAGTTTCTCACCATGAGAAGACAGTTGACAGGTTCTTTTGCCTACTCCTTTCAATGTATTAGAAAATTACACTTTCATGGGACTGATTGTCCTGTAGAAAATTCAACCCAGGAATCTACACAGAATACAGTGACAAAACACAATAATAGCGTGCATTGCTCAAAGAAAGCTCTTTTTCAAATATTTGTGTCTAATGAAATGCTAATGATTTTCTCAATTTCATTTTTCGCACTTTCAAAAATCTGAAAGACATCCAAAAGAACCCACAACATTATTTGCCTTTAGAATGTAGTGATAATCTTCATAGCTTTCACTTGAAAAGGAGTTCGATTTCATGTGTTTCTGAACATCTTAGTTCCCCAAAAGAAAGCTACTTCATTTATATCCCATAAGATATTCACTTGAAACATTTGAAACTATTAAGTTGGGGCTGGGTGTGGTGGCTCACGCCTGTAATCCCAGCACTTTGGGAGGCCGAGGCAGACAGATCACTTGAGACCAGGAGTTTAAGACCAGTCTGGCCAACATGGTGAAACTCTGCCTCTACTAAAAATACAAAAATTAGCCAGGTGTGGTGGTGCACACCTGTAATCCCAGCTTCTTGGGAGGCTGAGGATCACTTGAACTCAGGAGGTGGAGGTAACATTGAGCTGGGATTGCACCACTGCACTGCAGCCTGGGCAACAGAGTGAGACTCTGTCAAAAAAAAAAAAAAAAGTTGGTGCAAAAGTAATTGCATTTTTTGCCTTTGAAACTGATGGTAAAAATCACAGTTATTTTTGCACCAACCTAATATAAAACTCTTCCTAGGACTTGGGGTTTTTTTATTTTTGTAAAAAAAAAATTGTTTAAAAAAATCTCCTGATAAATTCTAATTTCCAAAACTGACATTTATTAAATATCTCAAGTATGATTTTACACTGCAGTGTGAATTATGCATAAGCTTCATGTTTGATTCATTTTTCTTTAAGATTAAAGGTGGTAGATGACACTTATGGGAGGGTGTTGTTTAAAATATCTTCTCCTTGCAGCTCTTCAGTGTAGATTGACATCTCTAAGAACTAAGAAAAACATAGAGTAAAAAAGGAATGAATATGCAGAGGCTGTTCACACACTTCACGGGATCATAGACAGGGTAGACCTGCAGCTCTAAGGAGGTGCTGGGGTGAGGGCTCAGGGGAAAAAAAGAGACAAGGCTAGAAATAGTGGGCAACCTCAGGGGATCCTCAGATACTTCAAGGCTGCAGGCTAACCCTGTGAAAGATTAGGAAGGGAAATCATGGTTTTTATTTAGGGTACAGGAAAAAGAAGAGAAATACTGTGATTGTTTGTTGCCCTTGTTTTTATTATGGAATTACTCTTGCTGCTGTGTCTTACCTGATATAATTTTAGTCTGGTATAAAAACAGGTAGTCATGTGTGGGCGTATAGTATCTACTGTGGGCTGGAGAAATATGGAATACAGCAGGGCAGCAGAGAGAGGACATGGGATTTCTGCTTTTATAGCTGTTGTTGTTTTGGGTCCTGATTTAGCCATTTCTAGCTGTGTGACCAATGGCAAGTTATTGGAGATCAGCTTGCACACCTAGAAATGGAATCACAATAACTGCAAACCTCAGGAACCTTACAGGAAAGTCATGGGAATCCTATGAGTTAGTAGATAAAAACAGTAGTAGTTCATAATAGTAATACTAATAGTTAACAAAAATGAGTTAGAGTATTAAAGTGTTATATCAGTGGAAGGGAGTACTGTTACTGAGATTAGATCTGACTTTTCCCAAGGCTCATCTTTGGATCCTATAACTCCTAGAAAATATTAAATAAATATTGAATTAATAAATTTAAATATGTATATGTATGTGTAGAGAGAGAGAGAGATAAATGGATCATCAGACTTTCCTAGTCCTATGGAATACAGAAATGTCCATTGTGTATGTGTGTATACTGCAATAAAATCCCCAGTGTTGCGAGCATAATGGAATACAGTTAGCCAAGTAGTTTCCTTTCTAGAGTACAGTGTAAATTCTTTAATTTTCTTCTTCCCTCAAACCTTCACAATCTATATCCATCTCATCTGCTTCTGAATATACAGAACACTCCCATTAAGCAGTTGGTTGTGTTATGATTTGTAATATTTTAGGTATTTATCATAAAAACCATCTTTTCAAAAATTAGAGTATATAGTTGATAGTGGCAGGAGACAGACAAATTCCTAGACAGACAGGGGCGGATCCCCAGTGAAATCCAACCTTCAAGCCAAAGACAGTTTAAAACTGAAAACTGAGCTTCCAGTTCCAGGTAGAGTCGACGACCGGAGTGAAAACTTTCTCTGTGCCTTTTAGCCTAGTGAATGGTGCCTTTTCCGGGCCACCCATGGACCAATCAGCACACACTCACACATTCTGAGCCCATAAAAACCCCTAACTCAGCCACACATTGGGCTATCTGCTTTTACGCCACCCCTCACACAGAGGGCTACCTGCTCTCAGGGCCCCTTTCTGCTGAGAGCTTTCCTCCTGCTGCTCCATAAAATTCTTCTCCACCTTGCTCACTCTCCAGTGTCTGCATACGTCATTCCTCTTTGACGTGGGATAAGAACTAGGAACCCACTGAATGGTGGGTGCAAAAGGAGATGTAACAGTAACCCTCCCTCCTGCTCACTGAGCAAGAGGGGAGAAAAAGCTGCTGGGCACCACATGCTGCCCTCCCTTGTTTGCCCACTGCTGTGGGTGGTGGCAATGAACTGTAACATGAACGAGCAGTAACACAAATGAGCGGTAACATGCCCCCCAGTTTGTTGCTGTGGGTGGTGGGAAGGGGAGAGAGTCGTAACAGTTCTTGGAGGGGGCTCAGACTTTGGGACTTACCAGGCGAGTTGCTGGCATCTCTGAGTTTTGGGGTGCCACCACTTTCCCCTCCTCCAGACTCCAGCACCAAGGTGGAAGCAGATCTCAGCACACCTGGCCCAGCCACGGGCTGAGCACTGAGCCACAGTGGGTGTGAAATTGAGGCTGGTAACAGGAGCCAAGCACAGCCCACCAGGCCGAGTGGGTAGAGCGAGCCCAGTAGCAAGCTCAAGAGCCAAGCAAAGCCCGGGAGAGGCACACCAGCTGTGGAGATTTCCAGCTGGCAACATGGCACTGAAAGAATCCTGTGTCATAGTCATTTTAAATAGTATTTAGGAATTGAAGTTCTTGAGGGTTTTGATATTAATAAAAATATATTTTTAAGAATATTCAGACAAATCCCAGGCCAAGACTGGGCATGGTGGCTCACGCCTATAATCCCAGCATTTTGGGAGGCCAAGGTAGGCAGATCACTTGGGTCCAGGTGTTCAAGACCAGCCTGGGCAACAGAGCAAGACCCCATCTCTAAAAAAAATTTTTTAATTAGCTGGTCGTAGTGTTACGTGCTTGTAGTCCTAGCTATTGGAGAGGCTGAGGTGGGAGGATTGCTTGAGCCCAGGAGGTCAAGGCTGTAGTGAGCTGTGATCACACCACTAGACTCCAGTCTTGAGGAGTGAGGTCCTGCCTCAAAAAATTAAAAAAAAAAATCCCAGGCCACTAACTGGTACTCAAGAGTTATGTTGATTAAATTGCAACAGACACACTGTGAAATGCATAATATTGGCTGGGATCCTCGGTGGTGGTGCACGGTGCAGGGATTCAATGAGTGGAAATGAGTCGGATCTGTTGTCTGAGGCGTGTGCAGACTGTGCCTTCCCCAGAAGCTGGAACCTCGACAGAGATCCCATTCTGGAAGCCACCTAGGAAAGGACATCCCTGTGCACAGAATGGAATGGAGCGAAGTTCAGCTTCTTTGTCATTGGACCCCTAAAGGAGCCTCTCACTGGGTCCTGGGCCCGCCCACCAAGCATGGAAGAGCATTAGCACTTCAAAGTTGCATTGGTAATACCCATTGTTAGTTCCAGTGTAAGAAATTAAGGTGCTTTGAGAAAAGAGTAAGGGCAAATAAGCCACAAGGAAAACAAAGCAGGAAACTCCATATGATTTTATATTTTTCTATTCTCAGTTCAAAGCAGAGGCCCCTCAGAGATGAACACTAGGTACAGAACAAGACTCCTGTCAACCACACTTAGTTCAAGCTGAAGGAACCCGGCCTCTCTTTGCTAATGTGTTATTGAAAATTGGCATTGCTCATCATTATGGAAACAAAATTCCCAACACCATAATGTTAGTTCAAAGAAGGAAAACAGCAATCATTTCCAACACTGTTGATTTGGAACCCATTGTTTAATTCCTCATGAATTAAAGCAAAAGACAATCAGAAAGGCAATTACCAGTAAGAACTAAAGGTATCGGCTTCATTTATTATAAAATATAATAAATTTAAACTTAATTTAAAAATCCAAATGTGGGTTAAGCTTTTGTTTTTCATTCCTTGAACAATTTAAAGTTTTAATATAAATATCTTCTGCTGCAAACAAGACCCTAGAGTCACAGAAGTTTCAGGCTTAAATCTGCGAGTGTTTCTTTGGCACGTTTAGCTGAGAATATGAGATGGGAAATGTATGTGATTTTATTCAATGGGTTCTGATTATGTAATAAAGGGCAAAGGCCTGGGAAACTTTCACATTTCACTTCCCTGTGTTGGGATTAATTTAATAGTATCCACTTTCCTGCCCAGATAATAAGCTAAATTCCCAACTGCCCACTTGAAAAAAATATGTATATATCTGAGTGCATGTGTGTATTACATATACAATTTAGTCTCTGAATATACAGAACACTCAAATCAAGCAGTTGGTTGTGTTATGATTTGTAACATTTTTGGTATTTAGCATAAAAATCATCTTCTAAAAAAGAGTGTATAGTCATTGTAAATAATGTTTGAGAATTGAAGTTCTTGAGGATTTTGATAAAATATATTTTTAAAAGAAGGAATATGTGTATTCCATATCAATATAAAAAAATTGTATGTATTATACAATATGTATTGTATTTATATATTGTGTAAATACAATGTATTTATGTATTATGTTATATAATATAATTATATAATGTATTATATAATATGTATTATGTTATATAATTATATAATGTATTATATAATATGTATTATATTTATCGTATTTATATTTTGTATTTATATATTATAATTGTATTTATTATATTATATTTATTGTTTTTATATAATTTATATTTATATAGTATATATTGTATTTATATATTATATGTATATTATATACTATAATATGTATTGTAATATATATCATATTATATATAATAAACCCAATATATTTTACATATATCATATTATATATTTGTATATTATATATTATTATATATCATTATATATTATATATCATATATTGTATATATTTAATATAATATAATACAATATATAATATTGTATATAATACAATCAATAGAGTAGTATATGTATTATAATATATTCTATGTATTATATATAGTATATACTCTATTATATAGTAGTATATATAATATACCATAGTAGTATATGTAATAGTATACTATATATAGTATATATTATAATACATATACAACTGTATTGATTGTATTATATACAATATTATATATTGTATTATATTAAGTATATACTATGTAATATATAGTATATATACAATATATGTAATACACACTCATAGTTATATATGTATGTATGTGTATACACACACACACACACACACACAGTTTGCTTCTATTGCAAATTGAACCGGCAGGTTATTTGAAGCTCTTTGTTATCCCCAAGGGTCTCATCCCACCTCTCCTGCACTCCAGTGTAGAGCCACTTGCCTTCTTCCCGATCTAGTTCCAGAATCTAGCTGGGTCCTGTTCCTTCCTTTGCCTTTTATGATGTGTTATCATGATCTGGAACTTGGGGTCCAAGCTATGATAGCTACTTACTGCTCTTTTAACATTTATTATTTATTTGCTCCAACTCATACTGGCCACCAAATTAATTCTCCATGTAGTAGACATCTTTTGGGTTTCTTCCTTGTTATTTCATTGCATAAATAATTAGATATTACGCAAATAGAAAGAATGAGTGTGAAAAGATTGAGACATGCCATTTCTTTGAAAACCAAGTGAAAGGCACGTCTATCGGTGCTGGGTGTATTCTATCCCGATTCCCTGATTCCTTTCCTCACCTTCCCACTGGGGCATGGGCTCTTACTTGGAGTTGAGTTCTGAATCTCCCTCATCTCTGTGTTTTTGTGTCTCCTGAGCAGGGATGAGCACACACGTTTCCAAGTGCTCAATGGGTGCTGTTTAGTTGGAGGGACCTGGATATATCCACTCCCCGGGTGAGCCTCCCGCTTTTGTAATTTTGTGCCAGATTCTCTGTAGCTTCCTGTGAAGCAGACTGATAGAATGCCCTTGCTTCTAGAGAATTTAGGACAAAAATGTGCCTCGGAGAATCGTGGGCTCTGTTTCATTAATATACAGAAGGGGACAAAGGAGGCTGCCTCCAGTATTTCATCATCTGGTTCCATCTACCGATCCAGGGTATGCCTGAAATTATGGACAAAATACTAGGTTTTTGTGAGTAAAATCTTAGTAATCTGAATAGGGTGAAATCCGTAGGAAATTGTCTTCTCTCTCGTTTGAGGACCCGTGAGCGTTTACTGTGGCTTGCTGGTATTTGAACAGACTTTCTCTCCCAGGGAACCCACCTGTGAAGGAGAGGTACCCCCTGCTTCTGAGGGACACAGCCCTACACGGGAGACGCAGACAAGGAGGTGAGCTTTCTTCCAGCTCCAACCCACGTGGTGTCTGTGGAGGTCTTGTTTCTCCCCACTGCCCGTCAAACAGGCTCCGGCCGGGACTGGGTTTTACTCACTCCGCATAAAGTCTTTATTGTGTCCACAGCTTTCTGTTCCTTTGTATTCACATTTTAAAAATCTCATTTCTGGCCGGGCGCGGTGGCTCACGCCTGTAATCCCAGCACTTTGGGAGGCAGAGGCGGGCGGATCACGAGGTCAGGAGATCGAGACCATCCTGGCTAACACGGTGAAACCCCGTCTCTACTGAAAATACAAAAATTTAGCCGGGCGTGGCGGCGGGCGCCTGTAGTCCCAGCTACTCGGGAGGCTGAGGCGGGAGAATGGCGTGAACCCGGGAGGCGGAGCTTGCAGTGAGCCGAGATCGCGGCCCTGCACTCCAGCCTGGGCGACAGGGCGAGACTCCGTCTCAAAAAACATGAAAAAGAAAAATCTCATTTCTAATACCTGGTGCAAAATAGGAAAACAAATCTGGCTGATGAATCTTCAATCATCTTCCACCTCTGCCTTGGCCTCCTGCGGAAGTCCAGACAAGAGAGGGAGGCAGTCTGCTTCCCGCAAACGTCTCCGCCTTGCTGTGTTCCTTCCAGCCTTTCTCATTTGTTACTTTCTGTTTCCACCTTTACAGAGTCGGTCCTGGGAGGAGGGGGGGAATTAGGGCAAAAGGCAGAGTTCTACAGGGCTGGGCAGGTGTAGAATCTGCCCTGGGGCATAGATGCTCAGTTATTGGTGCTTTCTTTCATGGGGTTTGGTGGTCTCCTCAGATCCTCCCAACCAGAGTCCGTCAGCCCAGCTCCCACGGTGTGGACCCTGTTTCTCTGCCCGCTCACTCTTTCCCTAAGCACCCAGGCTCCTCCCAGCCAGCCCCCCACAGACTCTATCTGTTGGATTCTCCTTCTTCCCCAGGAATTTATTCCCTGTAGAATCCTCGGTTGAGTCGTCCTGGGCTGGCCTGCTCTCACGAGGTTCACATTTGGTTCTCAGAACCCAGTGCTGTGGCCTCCACCATGGCACATGTGCAGATCGCCCCCAATGCAGCCACCTCTCCCTCCACCCTCCCGCCAGGGGAGCAGCCTCAAACACTGTTAAGTTTTTCCAAATAAGCGTTCAAGGCCCATCCTTGCTTTTCACGAACTCCACTTCGCACATATCAAAGTCTCTGAGTGGTTGTCTTAAAATCCTTCTCTCTTGACCTGGGGTGAGGATGAGGTCCTCTCCATGCCTCCCTACGAGGCACAGGGAAATAGAAACATCAGTGACAACCTGACATAAGGAAGTCCTCTCCCTTGCCCTCTCCAATCTCAAAGCCTCTCTTGGAATCTATGCGGGTGATGATGAACACTGCAGCTTTCTTCTCTCAGTCTCTTGGCATGTCTGGGAGAGATGGTCTGGTGCAGGGCTTGGCACACTTTTCTGTAAAGGACTAGGTAGCAAATATTGCAGACGTTGCAGGCCAGATGGTCTCTGTCACCATGACTCAACTCTGCCAAAGCAGCTGTGAACACCGTCACAGAGCCACAGCCCAGGACTGGAGGAAGGTGAGCGACGGTTAGGAAAGAACTGGAAAACCCGTCTTCCTTTACTGGACCAAAAAAGTGATAGATGGTGAAATAATGGTTTTATAAATAATGCAATTATTTTGGGTAATCACACAGTATGTACATTCTATACAGTATCATTTTGGCAAATACTGAATAGTATTGGGTTTAATACTATTATTATTGATTATACTATTATTTTGATTATATTGGATCAAAAAATATAAATATTTAAAATGTCTAAGACATTTAAGACAGTTTCTATCACTTATGCTGGCATTTCTCATAGATAGATATAGACATAGACATAGACATAGAGCTAGACATAGGGATCCATGTAGATACAGATCTAGGTATAGATGGATATAAATAGAGGTATGAGGGAGAGACACATACAGCCATATAATGGCTGTGTCTTGTTAAAGACTGCTTGCTTCTGTTCCCTTCAAGTTCATATGTTGAAACCCTAACCCTCATGTTAAGGTGTTCACCAAAATGTAATTGCATGAGACTTATGCCACCATCCAATGGGATGGTACTAGGAGGTGGAATCTTTGGGAGGTGACAGATCTAGATGATGTCCTAAGAACGGAGCCCCGTGATTGGATTTGTGTCCTAACAGTAAGAAGGGAAAAAACTGGAGCTTGCTTTCTCCTGCATGTGAGGATCCAGGAAGCAGGTCCCGGACATAGATCCAGGGAGTAGATCCGGGCCGTCTACAAGCCAAGAAGCCAGCCGCACAGGACGAGGCCCAGGAAACAGTCAGCAGGTCTCTACTCACTGACCCTGAAGCCTCATTGAACTAGAGACCCTGCGTTTCCAGGGTAGGTTAAATTAGACCTCCTGTATCCTTATGGCTGTCAAGGTCAGAAACAATTGCTGGGAACCTGCCACGGACACAGCTCCCAGTGACCCTCACCCTTGACAAAGACCCCAACCCATGTTTGCACTGACTCTTGTGCTATCTGTCAATTGCAAACTCCATTTTAGTTAAAGAGAGGCCTGTCTCTGCCTTGGCAATGTCCTCCACCATTTCCAAATAAATTACTGAGCATAGCAGCCCGTACTTTTGGTAAGCATTTAGCAGGATGCAAGGAGAGATGCTTGAACAATTAGCTATTAAGTTGTAGTGTTGCTTTTATGTGTTTAAAAAGGATAGTCTTTCCTAGGTTTGAATATGCGAAAATATCTGGCAAAAGATGAAAAAGCATTTTAAGACTTTACTGTCGTTTGATTCAGATAATGCCAAGATAAAGCATTTTTCCGTCTCTCAATTACTGAAAAACAGTTGTTTCTCCAAAAGAAATATCCTAGCAGTCCACATTGTTTTCTAAAGAGGGATATTAGCTTTATTTTCAGATGTTTTTCAAAGGAAATGCTTCTAACATTCTCTGAGGATTCAATGAATGTTTTCCTCTGAGCAGATATGACAGCCAAATAGTTTAGCTATTTACGCCTAAATTCAAAGACGTGCAGTGCCCTCTTGTGGACGCTATTGCAATCTCCACCAGCACTGAAGGCATCCCTGGCGTTACTGCAGGCCCAGTGGGTGGCTGGGAGACCTCCTGCAGCTGCTAGGAAGGGTCAGAGCCTGTTACAATCCTTTAACCCCAAAGATGCACGCGCGCGCACACACACAGACCACACACACACACACAACTTAGAGTACAAAAAGTCAAATACTCACAGTTCCTAATTCACTTTCCTACAAGAACTAAAGTCAGGTTGTGCACGAAAATACTACTTATTGCATGAGAGTTACACCTCCAGAAGTCAAAGACCTACAATGAATATCTTTTTGCTGAATTAAGCAAGGTAAATTCCACTCGCAACTTTCTGTGACTCCAAGACTCTTCTTAGCTATTTCTGTGAACTCTGCTCATTTCTCTGTAATAGCTTTAATTCTTTGATCATATTGAAACGATTGCTGGCAATGCACTGTCACTGGAGAAGAGTAAATGAAGTCAGGATTATCAAAACCAGTAATTAGAGGCAAATTCATTTTTATGTGCTTGGCAAACCTTGCCATTTGATAGAATTAAGTATCTTGTCACATGTGAAATCAATAATTATAAATGATGGATTATTTGCAAGAAAGCAGAAAAAAAGTAGCTTCTAGGCCTGCTTCCAAAGTTAGAATAAATGTATAAATGAGTTAATATTGACCAATTATATATGAAGTCTGATAAATGTTTCAGCACTGCTGGAGGCAGAGAATTTATTAGACTAAGTAATGTAAAATATAATGAAATAGATTAAGTATTTTTTTAATGAAATAATGGTACCCATTAGATCTGATGACTCTAATCTTAATGCAAATTAGCCTGGTTATAGACATTCTTGCCCTGAATTGTAGATGGTGTGTTTAAATTCTCATGCTGAGAACCACCTCAAATCCCCAATTAAAAGAGCTACTAATTATGATAAACTAGACTTAGGAGAGTGGTTACGTCTGAGTGGAGAGGGACAGTTTGGGAAGTTTGGGAAGAGTATCCAGCTGGCTTCAATGGTATTTGTATTTTCTTCTTAAAATCAGCATTGATGTGTTAGTCTAGGTCTTTAGAGAACAGAAAGCAAGTTGGGATTAGACATGCAGGAGTTGTATTAGGAGAAACACTCTTGAGAGAAAATAGGCAGGGAGTCAGGGGAGATGGGAAGAGCCATCCAACCACAAAGCAGGTCCAGTTGTCTGGGAAGGAAAGAGGGGTGGCATGGTGGGCAGGAGAGTCTCAGACAGCTGTGGAGTTTGAAATATTTAGAAAAGTCAGCATGGAAGCCCCAAACCAAAGTCTCCGTCAAAGAAGGCCCAGTCTCTTGGGGTAGTGTGCCTTAGGGAGCCCGTGGGGCATCATGGCTGGGGTCACCCCTGGGAGGTGTGGTCTCAGCACAAACCTAGTGGTGAGGTCCAGAGGGCAGCAGCCTGGGTCACTGGTCCATTGTCGCACTCGGACATCCGAGTCTCCTCTCGCAGACACCACAACCCACCCTCTCCACCTTGCAGCCCTTTGCTTCCCATACATCTTGGGAGCATCTTCTCTGCAGTCCCCACAGGGCCTTCCTTCACGAGAGGAAGCTTAGAAGAGGGACATTTGTGGCAGGAATTATAGCCCCAATAACTGTAGTTGATCTCAGAGCTGCAACTGCATCCTCTCCCTCCTGCACAATCCATTCTGAATCCTGTCACTCTCAGCTATCTCTTGGGCAGGCCTTGGTGTCTCACTGCAGTCTGAGCAGAACCTTTAGGCTGGGGTTGCTGCCTTTGCCCACTCACTGTAACAGTGGGGTGGGGGAGCATCAGGAGGCATCCATGCAGGTCACACGAGCTCCACGTCCACGCCTTCCTGCCCCTGCATAAATGCAGCCCTATGTCACCTCCTGGTAGGTGTCACTAATCAGTAGACACTCTTGCCAATACAGGAGACCCTCTCCTTTCCTGCTGATCCCTGGTGAATTCAGTGGAGTTATAAAAGGGACCACCACAGCCCCCTTTAGACCTTTAATGAATCCATTTATTTTTGCTTTCTCCTGCTTCTCCAACATGAGATTTTTTTTTTAATTTGTTATCTTACCTAGGTAGGTAGTTTCAGAGGTTTCCACTGTGACTTCCTCACTATAAAAATTCTTACCACACAGGACACAGACCCAATATGGAGGTTCCTCCAAACACCAATTGTACCAAATTCAACTGATACTTGGGGACTTCAGAAGTGACCACTGAAGTACATCAAAACATTTTATGCCAAAATATATTTTTTGACATATTTAGAAACGGCCCTGCAAAGCCGTCTTTTGTGGGGGAAATTTGCCTCTGTAGAGAATCTTCAGTAACGCAGCCAGGCCTCCCTTTCCAGGCCTTTCCTGGATCTAACAGAGATTCTAAGAGAGAGTCTGACACCTTTAAAAGTCTGGAAAGAGGCAGCTGCCATCTATTCTGCCTGTGGGATGCTACCTGAGAGGCTTCATTCACATGATAAGGCCACCTTTGCCAGCCAAGACTCTTCCTTTCTCTCTCCTATGACCTGTCTTGCCACTAAAACGTGTTTTTGGCTGTGCTCTGAGCATGCATTCTCTCTGTAACCTCAGGATGGTGTATAAGCTTCTATACCTCACCAGCGGGTTAAGCCTTCATTCTGAAGACCACCGTGTATACATGTTAAATAAATATGCCTTTTCTCCTATTAATCAATCTGCCTCATGTCAGTCATTTCTCAACAGACCTTTAGGGGACCCAGGGCCTTGGCCCACACATCACTTAGTTGGGTCTACACATACAGTGAGCTGACTGTGAGCCAAACTTCATCCAGGGATCCATTTATTACCTGGCACCCACAGGAGCCCTTCTAAGAGGCGAGACACAAAGCATGATGTCTCAGTCGTGATGTCTCAGTCCTGCTTTCCATCACAGCATCTGCTTTTCACGGTGTTGCAAGGTCCTTTGTCTTCCTCTTAGGGTTGTGGCAAGCTCTTCCATCAGTGATGTCAGGACTTGAAAAACGGCTTAAGACTGGACATTGTGTAAGGGATTGTAACTTTTTATGGCGCAACATCCTCAAACTCCTGCTTGCTTCTTCTTGCCTTTTGTTTTTTCTTTTCTTTTCTTTTCTTTTCTTTTCTTTTTTCTCAGACAGAGTCTCACTCTGTAGCCAGGCTGGAGTGCAGTGGCGCAATCTCTGCTCACTGCAACCTCCGACTCCCTGGTTCAAGCAATTCTCCTGCCTCAGCCTCCCGATTGAGATTACAGGCATGTGCCACCATGCTCGGCTTATTTTTGTGTATTTTTAGTAGAGACGGGTTTTCACCATGTTGGCCAGGATGGTCTCGATCTCCTGACCTCATGTTCCACCTGCCTCGGCCTCCCAAAGTGCTGGAATTACAGGCATGAGCCACCACCCTGGGCCTGCCTTTTTAAAGATACAGATGTTAAGTAGCACCCTGGTTGCTGGCCCATCCATTTTGTTTTGAGAAAGGCCATTCTCTGCTATCCATCTCCACAATGCCTTTGGGTCAAACTCCCTCGAATGTCCCTGCACCCTTGCTGAGAGTTTTATGTTGATTGCAGCCTTCTGGCTTGTGGGTTTAAAGTGCAGCCACCTGTGTTACCTCAGGGCTTCCACATCCCTATGGATGTTGATGATCCTGCCCGGGTGATCAAAGAGCCTTCCTATGGTCAGCTCTGGCCTGCAAAGCAGAACTGCCACCGACCCTCTTAGAGACGCCAGTGCTGTCTCTCCATCACATTCCCATGCACATTGCAGCATAAGCCATCGCCTCGGTATCTCCTAGGGGCTTTCTCGAGAAACACGATTTTCTGCTGAGTCATCTGGACTTAGTATATTCATTCCAACACACTGATTTCCCTCAGCCTCTTTTTTCTTACCATCAGCAGTGTTTTTTCTAGGCTTCTAAAAATCTTCCCAGCAGTGAATTCGTCCCAGTATCTGGGACTCTTCTAGGGTGTAAATACCATGAGAGAAAGTGTCTCAAGGCAATGAATGCTCATGTATGCAGTATTGCCATCCTGGCCCTTAAAATCCATCCCCAAAAAGTGAGCAATTCCCCTCGTTCGTGCTAATGCATGCAGGCTAATCTGTCCCATGTGTTTTTTTAATGTCTGATCTCTCTGTGCTAACTTTTCAGTATCAACATATACCCACCTGGTTTATGCTAGGTGTCAACCCTAGTTGTTAGTCTGGCAGCCAGGAAGGGAACTGGGCGCAGAGTTGAGGGAGCACTTGTTGCCTGAAGGATTTTTCAGTATACTCAAGGGAGTGCTACTTCCTAGGAGGGGAGGGTGGTCCAACCCTAGAAGCCATCTGCACAGGGGCAGTGTTGTGGCATCAGCATCCTCAGCGGGGGACATCCCACCCCATGCTCCAGGGCTCCAGACCTTTACACAACAGACCTGTCTTGGCTGAGCATCCAAATGTCTCTGCAACTCAGCAGCTCTAAAAATTAAATTTGTTTGTTTGCTTTCAAATCCGCTTCCTTGAGTTATAATTGTACACAGTAAAAATCGCATAGGTTTAGCAATCCCATTTCTGTGTATATACCCAAAAGAAGTAAAATTAGGATTCTGAAGAGACAGCTGCACCCCCATGTTCACTGCAGCATTATTCACAATAGCCAAGCTATGGACACAATATAAATGTTCATCCTAAAATGAATGGATAAAACAACATGATATTCACATACAAGGGAATATTATTTAGCCTTACAAAAGAAGAAACTCCTTCAGTATGCAACAACATCGACAAACCTAGAAGACATTATGTGGACTGAAATGAGCCGGTCACACACCGTGTTTCCATTTATAGAAAATGACCAGGATAGGCAAATCTATAGATAAATAAAGTAGATTAGTAATTCCCCAGGACTGGTGAGATTGGGGAAAAAATGAAAAGCAACTGCTACTGGGTACAAACATTTTGGGGGAGGATAACAAAAATGTTCTAAAATTGACTGAGATGACAGTTGCACAGCTCCCTTAATACAGTAAAATAATTTGACCGGCACACTTTTTTTTTTTCTGAGACAGAGTCTCACTCTGTTGTCCAGGCTGGAATGCAGTGGGGCAGTCTTGGCTCACTGCAACCTGTGCCTCCTGGGTTCAAGTGATTCTCGTACCTCAGCCTCCCTGAGTAGCTGGGATTACAGGCACGTGCCACCACGCCTGGCTATTTTTTGTATTTTTAGTAGAGATGGAGTTTCACCATGTTGGCCAGGCTGGTCTCGAACTCCTGACCTCTGGTGATCCTCCCAAAGTGCTGTGATTACAGACATGAGCCACTGAGTCTGGCCCTATACACCTTAAGTGGGAGCGTTCTATGGCATTGAATTATGTATCTCAACAAGGCTATTTTTAAAACCGGGCAAATGTGGTGATGAATTTCAGGGCAGAGCAGCTGAAGCCTGTTGGTGACACTCCCTGCACAGTCTGAAGTATGTTTCTATGGCTATCAGAATTAGGTCCCTGGGTGTGGCTGTATGATCGTTTACATTTGTTACTGCGTGTTTTAAGGTCAAAAGTGCTCTACTAACCAGTGGTATTGGCAAATATTCTCATATTCCAAAGCAAATTGCTAGATTATCCATCTGCACACTAGAAAACAAGAGTATACAAAAGTTTGGAAGTTGAAGAGTTCAGGAAGTGGATGTGAAAGAGAGAAGCCCATTTGAGAGAGTTAACATCAAAGAGAGTCCCTCTTTCTTTTGACCTAGAAAGAAGAGTATTTGTCTCTCACCTTAAGCCAAGTGGGAGATAAAATTCTAGAACTTTGCCCTGGAAGTTGTGGGAGCACCAAACTTAGGACCAAAAACACTCCTCAAAATGCCTACAGGAGAGATGCTGCGTCTGGAGTCTCCTGCTTGGCATTGGAGCAATGATAGGGTCCCTGTGGAGAAGTCGCTGCATCCTCACAAAGGTGCTGGCAGGCATCAGGATGTCAGCCTGCAGGTGATGAGACCCCAACAAGCAGAAGCAGAACCAAGTACCCTGGGGCTGGGAGGAGTGGTCTGGAGAACACTGCCTTCACTGAGAAATGTCTTGTCTTAGGACAGCAGGGAATTTTCTCAATGTTGGCAAAAAGTAGATGTTCAATAAATGTTTGCAGTGGTAAATTTATCTTCTCATGTTGTTTCATTCAGGAAAGCAGACAGCACAGGCATTTCAAACAGAAGGAATTTAATTCAGGGAAATTTCCACAGAGGTGATTGAAAAGCCACTCAGATAGTAACAACTGACACGAGTGGCTTTCACCCTCAGCTAGAGAGACAAAGGGACATGGTGATGTTATTAAAGGCGGGAGCCTGGGTCTTAGATTTAAATCTTGAACCATAGCAAACCCATGCAGAGGGAGATGGATCCACACGGGAGACTCAGCTGCCACCAGGCAGCAAGTAAACGAGAGTAAAACCCTGGCTTCCCCTTCCCGTCACTGTCTGCCACTGGGCATCACAGACTACAACCCTCAGCTGTCGGGGGACCCGTCTCCCAGAAACATGAGTTCTCCGGCCTCATCTAGAGCAGGATCCTAGAAAAGTTAGACCCACTGATTTGGAATTTTTGCAATATTTCTGCACTTGAGAAATTTTACATAATGTCAAGAATTTTTGCCATGGAGCAGGTTCCCTTTTTGTTTTAGTTTAGGTGTGCTTGTTTTAGTGTTAGGATCTCTGCCAAGCAGATAATCAAAACTCTCACGTTAGTGACGGTGTTCAAATTTGACATTGTGTCTTTAATCTATTTACTATCAGAAATGGTTTGAGGCACTGCTGTCTGAGAATTAGGAAAATTTAAAAAGTAAATAGAACATTGCTTTCACAGTGTTCCCCACACAGAACTAGAGGGGGGAATCTTATTATTGCATTCACTACAGGAAAACTGGCTCAGGCCAAAAATGAACTCCAGCAAAGGCTCTAAATTTTTCCAGGCCATTTCCCCATCTTTGGACCAACTCTTTAGAGAGTGACATGATCCTAGTTTGGAATTTTCTGTGGAAAGGAAACATTTTCTGTAACGCACAATAGGGCTGTATTGAGTTAAATGGGTGTGTTCTGGACTGGCTAACAAGCCTGCAGTTCTTAAAGTCAGTATTTTAAAACTATAACAACAATTATTTAGGAGAAAGAGAAAGTAATCTACGGGGGAAGAGTGGTCAGAGGTAATCATTGTTCTCTTTCACTTTTATTGTTCTGAGCAATTCAGCTCTAGCCCCTAATTTGCACATCAACTGTAAAAAAAGCGAAAAGAAGGACTACAACAACAGTAACAATAACAACAACAGACCATGTGGTTAATCAGAAATATTCTCTTAGAAAATATGATTGGATATTTTTTCTTTATTTTATTTTTATTTTTATTTTTTTTTGGAATAGGGTCTCACTCTGCCACCCAGGCTGGAGTGCAGTGGTGCAGTCTTGGCTCACTGCAGCCTCAGTATCCCCAGTTCAAGCAATTCTCCCACCTCAGCCTCCTGGGCAGATGGGTTTACAGGCACATGCCACCACAACCGGCTAATTTTTGTGTTTTTTGTACAGACAGGATTTCGCCACGTTGCCCATGCTGGGGATATTTTTTCTTACTCTATACAGCTCTCTCACTGAGAGGGATTCAGTAAAGATCCCGCTCTCTACCCGTTGACATTTCCAATGCCCATTAAAGGTTGGCATCCAGCAATGCCTAATTTGATGATTTCTTAATATGATCTCAATCTAATGGACTGGAAAATGTAGGTCACTGATGGAATTGACACAAAAGTGGATGTTAAAAGGTAGAACTTGAGGATGGGAGAGAGTCTCAGATAAAAGGGAACAGAGGTAGCTCTAAGGTAGAGTGCTTGAGAAAATGGCTAGATGACATTTCAGACAGGAGGCTGGGGAAGATATTGCATCATTGCATTGGCCCCGTTTTAAATGTCAGTGAAATCCAAAGAGGAAGCATCCATCTGGGACTGGAGCACAAGTGCTCAAGCGAAGCCCAGAAAGCCCATGGAAAGCCTCTGCTCCCATCACATCTGCTAAGGATGTACCAGCCAAAACAGGATACATGGACAGGCCTGAATTCTATGGGGCTACCCTTGTTCCCATACCACAATCCTAATTACTACAGAGAAATCATACATCTTCATAATTGGTAGAAAGTCACCATTTTTTTGTTTTCATTAAAATAATTGTCTCAGTTGTTCTGCGCTTGGCGAGGTAAACCCCGGGGCTTAGACTTGGTTCCAGGATCACGCTATTTTAAGCTAATTTTTATTGAGTGTTAGGATCCCTGCCAAGCACATGATGGTCTCCTCACCAGAGATCATATCACGTGATTGGGAGTACGTCCCAACCCTGCACCTCGCCAGTGGGGAAATGCCAAATCTATAAAAACGAGTGTAATAATAGGATCGATCACATCTGTTGCTTCCAAGAATAAGATAATGCATGTAAAAGTGCACAGCCCATCGCTCACAGTAGATGTGTCATAAGTGATAGCTGGTTTTGTTGTTATGTATAAAATTCTGGTAACCTTAGTAGCACCCCATAGGAATGTTAATTAGGATTAAGTTAGATGGCTAATGCAAGCTAAATTCCTTCACTAACTCCCTTGCTTTCTCTCCTTTTTTTTCTTCTGCTTCTCTTACATTGCATACCCATATCATATAAGCGAGAGGGAATGTGGAAAGAAAAAGTATTAAAGATGAATTTATACTTCTCTTGGAGTAAAAAAGGTAAATGTATTTTTGGATAGCAATGATCTTCCCAAAATGTTACTTAGTCAAACTCTTGGGACTAATATTATGAAAAGTATTGGGAGTGAGCAGAATGTTTTCCATGGGAGTTTAGAACAATTTAATGTGTTCCATTATTCTGGTAGAGAAGGAAAACACAAATAAAAAGAGAATTACTCTTCAGGAAAAACAAAAATGAAGGCTGTGCCTTCTCTGCACTAATCTTTTCAGATTTTTCTTTCTAGTAAACTTTTAGAATATTTTCTTGATTTAGCATTTGCTAGTAAATATGACGGCTAGTTCAAATCAACATTACTAAACAGTTGAAAAAATTAAAATGCCACAGATAGGAACATATGTAATTTTTTTCTCATTCCTCTATGTAATTTATACTTCATTTTATAGCTTCAAAAATCCCTGCAAGCATTGCATAAGAAGAAAGCGTTAATTAAGAAGAAAGATGGATTGATTGGAACAATATGTTTGGCTTATTTTATAAGAAAAATAAAAAAGATCTACAAATTGGTTATATAGTGTTGCATGTCATAAAAACCTTGCCAATATTTCTGTATATACCAAAACATAAAACAGGAAGATAGAATGGAGAATGCTTGGAAAATAAATATTTTAAAGTTGCTATGCAAATGTCTTACATTTATGCATACATTTGGATAACTTTAGCTGCTTATAACATGTGAATATGTAAATGAGAATATGCATGTTTATAATACTGTGGGAGAAGATCACCCTACCCAAAGAATGAATGCAATTGATGTGAAACTAATTTGGAAAACTTAAATCTCAACCTGAACTCCGTATGCCTTCTCTAGTATCAATGCATTTACTTCCCCGTACTGATATTAGAAATTGGATTGATTGCCACATTGTTAACCATGACCAAATGTGATAGTAGTTTCTCACACCATGTACATACTTTGGTGATGAACTTGCTGTACTGCCAGTCATTTGACAGCATGTGACTTGGTGATTTCTAGAATTTGCTTTGATTTTTTTGTACCTAATAGAGAATGTATTTTAAAATAGATTTTGGATTAAAAAGAACTTCTGTTGCTGGTCAGCATGACATAAAAGGGTCTGAATTTGCCTTCCTGGCTGACACAACAAATAGGAAAACATATTAGAAACAAGAGTTTCTGACCTCAGGCCTCAGGCAGTGCAGGGCAACTGGTCACTGAGAGAGGAGAAATAAATGAGGTGAGCCCTACAATTGCTTCAGCTTACTACCAAGAGAAAACTCCCAGGCTGCCAAGTAAAGAGGAAGGTACTGGCAGAGCCTAGATATCTCCAGTTGCAGAGGCAGAGATGGAATTCCAGGAAGATAAGAGTGGCTGAAGTTCCTAGGTGAGAGTAGCTGGAAAGAGAATTGCTGCAGTTCAATAACCATATACTAAACAAACAATCTCTACCCATACACCTCCTCATACATGAAAGGCAACTCAAAATGGATCAAAGACCTATAAGGTTTCTAGAAGAAAATTAGGATAAAATTGTATGAAGTGAAGTCAAAGTTTTATTTACTATAACATCTGAAGCATGATTCATAACAGATTCTGAAAATAATACATTTGATTGAATAAAAATGAAGACCTGCTGATCAAAAGACAAGGATGGTTGGAAATGTTTGTGAATGATGCATTTTTTTTTTTTGATAAAAGGCTTGGATCCAGAATATGTAAAATGTTTCCACAAATAATATAACATTAATCTAATAAAAAGAGAAAAGGATGAAATATAAGAGTTTGTAGGCCGGGCGCGGTGGCTCAAGCCTGTAATGCCAGTACTTTGGGAGGCCGAGGTGGGCGGATCACGAGGTCAAGAGATCAAGACCATCCTGGCTAACACGGTGAAACCCCGTCTCTACTAAAAATACAAAAAAAATTAGCCAGGGGTGGTGGCGGGTGCCTGTAGTCCCAGCTACTCGGGAGGCTGAGGCAGGAAAATGGCGTGAACCCGGGAGGCAGAGCTTGCAGTGAGCCGAGATCGCACCACTGCACTCCAGCCTGGGTGACAGAGCAAGACTCTGTCTCAAAAAAAAAAAAAAAAAAAAGCAAAAAAAAGTTTATAAAGATGCTAAACATCATTATTCACCATGGAAATGCAAATCAAAACCACGATGGGACACCACTACCCTCCTATTAAAATACGCCAAATTAGAAAGATTGATCATGCCAGATATTGGTGAGGATGCAGAGGGCCTGGAACTCTCACACATTGCTTGTGGGAATGTAAAAATGTACGTGATTTGGAATACGTTGGATACATTTTGGCAGTTTCTTAAACTTAACTATACACCTACCCTATGACTCAGTAGTCACACTCAAGGTGTTTACTCAAAAGAAATGAAAGGGTATCTCCTTACAAGTTGTACGTGAATGTTCACAACAGATTTATTTGCATTAGCCAAAAGAGTAGAGACAGCCCACATGTCCATCAATATGTGAACAGAAAAACACTTTGCTGTTTATCTGTACAAGGCAACGCTGTCCAGCAGTGAAAAGGAATGAGTTATTGGTACACCCAACAGCATAAATGATGAACATCCAAATAAATACACTGAGTGAAAAAAAAAGGCAGACAAAAGGACTACACACCATGTGTTTCCATTTGCACAAAATCACGGAAAATTTAAACTAATCTATAGTGACAGAAAGTCAATCCAGGGTTGCCTAGAGCAGGAGTGACGAAATACAAAAAGCCATGAAGAAAACTTTTGGGAAAGCTATTATTGTTCATTATCTTGATTGTGGTAATAATTCCAGCGGTATAAACATATTTCAAAACTTATCAAATTGCATACTTTAAATATATGCAATTTATTATATGTCAATTATAAGGCAATAATGCTCTATTAAAAAGATAATTTTGAAGGATGAAAAAGCATCATGTAGATGAGAGAAAATAAATTACTCTGTGTAAAAGCGCCTGTAACTAAGTAACTGAATTGCTTATCTATCATGCAAAAGTGACCTCAAAAATGTAAAATTATAAGTATTGTTTTCCTTAGGCAATTTTCATAGTAACCTATAAGATCCAAATCTTTGATAGTCTGTATGTTACTTATAAGAAAACGAAGTAAGAATTAATCATGTAAGTTTTAGCTTAGGGTTGAGCTGACAAGTTTAATTTCCCAATTTATTTGCTGGAAACATGATTTGCATATATGAATACATGTGCAGTTGCATTTTTAATATTGTCTTCAGTGTTATTTATACAGAGATAATAAGAGATATGTTATTCACTTCTTCAAAATTCACCCTTTACCCCACAGGTGGTCGCATCTCTGGGATCTGGTGATATTGGTAGTATTAAGCATCCCATATTAGATTCGGGGTGATGAGAATTTTATGATAGAAGGAAAGACTCGTTATTAGCTTTATATGACTTCCATTATTGTTAGCACCAGTAAAGATGTTTAATCACTATTGCCTTATAATGGTGTTATAAATTCAGGCTAGTCAAACACATAGTAAGTACATCCTTGCTTACCTATCCTAAACCTGCAGCGGACATGATTAATCAATCCCGTCTCTTTTTGAGGCAAGGCTTTGGTCTTTGAATTCCTCTCACCACATTACCCAAGACAAATACCATGTACAGGGAGACAGCGCATGGAAGCTAAGCGTAATTTGCTATCCTAGCTCTAGAGAATTCTGTACAAACTGACTGTTCTGGTTGTGTGCAACTTGGCGTGGAATGTGTAATATCTACCCAATAATTAAGAGGCTTATTAAGAATAACAATGGTAATGCTTTTCCTTTTATATAAATTGCTTTTTTTAGTACAAATGTAATACATGCTCATTAGAGAGAAATTTGGAAGGCACCAAAAATCACAGAGAAATATCATTATTGCACCTAATCCCACCGCCAAGATAGAAACGCTAGTGCCATCTTGCGGTCATTTTTTTTTTAGCTATTTTAGACTTTAATGTAAATGGTAATAATATACAAATGAGTGAGTGCACACTGAATAGTGCCCAATTCTTGCAAAATCAGTGGTGACTTAGAATGCTACTTGCAAATGATTCAAACGATAAAACCTGTCTCTTGTAATTTTGTTCCTGTCTATAAAGAAGGAACCAAATACTAGGACAACACACCTGCTGCGCAGGCAGGAGACACTGGCCTGGTTGGTGGTAGATTGGGCCTCGGGGCTCATATTCACTTTTAGTGGTGGTCGAGATAAGAGTTACATGAAAAGTATGGTATGAAGAAAAGGCTTGGTTATGCCATGGGTGAGGGATTGTCACAACAACCCAATGCAATGGAAAATTAAAAAGTATAATTATTAAAAAATAAGTGTTTAAAAAGGACATCCGGGCTGGGCACGGTGGCTCATGCCTGTAATCCCAGCACTTTGGGATGCTGAGGCAGGCAGATCACCTGAGGTCAGGAGTTCAAGACCAGCCTGGCCAACATGGTGAAACCCTGTCTCTACTAAAAATACAAACAATTAGCTGGGTGTGGTGGCACACGCCTGTAATCCTAGCTACTTGGGAGTCTGAGGCAGGAGAATTGCTTGAATCCGGGAGGCAGAGGTTGCAGTGAGCTGAGATCTTGTCATTGCACTCCAGCCCGGGCAACAACAATGAAACTCCATCTCAGAAAAAAAAAAAAAAAAAAAAAAAACCCTCCGTAATCTGTGGTGGTAGATGATGATTTCCATCCATTACACCAATCACCTTGCATCAACTCTTCAGTACTAAGTAGCTATTCTTCTAGACATCTAATTTCTTGAGGTCAGAGACCACCTTATTCATCATCATGTTTAGAAAACTGTGGTGTTGTGTTTGTCAAGATGGGCTAGGTCACACTGTGTTAACAACCCCCGAATCTCAGTGCCGTAAGGTGGGGCTTGGCAAACTATGGCCCAAGAGCCAAATCAAATCCACAAACTGCTATTGTAAATAAAGTTTTGTTGGAACACAGCCATTCCCATTTGTTTCCAGATTGTGTATGACTGATACCACTCTCCAAGAGCAGAGGTGAGTAGCTTCGGGAAGAGTCTAAAATTCTTACTATCTGGGTCTGTAGAAAAAAACAAGTTTGCCAATCTCTTGCTTAAAGCAACAAAGAACTATTTTGCAGTCGTACTAAAGATGCACAGTCGGTTGGTCTTGGAGGTGAGGCCCTGCAGATTGTATTCACTCGGGGACTCAGTCTGATGGATGACAACCTTGGCACACGCTTCCGTGATCACACTGCAGGAATGAGCGTGGAGGGTGAAATGCCAGCAATCAAATTATTCCAGCTGTGGATAATTTCCGCTCACACATTATTAACTACTCAGAGAAAATTCCCCTGCCTAACTTGAAGAAAGCCAGCAAGTGCAGCCCCTCCCCGTGTGTTCAGAGGAAGTGGACACCTGTATATCAGGGCAACATATCTGCCACAGAACTAAGTAACATTGTCCTTGAATAAGCAAATAAACAAAAAAAAATCATAACCAGTTTATGCAATTCATTTGCTTTTAATTTCAAATACATTCATTAACCATCCTCTGTGAAACATCATGCTAGATACTAGTACATCCACCTGCCTTCATGTAACTTACATTCTAGTAGGGGAAACTAAACGTTAAATTCTCCATCTTAACGTAGACAACATTTCTCCATTTCACATTAATCTCTGTACCTTTCTGGTTTAAAAAAAAAAATCGTGGGTTGTAATATCTCCTAATTACTAACTAGGGCAGTATACTGCTAGTATTATTATTGCTATTCAGAGGGAGAAATTTTGGATACTTTTCCAAAGTCATCCCTGACGATCAGCAAATTTATTTCTAATGCCATCAGAGTCTGTACTTCTCAATCAAATCTGAATCTGGGGAGCATTTTTTAGTGTTGTTTTTAACCTAGGATCTGATTTATAATTACCTGGCACTTCAAAAATACAAATTTATTTGTGGATAATTGATTAACAGGCGCTGTCAGAGAAAAGCCTCTGATTTAAGCATCTCACACAGATTGAAAGAAACACCCAGCCAATAGGTAATCTTGTTTAGTTGAAAGAATGACAGGAAGGGAATTTTCCTGGACTCCCATCTCCAAAATTTATTTTTTAGCTAAAAAGTGCTAGCTCCTGCTGTGAGTGGACAAAAATGAGGGTGAGAAACATGAAATATAAATTAGTTCTGACTATAGCAAAATGCAAAACACTCAATGACTGAGAAATGTTTTTATACACCTACAATGGTGATGCCCCAAAAGGCTCACTGTCCCTTCTCCCGCTGGGACCGCATATTAATTCCAGAGGAAAAACCTCAGGTATTGTTTTTCATCCCGTAAACAAATAACATCAGTCTGTTGGTGGGGACACAAGCTGGAGTTGCATCATAGAAGGTTGACGATCTGATGAAACATGAACATCAGGGCCAAAGACAAATGCTCAGAAAAAACGTTCAGTTAGAGATCAAATGTTTCAACTTCATAATGCTTTTCCTTCCTTGACAATGAAGGAAATGCAGGTCTGCAGGCATCAAGAGGAAACTGTTACAGCTGAGGTTTCATTGCATGAGCAACAATTATTGGCTGTAAAACCCACACATTATAGTGGAAGGAAAACGTCTCTCTACTAAAATAACCTTAGTCCAACTTTGAGTATTGGCACAAATGTTCTTTTGGTTTCAGTGATTTTTCTCTATTTCTTTTTCTCTTTTCTACTTTATTGACTTCTATTTTTTATTACTTTTTTTTTTTTCTGTTTCTGATGGACTTGATGTGCTTTCTTTTTCTTTTTCTGATGTTTTAACGTAAACAGTCAGGTCATTGATTTTAATACTGTTATTGTAGTATGTGTTTATTGGTAATTTTTTTCTCTAACTATAATTGTGGGTGTGTCTATTTCTACTTTATGCACCACCAGTGTTTGCTGCATATATTTAGAAGCTCTTTTATTGGTACATAATCATTTGGTATTATTGTATCATTCAATCGATGGCTCATTTTTCATAAGGAAATGACCCTAATTCACACCAATAGTGCTTTTTCTGAAACCTACTTATCTGATATTAATAAAGCCTCTTCAGCTTTTTAAAATTAGTATTTCCAGGGTGAATATTTTCCTATATTTTTCTTTTAATCTAACTTGTGTCTTTATATTTACACTGGGTTTATCATTGTGTTTTTTGGGGGTTTTTTGTTTTTGTTTTTTGATTTAAGTTTCTTGTAGAAAGCATATAGTTTGCTTGTTTATATCCAATTTCACAATTTATGTCTTTTTTATTGTGATCTTTTGACCACTTATATTTTATCAGTTACTGCTATGGTTAGGTTTAAATCAAACATCTTGTTATTAATTTTTTTTATGTATCTTCTATTATTTTTATTCCCTTTTAACATCTTTTGCCTTTATTTACACTTTAACTGTTATTTACTTCCACTTTAAATTCCATATTCTCCTATTAGCTTCCCGATTTTTAGATGGGTGATTTAAGATTTATAGTCTATAATTTGAATTCATTGCAGCCTACTATGAAGTCATAATGTACTACTCCATGTATGGTACAGGAAACTAATAGGAATAGTTTTCCAATGTTTCCTGCCCAACTTTTATACTCTTGCTGTCACACATTTTATTTCTGTGTTTTAAGCCTAAATCTCACAATAATTGTTTTTCTTCCTTAAACGGTCTTTTATCTTTTAAAGATATTTAAGAAATAGTAATCATTTTATAATTCTCCCACGCATTTATTATTTCTTATATTCTTTAATCCTTTCTGTAGACTAGAGTTCCAGTTGCTTTTATTTTCTGCTGTCTGATTAACTTTTTTATATTCCTTTCAGTGGTATGGTGGTTTTAAATCTCTCAACTTTTACCTAACTGAAAACATCTTCATTTCTCCTTCATTTTTGAAAAATATTTCTGTGGGATTTAGAATTTTAGGATGACATACTTTTGTGCATTAATCTAAAGTCGCTTCACCACCCTCTTACTGGCACTGGTTCTGCTGAGAATTGTGCTGTCATTGTTAATTTTGTCTTTCTGTACATAATGATTCTTTTTTTTTTTTTAAGACAGTCTTGCTCTGTCACCCAGCTGGAGTGCAGTGGTGCAACTGTCTCTCACTGCACCTCCACCTCCCGGGTTCAAGAGTTTGTCCTGCCTCAGCCTCCTGAGTAGCTGGGATTATGGGACCCCGCCACCACGCCTGGCTAATTTTTATATTTTTAGTTGAGATGGGGTTTTGCCATGTTGGCCACGCATCCTTTTAAAAGATGTTTTCTTTAACTTTTATTTTCAACAAATTAATTATGATACAACTTTGCATAGTTTTGTTCATGTTCATTGTAACTGAGGATCCTTGAGTTCCTTAGAACTGCAGATGTATAGATTTTATTTTTTAAAAAAATCTTATTCGAACATCTCCCCTCCATTTTTTCTGTGACTTCAGTTAAATATACATCAGGCTGATTGATACTGTCTCACAGCTCACTGATGGTTTGCTCATTTCCTCCTGGCTTTTATCGTTGTGTTACATTTTGGATAATTTTCAGTTGCTGTATCTTCAAGTTCACTGTTTTTTCTGACAGTGCTATTAATCCTAGAGTATACACACATATATGATTTTCCATTTCTAGAGGTTTAATTCGGGCCTTTGTTTCCACATCTCCACTTACACCCACACTTTTCAATATCATTTTGACCATATAAAATATGCATATAATGTAATAATATAATATATTAATAATAAAATATAAATTAATATATACTATGTTATATATTAGTAACAATACATTGTATATTAATATATACTATATTGTATATTAACAATATGCATTATGTATTTACATGTAATATATACTACTAATAAAATATATTATTTATATAATATATTAATAATAAAATCATTATTATACATATATACATAATAACTATTTCTATCATATATATACATATATGACATATATATGTATGACAGCTATTTTATTATTATGGTTTAATTATATTATCTGTGTCATTCCAGTGTCTGTTTCTATTGATTGAAATAAAATATTTTCCTCCTTACGAACTACATTTTCCCATTTATTTGTATAGTAATGAAGATGAGCATGGTTATCAGCTGACCATGAATATTTGAGTGACCTCAGCCCACACCACATGAAGCACAGACAAACTGTTCCAACTGAGCTATGCCCAGAACCCTAACCTATAGTATTGAAATCAAGTCGATTTTTGTCATTTGAAGTAACTAAGGGTTGGGTTGGTTAGCAAAACTAAGCGATATTCCTGGTAAATATTCATAAAGTCATGAATGAATAGCTCAGAACATCTCAGAACTTTGAAAAAAATTTTAGTGACATATCCATATAATATTTGTATTTGTTTGTATACATATACAGTGTGGATTTTTACATATTTATCTCTCAGTGTTCCAGTTAAGGAAATGCAATTCTTCTCGTTAAGACTGAAATATACTCTTCCGATTATATATAAATAGTGCCTTATTAAAATTATAAATATAGACGTTTCTAGCTGAAAGAAACCTAAGATATCTTCCACTCCAGAATGCTGAATTTAGAGATGGGAAACTTGAGGGTCAGAAAGTAGTGAAATAATTTGCCTGAAGTCATGCAGTCACTTTGTTTCAAGGTCAGGATTCAAAGCAGGAGACCAGAGCAAGGAGGCTGTTCCTGTGGGGAGGGGACTCTTCTCTAATGGGTCCAGGAAGGCTATGCCTACCGATGCTATAGTGAGAAACAGAATGAACACAATCTGTTTTGGGGAATGGTATTGCTGGTGAAGTCAGTGTTATGTTTGTGTGTAGGCACAATGGCTTAGACAGACCCTTGGGAGAAATCCAAGGGGAAAAAAAAGCAAAACAAGAACGATGGTTATGCTCATGGTGTGAGGGTGGGATTAATGGTGATTGCATAGGTTGTGATGGTGGTAGTGATGGTGGAGGTGATGCTGCTGCTGGAGATGGTGGTGGTGGTGTTAGCGATAGTGGAGGTGCTTGATGACGGTGGTGGTGATTATAGTAAAGGTGCTGATGTGGATGGAGGTGATGGTGTAGGTGATGATGTTGCTGGTGGTGCTAGTGGAAGTGATGATGGTGGTGGTGTTAGCAATAGGGGAGGGGCTGATGCGGGTGGTGGTGATTATAGTAAAGGGTGCTGATGTGATGGAAGGTAATGGTGTAGGTAATGATGTTGCTGGTGGTGCTAGTGGAAGTGAATGATGTTGGTGGAGGTGATGGTGATGGGGTTGGTAGTGATAGTGAAAGAATTGACAGTAGAGGTGATAGTGGAGGTGATAATGGTGGTGTAAGTGATAATGGTGGTGGTGGTGTAGTGGAGATGATGATAGTGGAAGTGATGGTGGTGGAGAGGATGGTGGTGGTGTTCATACTGGAGGTGGTGATGGAGACAGTGAAGGTAATGATGATGGTGGTGGTGATGATTGTGGAGGTGATGGTAATGGAGGTGGTGTTGATAGTGAAAGTGGTGATAATAGTTGAGGTGACAGTGCAGGTGATGATGGTGGTGGTGGTGATAGTGGAGGTGATGATAGTTTTGGAGATGATAGTGGAAGTGATGGTGGTGGTGGTGATAGTGGTGATGATGGTAGTGATACTGGAGGTGATGATGGTGGTGGTGGTGATAGTGGTGATGATGATGGTAGTGGTGATAATGGAGGTGATGGTGGTGATAGTGGAGGTGATGATGATGGTGGTGGTGGTGATAGTGGTGATGATGATGGTAGTGGTGATAATGGAGGTGATGATGGTGGTGGTGGTGATAGTGGTGATGATGGCAGTGGTGATAGTGGAGGTGATGATGGTGGTGGTGGTGGTGATACTGAAAGTGATGATGATGTTAGAGGTGATCATCCAGGTAATGATGGTGGTGGTGGTGATATTGGAGGTGGTGATGTTGGTGGTAGTGATATTTGAGGTAATGATGGTGGTGGCAGTGATGTTTGTGTTTTTTCAAGCATCTGCCTTGAAAGCAAAAATAGTATAAAACTGTCAGGTAGAAAATAGGGGTGATATTACATAGAAGTGGGATACATTCACTGCTAATGCCTCAGAACTTCAGATATAGTTACTCATTCCAATCCTTGGAAGTCATAGCATCATGTATATACCCCAATTCATTGTCAAGGATGCTTTGGTGTATCTCTACAAGCAAAAAAAAAGAAGCCAAAGAAAAATTAAAATTAATACTTAGTTACTAGAAAATATCTCTGCACATTAATGTTACTAGAAAAATAGCGTATCTCTGCACATGTCAGATATTATCGCCCTTTAATTTTTATTTAGTATTTTAAGTTTCATGTCTTTTTTTAAAGAAAAAATTTTTATTATAATGATAACACAGATTTGAGTAGAATAAAATTACTCAAGCCCACAATGCAAAACTACATTTTGTCTGTACTCATAATTTCCACAAGGGTGTGTGTGTGTGTGTGTGTGTGTGTGTGTGTGTTTGAAATATATTCACATTGTTTGCTCATTAGGTTTTCAGAAGATAGTGAGATAGTTGATATATTTCTCATTTAAGGGTTTATGAAAGAGGATGGACACAGAAAAGCCAAGCAATACAAATAATTGTACATCAGCATTTTAGTTAACAAGATATCATTAAGGAAGAAAAGTAGAAGTTGTAGAGACAAGGTCAGAATTTAATTGGTAAAAATTTGCAGCACTTGCTTACCCATTTTCAACGAAAACAAATTTCTATATGCTATAAATTCATTTCTTCAAGGGAAAACATTTTCTTATGAGTTTTAATTGTTTAGACTTTTACCAAAATACACTTTAGCCTCAGCATGCGCCTGTTGTTATTTGAGCAGCAAGTCGTTATTTAAAACTGGCCAGAGGTTAGGAGCAGAAGTCATTCAGCTGAAACTGTTTAAAATGACACACCATTTCTCAAGTTTAGAGAAGCCAAAGAATTCACTGCACTAATGGATTATTGATTTCAGTAGGGGAGATGTGTTTAAAAGGTGTTGATTTGGTCTGTAAAAGACTTCAAAATGGCTTGTAAAACTGAGATAGAAATAGCACGGCAATGAGGAATATGCTTTGAAACAGCTTCCAGTGGGTTGTAGTTTAGCTCAGCCCCAAAAGCTATTCATAGCCTGTAGTGAAGCTCCATCTTTAAAATACATCTCCATCCTATACACTGGGGCTCTGTACCCATAAGTAATACATCAAAGGACCATAGTATGTTCTTTCATTTTTTTTTTCATGTTAAATTTGGTTTGAAAATGTAACTTTTGATATGTGTGACATCATCTTATAAATGTTAGTGAAAATCAAAATGATTTAACAATTTCAGGCATCCTTGTTGTAACCATATAATCTTGTGTGATTCGACATGTATAGGTTTATATTTGCATGAAAAACATGACTCAAATATTCAGACATTTTGTTCTTGAGTGACACAGTTAGGGCAGTTTCCATGATACTCTATTTTGTTTACATTTTCTATTTTTCTTGTTCCTAAAATGATTTTCTAATACGCCGTTTAAAGCTGTTATGGAATTGTACCACTCAGATTTCAAGAATTTTTGCGCAAAAAGCACAG